>NC_000008.11:10407457-10711939 GCF_000001405.40 Homo sapiens
TCAAGCTTTGCTTTACAATTAGGACTTGCTATGGACATTGGATGGGGAGAGTTGATGATGGCAATGAAATGTGTAGCCTGGAGGAGAGGTAGCAAATGATGCCGTGTGCCAAGAGAGGGGACAGCGAAGACCAACCGCTTTGGGAAAGGAAGGAGAATGTCTCCGGGTTTGCACGGGGTGCGTTTGAATTTCTGGGGTGGGGTTGTGAGTGGCAGGATTCTGTAGGCAAGAGAAGAGAAGACTCTGGATCCCAGGAAATGGTGGGGCACAGAGTGAGGCACAGAGCAGGAATTGTCATTGGTCTAAACACCCCAGCACCTGAAGTATAGGATAGCTTACATTTTAATCAAAATTCTTGCTTGCTCCTTACATTTTTATTGTAATGCCTATTCTACCTGGTAATCACATTCTGAAACCTGATAAAGTATCAATTCTGAGAATTTCATTAAGGATCACATCAATCTTTAAGCTACACTGGAGATGCACCGAATCTTTGAGTAGGTTAATAGGATTGCAAAGAAGAACCAATAGGTATAAACTTCTTAGAATTTCTATTAAAAAATTGACAAGCTTCGACACCACATTCTAATTTTGTTTCAAGAGTAATCACGAGACCAGGAGCACTAGCAGGAAAACTGTGTCACCACAGACAGAACTGGCTCACTGTCTGGAAACAGAGGCCAGGGAGAAAGGGTCGCATCCCTGGGACGAGATGTGCAAAAATCGGGCTTCTCAGCATCATTCATTAGCACCACTCTGACTTTACATCTGCATAGTGACATTTAAAGAGGAACATGGGCTGGGCGTGGTGGCTCATGCTTGTAATCCCAGCACTTCGGGAGGCTGAGACGGGCAGATCACTTCGGCCCAGGAGTTTAAGACCACCCTGGGCAATGCGGTGAAACCCTGTCTCTACCAAAATTTTTTTTAAAAAATTAGCCAGGCATGGTGGCACATACCTGTAGCCCCAGCTACCCAAGAGGCTGAGGCAGAGGGATCGCTGGAACCCAGAATCAAGCCTGCAGTGAGCTGTGAGCATACCACTACAATCCAGCCTGGGCAACAGAGCAACACCGTATTTCTAAATAAATAAGTAATAGAGGAGTAGGTAATAAAAAAATCCAGGTTTTAATTTAATTTGTTTAAATGTAAGGGGCACAAGTACAGTTCTGTTGCATGCATACATTGTGTAGTGGCGAAGTCTGAGCTTTTTTAGTGTTAATATCACCCAAATAATGTACCTTGTACCCATTAGGTAATTTCTCATCCCTCACTCCCCCACCCTCCCACCCTTCCAAGTCTCCAGTAACTATTATGTTCTTGCATATTTAGCTCCCATCCGTAAGATAGAACATGCAGTAGTTGACCTTCTGTGTCTGAGTTATTTCACTTAGCATAATGGCCTCCAGTTCTCTCCACATTGCTGCAAAAGACATGATTGTCTTCTTTTTAATGGCTGAGTAGTATTCCATGGTACATATACGCCACATTTTCTTTTTCCGTTCATCTGTTGAAGGATGTTTAGGTTGATTCCATATCCTTGCTGCAGTGTGTAGTGCTGTAATACACATCTGAGTGCAGGTGTCTTTTTCATGTAATGATTTATTTTCCTTTGGGCAGATGCCCAGCAGTGGGATTGCTGGATTGAATGGCAGTTCTATTTTTAGTTCTTTGAGAAATCTCCATACTGTTTTCCGTAGAGGTTGTGCTCATTTACATTCTCACCAACAGTGTGTAAGCATTCCCTTTTTTCTGCACCCTTGCCAACATCTGTTATTTTTTTGACTTTTTAATAGTAGCCATTCTGACTGGTGTAAGATGATATCTCATTGTGCCTTTGATTTGCATTTCTCCGATGACTAGTGATGATGAGCACTTTTTCATATGCTTGTGGGCCGTTTGTTTTTAAATGAAGTTCATCTCTCCCCTCATGAGAAAGGAGATCATGTAAGGTCTCTTGTCACACGGGGACATGGAATTCTTTTTAGTTAAGATGGCAGATTTGGTGAGTGGTTGAGAACCATGGCTCCAGAGTCAGACTGCCTGGGTTGAAATACTGCCTCTCCTCTCCTTTGCTAAGCACCCTTCTTACCAAATGCAGCAGATACTACTGTGATCTCTAGAGAGGACGTGATGAGGATAACATCAGACAGCATGTGTAGAGCATGCAGGGGAGCCTGGTACAGGGTGAATGCATACGCAGCATCACCCCTAGGCCCTCCTCGCCCCACCAACATGCACGTGCTTGTCCTTGTCTCCCAGAAACACAGGACTTTCACTTGGGTTGATTTAATAGACTCAATCAAGATATTTCTTCATAGAAGCTGGGCACAGCGGCCCATGCCTGTAATGTCAGTACTTTGGAAGGCTGAGGTGGGAGGATCACTTAAGGCTAGGAGTTCGAGACCAGCCTGGGCAACATAGACCCTGTCTCTACAGAAAATAAAAAGAATTAGCCTGGCATGGGTGGCACGTGTCTCTAGTCCCAGCTACTTGGGAGGCTGAGGCAGGAGGATCGCTGGAGCCCAGGAGTTTGAGGCAGCAGTGAGCTATCGTGGTGCCACTGCACTCCCCCCTGGGTTACAGAGCAAGACCTTGTCTATTATTTTTAAAGATATTTCTTCGTAGAGCAAGTCAAAGGAAAAAGATGATCCTCCGAGCCTGGGTCCAGGATCTTCCCATAGTGGTCTTCCCATGGTCCCATCCGTTGCTGTGGGTTTGTGACATTGTGACATGGAGTATGCATGTGTGGCGGGGACGCTTGGCCAGGAGCCACCAACACTCTCGTATGGAAAGTCTGCCAACAGGCTAGGTCTTCCAAGGACCAAAAATCTGGGTGGCCTGTGAAAAACCCAAGTCACTTGTTTGGGGGGTGCCGGTGGAGGACAGGAAAGGGTGGAACAGGATGCAAGTGGCCAGGCCCTTGACGCTCCTACTTCTTTGGGCATAACCCCCATCACCTCATAATTCCCACAGTGTGACATTCCGTCACATCGCAAAAATAACCAACACAGTTTAGAGCAGTGCTCCTGAAATAGAATCCATGTGATGTATTATCTCAAATACATGATTTCACCTCTTCCTCAAAACAGCACTGAGAGGTAGATATCTTATCCCCCTCTTACAGAAGAGAAGGCCAAGCCTCAAGGTCAGCTCCTGAAGGTCATGCTGTTTGGCAGAACCAGGAGAAGAGCCCAGGCCCCTCTTGTCCCCAACCTCTATGCAAACATGATCTCCTGGAGAACTCCTGGAGATATTTTAAGGAGTGTTTGATACTTAGAGATGCACAGTGCTGCTTTCAGTGTAGAGTGCCATTTTTGTAACTCCAGTTAACATGGATTTTTATTGTCTGAACTGGAAAGCATGCCAATTATATGCAAATTTAAATTGTATAATTAGCTTATGTTCTTGAGGGAGTTCCAGTTCTTCCACTGGTTCTGAGCCTGACAAAAAGGAAAATTATGCTTTGGCAAAGAACACCTATGGCCTATTTTGAATTCTCCTCCCCCACACCCATTTTTCCTTTCTCCCTCCCTCCTTCTCGTCTTTCCTTCCTCCTTTCAAAAAAAAAATCCTGACTGTACTTCATTGCTAAGCAGCTTAAACAGCCCGAATGAGACCCCTCCATCTGACCTCCACTCAGGTTTTACTTTTCCTCTTTGTTATTCTCTTGGCAATTAGAAGAACCGAAGAGGCCAGAGTCCTCCGAAGACGCCTGCTTGGAAGTTGAGATGCTGTTGCTGAAACTGCTAGAATGCCAGGCATGCTATCACCTGCAGCTTTGAGACGTCACGCTGACAGTATCACAGGAAAACAGCCTTTTGTGGGCCGTCCTCTGTGTGTTCACACCGTGTCGTTTTTAAGCTTTAAAGGAAACTGACAAAAGCTTCTTTTCTCTCTGTCTTGAGCTTCACTGCGTATTCTTAACCATGTGGAGCTGGGAGCTAACGCATCACAGCCAACTGTATCTGGAGTGCATTTGCTCATATAGCCCTTATTTTATTTTTTAGTCTTATTTTTAGTTTCCTTTGAATATAATAATAAAAAAAAAAAACCCAATCATTGAATTCTTAGCTTCAGCCAATATAGTGTGAGGTTAGACATATTGCAGCCCAAGGGAGAATTTCTGCTTGCAAGCTGGTCAGCCTGTTTGCAGCTGACAGATGTAACCTGCCCTAGGGCAAGAGAAAGTCTCAAGGGAGCTTTTAATTTCTTAATATTGAAATGAGCACAACCTTTATTGTCTTAATCAGTGAATAAAAAAAATAAAGTTGCTAAGTCTCATTTTTTAAACATGGCGTAAGAGGATTTTAAGAAATTACAATTGCTTTTTAAGCTGCTGTTGAAAGTTAATTTTCTCTGTGTTCAGGAAGATTCTGCCAGCAGCTCCTAGCTAGGTAGTCATATTCCAGTTAAGCAAAACTTTCCCAGGGGTGGCGAACAGCCCTGTTCTGTGGACACCGCCCCTGGGAAGGGAAAGGGTGTGTGTCGTCCACAGAGTGGTTTTACTTTGTCCTTGAACTTGGTTTTTATCACATTTCATAAACTCAGAATACAGGAGTACTCATTTAAAATTACAGCAGAAATCTTCTGATGCAAACTGCATTCTTTTAGAATATATGATACTTTAGGCAAGGGCCGTATTAACATTTTTTTCGCCATTCATAAAGAAGGGATTGATGAATGATAGTGAATAGCCCCTATACAGTCATAAGGAAAATGTTTCCGTTTTTAGTCTGAACAAATAATTGTATATGAAAAAATCTGATGTATTGCAGCTAGTCGTTCTTAAGTGTTTCTTAATTTAATCCAAATTTGAACCACGTTTCTTTAAATTAAAAGTTCCTCAATTACAAGGGCCACAGGCTTGTCAGTTCTGGTTCCCTGGTACTTTGTGTAATGCCCGAATAGGGACACAGTAAATGTGTGCTGAACCAACTGAAAAAGTTGCTTTCAGAGCTACATGGGAATGAATGTGGACCTGCAGAGATATTACATGTGATATAAACTATCGAACATGATGTTCCAGGTATAGAACGAAGATGCTCAACGGGAGCATACCAGAATCATGGGACAGGGGTTACGCGTTTGAAGCCAAAGCATAACTTTGGAATATTTAGAGAACCCTCAAAATTCAACAATACAAGCAAATCACCTGATTAAAAAATGGACACGAGATTAGAACAGACACTTCACCAAAGAAGTCCCTTCACCTACAGGATGCCTTTGTATACAGAAGGCAAATAGGAACGTTAAAAGGTGCCCAGCATCATTAGTCATTGGAGAAATGCAGATGACAGCCACGTTGTGATGCTACTCTACAGCAGTTAGAATGAGCAAATCAAAGAATCGTGACAATACCAAGTCCTGGGAATGACACAGAGCAATGGGAACTCTCATGCATTGCAGGGGACTGAGGTGGGGAGCACAAAGTGGCATGATCAGTTTGGAAAACCATTGGAAATTTCCCATCATTTAATATACTTCCACCTACTGTGAGCCAGCAATCCCAGTCCTAGATTTTTACCTACGAGAAATAAGACGACACAAAAACCCATTCCCAAATGTTTACAGCAGCTTTGTTCATAATAGCCAGAAACAGGAAACAACCTAAGTGGCCTTCAGTTGGGAAATGGAAACACCACACTGAGGAATGCGTATGCCCAGGAAGGCCCTGATCTCGCCTGTGGCTGCCATGAGGCCCTGCACAAGGGAAGAGAAGAAGAGAAGGCCGAGTGGAGAACCGTGGGGTCCCTGAAGCTTCCTGTGCTCTAGCGCACACACAGCCCTCAGCAAAGGTAGGAGTCTGGTGCTTCCAGGCCTGTAAGGAATTCGGTGCCTAACCATTCGGTGATAATTAGCTAACCACACTGAGACTTCAATGGCCACACCTGAAAGAGAAGACAGACTTTACAGAATTAGTCCAAGAAAGTCACTGAACAAAGGAACAGCAGCAGCAGAAGCAACACCACACTGTGGGGCAGGACATCTGATTTCCAGAGTTGCCACATTATTTTTTAAATTGTCTGATTTTCAAGAAAAAAATATGTAACAAAGAAACATGACGGTATCCGTTACTAAACAAAGACTTTAAATCTGCTGTTATAAAGGTGCACCAAGAACTAAAGGAAACTGAAAAAATTAAAAGAAAATGTTAGAGTAATGCCTCAACAAATAAAGAATATCAGTAAGGAGAGAGATATTAAAAAAAAAAAAAAGAACTAAGTAGAAATTCAAAGATACAATAACTTTTTAAAAAATCGCCAGAAGGGCTGAGTTGGCGGAAGAAAGAATGAAACTGGAAGATAAGTCAATTGATATTATCCAGTCTGAGGAACAGAATTTAAAATGGGGGAAAAACGGTGATGGTTACATAACCTTGAAAATATTTTGAAAACCACTGAATTGTAAAGTTTGAAAGGATAGGTCAGGCACAGTGACTTATACCTGCGATCATAGTGCTTTGGGAGGCTGAGGCAGGAGGATTGTTTGAGCCCAGGAGTTTGAGACAGACCCAGGCAACATAGCGAGACCCCATCTCTACAAAAAATAAAATAAAACTAGCCAGGTGTGGTGGTGTGCTCCTGTAGTCCCTGCTACTTGCGAGGTTGAGACAAGAGGATCGCTTGAGCCTAGGAGTTTGAGGCTGCAGTGAGCCGTGATCGTGCCACTGCACTCCAGCCTGGGTGGCAGAATGAGACTCTGTCTATGAAGAAAAAAAAAACGAATTTTATGTGAACTACCTCTCAATATAAAATGATTATCTGGGGGGATGGGCAAGAGCACAGTTTAGAAAAGGCTCTGGAAGACACAGTCCCAAGAGACATGTGTAAGTAAACAGGAGGCATCCTGCTGACTTAACTTCCTCATTTTACGGCTGGAGAAACTGAGACCCAGATGAGTGAAACAAACTATCCAGTGCTTCTTACTTAACAGAAACAAATGCCTCCAACCATTCTGCAGTCGGTGTGACCCACCATCTCAGTTTGCCAGGACTTTCCTAGCGTTGGCACTGAAAGTTCTGCATCCTGAGACACCCCCAGCCCTGGCAGCCAAGACACTTGGCCACTCTGTCAACCGTCTGCAGTGAGACTATTCTTTCTAGTGGCTCTGAATTGCTGCAGTTCTTCTGTGAATGAGAAGCGGTGACATTCAGAGGAGTCCCATTGCCCACTGAATTCAGTGCTCTAAGCTTAAGCATCTGCTGCTATGCTTGAAGTTCTTTTCTATTCAACCTTTTGGAATGAAGGCTCTTTCCTTTTAACAAAATCTGCATTTCATCCCCAAGGTGAAACCTGCTATCCTTGGCTTTCCCTGAAAAGTGAAAAGTGGTTTTCTTTGTGTACTAAATGCTAAGCATATAACAAAAATCAGAAGTTGTAGTTAATTGATTGCAGATATGAAAAAGCAGATTATAACCCCTCAGAGATCTATACAAAGACAGGGACAGGGAAAGAGAAGGAGAAGATCCATGTCTCCCGAAACTGAAAGCCATGAAAAGAAAACTCGTAGAGGAAAAGTCACTTGAATTATTTTTAAAAGCCAGCAGACCTCAAAGGAAAGCCCAAATCAAGAGGAAGCAGCAGTCCTTGAATGCATGATGGAGGGAAACCATCCTGCGGGTGGAGGGTGCACTGTCTGAGCCAGAGCAAATGGGTGGTTGCACATTTCAACTATAGGACCCTGAGTTTCATGCTCTGGCCCCAGGAGGGTGCAGCTTAGACCTGCAGCCAGCCCTGTCCAGCCTGGTGGGTCCCCACCATTCACGATGTGCGGTAGAGAAGGAAGGACCCATTCCCCTTGCATCTAGGAAGTTATGCTTGGAATTTGTGAGGTGTGGGGAGGTGAAGGACGACAAGGAAGTAATGGGAAAACAAATGACGGCCACCCACTTCCTCTGGGTTCCCACTTGAGCTCAGCCTTACAGACCTTGCTGCATGCAAGCAGGTGAGCCTCAGAGGCACCTGCTGTCTTTGCCTGGGTTCACGTGGTTCCTTCAGTCTCCTGAAGTGGCCCCTTGTACCACTGTGATTGCAGGCGATGGAAAATCAGGGGGTGTGCAGCTGGGTCCCCAGAGACGAGTACGCAGAAATAGGCCACAGCTTGATGCCTCCAGCAGCCTCTCCATCCACCTCTGCTTCCATCTTTTCCTGTGGTTGAGCCCCAGGGTCCCATCTGCTGGGTCGCCCTCACCCTGGCCTAGCCCACCTTTCCAGTTTATCCTTGATTTCACCTGACTTGCCCTCCCTGCACTCTCCTCCGGACCTGTCAGCACCCTCAGATACACCTCATTACCCCCAACCCCCAGCCTCCATGTGTTTGGTCACGGAGTTTCTTCTGCTTGGAGCATGCCCTTCACACCCTACTCCTGCCTACTGTCAAATTCCCAGTTCAGTGCCCACCTCCTCCTGCAATTTCCCAGCAGGATTAACCTTTCCTTCCTCCATGCCCTCAAAGGACTGTTTGCACCTCCATTTCCGCACATCCCCTCTGCCTCGCGTGGTGGATATTCACAGTCCCGTGTGTCCTCTCTCCTCCAAGGGAATTCTGACCCTCTGGGTGGGGGACAGGAGTCCTCGTCACTCCCTGGGGTGTGGCTGTTGGTGTGAGGGAACTTCTCCTGCCTGAGCCTGCTTCCCCAGCACCTGGCACGGCACCTGCTCACGCTGGGCACTGCAGACACGTCGTGGGAATTGCCCGTACACTCTTCTGAGAGCACCTCGCGGGCAGGGCTTGTGCTGTTCATCCCTGTGTTCCTCGTGCCTAGCCCGGTCCTTGACACACAGCCAGTGCGCAATAACAATTGTCGAGATTCATTCATGAAGTGAAGTTGGAGAGTTTAAAAACTTCTTCACAGAGAAATCTGCTCGCTTCGGCTGAACTGTGCTGACTTCCCAACCCTTCGGTATCACACCCCATGCCCGGGAAAGCCCAGGAAAACCAACGCAGGAAATAAACGATTCCATCGGGCCGTGGTGCTCCCAGCGTGGGTTTGTCAGTGTCCTTATGTGAGGGCCCAGGGTGTTGGAGCCATCACTGGCTGGAGCATGGCTGGTTACTGTGGCAAAGGGTGGACAAGTAGGGACGCTTCCGCTAGTGCTTTATAGCGTCTGCCTGGAGACCACCCATGTGACTTTCACTCACAGCTTACTGGCCAAAGCAGGTCCCGTGGGTGACCTGACTTCAAAAGGAGGGTGAGGGAGTTGGAGAGCACTTGTGCCGTTGACCACACTTGCCTGCAAGAGCAGAGCTGCTTACACTCTAACCTCACATGGGATTCGGTACGTCTGGGGAAGGGCCCAGACTTTGCATTTCTTGCAAACTTTGCAGGCTGTCTGAGGAGCAAGGGCAGAGCTGTGGAGCCAACAAGCTGAAACAAACTCATTCCTTCCTCTCCTTCTCCATCCTCCCCGTCCTCTGCAGAGACACAACTCAGCTTGTAGCTCTGTCGTTCTGCATTGCAAACCAAGAGAAATATCCTTAGCAGTCTGAAGACACTGTGATTTACCTCGAGGGTGCAGAGGACACAGAGGAATAGATAATGAAAGCCATTAGCTGTGTGACAAACCTGCAGAGTATGGGAAAGGACGGAACACAGGAGCGCTGCAGCTGTACGAAGAAGCCCCATCCGTCCAGCTAGAGGCCGTGCATTTGCATAAGCAGGTCTCTTAATGGACCAAGTTAGATCTAATTGTGTCACCTCTTTCTCTCCTTTCCCTCCCAATGAGTTCACAAAGCTGGGAGGGTCAGTGAGCTCCGATGGGGGCTTGTAAAGGCTTCAGCCCCTTTGAACGCGCTCCTTGTCATTGTCACACTGTGGTGGCCTGGGTTTGTCCTCCTTGCATGTGCCAGCAGTGATTGATGACTCACAGGGGCAATTCCATTGTCCCAGAGCCTGGAGCTCCTGTTGCTCCGGGGTCCTCTTTGGTGTTGAAGAGAAGCACTCATCCCTTCGTCAGAAGACACACACACACACACACACACACACATACGCACACTCCATGTAGGCTTAGTAAGCCCAGCCAGTCAGTGCCCAGTCAGCCGTCCCCCTTCCTTGTGGCTGAACCGCAGGAGGTGGGGGTGCATCTGCTCTGCACCACTCAGCCAGAGATGCAGGAGCCTCTGCCCAGCTCAGAATAGATGATGTTTTCTTACTAGTGGCTTTATTTAAAAGCCATCCCAGTCATTTCACATTTTTTTTTTAAAGTTTTGATTGACATCTATTTGGTCAACCTGTGCTCCCTATGGACTAAAATAGCTGACTGGGGCATTGTCTGGGCTTATTAAACCTGCATGTTGTGTGTGTGTGTGTGTGTGTGTGTCTGTGTACACGCACGTGTGCACACGCAGGACAAGCATAGCATGGAATTTGATGGAGTGGATGTGGAGGGAATTGAAGTGGTCTCCGTGCAGAAGGGGGAAGGTAGGAACCAAGTGAAGTGCCTTGTACAGGCGTCCTGCTGCCGCTAGAGGGCGAAGTGAGTCTAGAATCCACATGCCCGCGTCCTGCCTGCGAGTTTTCCCCTAAAGCAGCTGTGCTGGCTCCCGGACAGCAGCTTCAAGTTGACCTCTTAGAAGCCCGACCCTAATTTCCGATGGGCTCAGGGTCATAAATTAGATTTCTGTTCTAGGAAACTAATTTCATACCACCACAATACTTTAAAAAGTGATCACAAAATGAAATACACATATACGTTTTACAAATAATTACATGAAAACCTAACACTTAAGGCTAAATTCCTTTGGTGGGTGTAGGGGATGGGGATTGCTTGGAGAAGACATAATGAGGCTTGCAGTCTGATGAGGTTTGAACTGCAGGTACCCTCTTTCTTTCCTGTGACTTTCCCTTTAGCAAGCACAGCCATTCCTCCTTGCCACAAGGGCCTTCAAACTGTGATGGAAATGAGGGTCATCTGTCTTGGAAATATGCACCGCTGAGTGGATCTGCCTGCCCATTTCCGGAGCCCTGTGCCTGGCGACTGCTGGGGGATGGGCAGTTGCAGTGGTGACTCTGGAGGGGCAGCTCAGTTCATAGGATGTAATCATGGTTGGATGGACTCCAGAGGGTCATAGGATCCTTTGAAATTATAAGCAAGTATTTGATTGTGAGTTTATCTGGGTAGAGTGTCCAAAGCATTCACTGGAGTCTCAAGGGAATCCATGGTCCCCAAGAGACACTATTGTACGTTCAGGTTCCTTTCTAGTAATACTTTTTTCTAAAAAGTGTCTGTAGGTCAGTTCTTCTAAGGACTTCTAGAGATAGTAGTGATAGTGGTACAACAAAGTGAAGGTACTTAACTGTACACTTAAAAATGGCTAAGATAGTACATTTTATGTTATGTGTATTTTACTACGACTAAAAAAAAAAAAAAAAAAAAAAACCAACAAAAAAAAAAAACACCAACAGGGAGAACCACTTGAGCCTGAGAGGTCAAAGTTGCAGTGAGCCATGATCACGCCACTGCACTCCAGCCTGGGTGACAGAGTGAGACCCTGTCTCCAAAAACAAAACAAAACAAAAATATGTCTATAGGTCAGTCCTACTAAGGCGGGAGGTGAATACATACATACGGCATCCTTGTGCGCACAAACACAGGGTGCACATGCAGGCCCCTCCCTCCCACGCATGTGCCCACAGGTTCATAGGCATCAGCATCTCTAGAGCCAGCCCCCTCCACTCCCTCCCGACCCTGCTCTGTAGAATTCCTATACAAGGTTCTTGTGGATTTGTATCATCCCTTGCACCTCTCACGTGTCGCAGGACAGAACACTCGGCATCCTGGGGGCTTCCTTATCCCACAGCCCCAAATTCCGGGAACAGCATGGATGTGGGAGGGGGCATGGAATCCAGACCTGGATTCTTGTCCCGGACCTACCCCTCACCCTTGTGAATTTGAGTAAGGCATGTGAATTTGAATAAGATCCCTAACTGCTTTGGGTTTCCTGGTGGGTAAAGTGAATTCAAGTAAGGTCTGTGAATTTAAGTAAGGTCCCTAACTGCTTTGGGTTTCCTAGTGGGTAAAGTAGAATAACGGCCCCACCCTGCAGGATGAGTAGCCTGATGACGTGAGATGGTGAAAGAGAGGCACCCTGCAATCCGTCTCTGCCCCATTAGAGGGGCCCTGCAAACTCCTCCTGACATCCATTAGAAAATTGACACTGTACCTGGTGCTTAAAACGCAAATGCTGCTTTCCTGGCACTCTGAGTATGTCTCCTGTCATCTCCTAGAATCAGGAGGTTACTTGGGAAGTTGGTGGCGCTTGGTGTTTAGAGCGTATATCTCTTTGGGTGGAGGGCAGGCGGGCAAGTCTAGCTCTCTTGCCATCAGGTGACCCAGGACAAGCTCTCTGTTAGCTTTCTGTCTTTATAATGGCATCATGGCCACTGGGATCAGCTGGGTTGGGCAGGAGAAAGAATGGCCAAGCCATATGCTTGGGGCAAGTCCTTCTGCTGTCACGTTCCTTTTGCAGTTCTGTAGAGGAGCACAGGGTCAGCGCTGGAAGCTGCTGATACAACAGGCTGGAGCATAACGAGGTGTCTTTGTGGGGTGTGCTTGTCATGTTCCCAGATGTGTATTATTTGACAGCTAAAGAAACAAAAGCAACAAAATATGGCATGTACGTAGAGTGGAATAGTGTGCAGCCTTAAAAAGAAAGGGTATTCTGACGCATGCCACCTCCTGGAGGAAGCTTGAAGACATTAAGTGAAATATGCCAGTCACAAAAAGACATACTGTGGAATTCCATGTATATGAGGGAGCTAGAGGAGTCAAATTCAGAGGAGACAGAAAGCAGAATGGGGGTTGCCCGGGGCTGGGGAGTAGGGGAACAGGGAAGTTTTTTTGTTTTTTTTTTTTTCCTATTTGTATTTTTATTAGAATTATTGAAGGAGAGGGGAGAGGTGCTATTGATAATATTGGGGCTTCTCATCTAAAAATATGGGGAGACTCTTTGAATCCATTTGTATTGTATAACAAACTACCCCAAAACTTAATGACATAAAACAACAAATACGTCTTATTTCTTACAGTTCTTGTGGTCTGGAGAGCCCATCTGAGGCTGAATAGTCTTAGGTGGCCTTTCCTTCATGTTGGGGTCTCACCTTACACAGCTAGGATGATGCGGGCCTCTTTCCATATGGTCTCGGATCTGCAGAGTTACTAACCCAGCCAGGTTCAGTGGTAGCACAGGTGATCCTGGCAGCAAGAGAGGGCAGCCCCCACCCCATGTACAAGTGCTTTTCATGCCTATGTTAGTATCACATATGCTATCGGGGAACAGGGAAGTTTTATGCAGAGTTTCAGTTCAGAAAGATGAAAAAGTTCTAGAGATAGTAGTGATAGTTGTACAACAATGTGAATGTACTTAACACAACTGTACACTTAAAAATGGCTAAGATAGTACATTTTATGTTGTGTGTATTTTACCACAACTTAAAAAAAAAAAGGAGAATCACTTGAGCCTGAGAGGTCCAAGCTGCACTGAGCCCTGATCACGCCACTGCACTCCAGCCTGGGTGACAGAGTGAGACCCTGTCTCCAAAAACAAACCACCACCAAAAACCAAAGAGATGGCCTGTGAAATAAACGTCACGTGTTTTGAGTCCCGGGGATGTGAGCTGGGTAGGGAGAGTCTGACTCACATACAGGCTGATCCATGTCTAGAGCTCCTTTGGGTATTTTATAACCTACTGGGCTCCTGGGGCAGGGCGGCATCCTTGTCTAGCCACCTGTGGGAGTAGTCAGGAGCCAGGGTTCAGGGCTGGCCTCGGCTGCTGACCGGTGGCTGTGGTCATGCCTGTCCTCTCCCCCAGGCTTCCCTGTCCTCAGCTGAGAAACAGGAATAAGAAGCCTACATTTTAGTCAATGGAAGGTTCACGTGAATAGAGGGTGGAAGCCCTTTGGAAACACTGTTGTTCTGGACAAACACAGGGTCCTGGTCTCCACTCTGGGCTCTGGGTCTCAATGCCTTTCTAACCTTGCCCACTGGTGCCCACTGCCACCTGTGCTGCCAGGAGCCATCCTGCATTTCCCAGGGTGGTATGAGAGCGTGTCACCTCCATGTAATAGGCTGAGACACTCGGGCACTTGGAGAATCTCGGTGATCCTAATCGTAAGCTTGTTAGCAGGCTGCAGTCAGCAGAATGATCACATGTTCATTACATTTATTACCAGAAAGGCTCTTTACTGGCCGCCCTAGAAGGACGGATGGGACCTGCTGTGCCCGGCTGGCACGCCTTCCATAAGGAGTGACCCGGCTGCTTTTCGTGCATCTGTGGTGTTCCTATGAGTCGCTGGAGCTGGAGACCGAGCTGAGGTGGATGAGGCCTAGGGGGCTGGGGGCTCCATCACAACTTACACATGCCTACCCGCCTTCCTGCCCCAGAGATCTGCTGCTCAGCCATAGAAATGGGGATTCCATGGGGGAATGTGGAAATGGGGGCTACTTAAGGAGGGCAGGATAGGCAGGCTAGCTTTCACCCCTGGGTGGGGATTTTTGGGAAATGGAGCCAGTACTCTGCAGTAGTTAAAACACGCCAGGCAGGCTGTGTCGTGGCTCACACCTGTAATCCCAGCACTTTGGGAGGCCAAGATGCGAGGATCGTTTGAGGCCAGGAATTTGAGACCAGCGTGGACAACATATAGGGAGACACTGTCTCTATAAAAAAATTAAAATTAGCCAGGTATGGTGGTGTACGCACTTGTAGGCCCTGCTTTTCTGGAGGGGCTGAGGTACAAGGATCGCTTGAGCCCAGAAGGTAGGGCCTGCCATCAACCATGGTTGCACCAGTGTACTCCAGCCTGGGTGGCAGAGCAAGACCCTGTCTCAGCAACAGAAAAGCCAGGCAGGGCATGGTGCACTTTCTGTGCCCTCTCTGCATTCCTCGTCCTAGCACAGTGAACTAGGTAAGGGGCCCATTTCACAGGCAGAAAAGCTGAGTCCAAGGAGAAAATGACAACAGAAGGAAGGCACAGGAGGCTTCCTGGGGTCATTGAGGAAGAGTCTGTGAGAAAAACACAAATGACCAATTCTGTTAGGTGACCTTCCAGAAATTCCCTGGGCCAGGTGTCGCCCCACATGTGTTACTGTATGCAGTCCTGCTGACTTCTTTCTAAAAGGTCAGCAAGACACACACACAAAAAAATGCCACAAGCAAAAGTCAAGATACTTGGAGTCAGTAAGAGAGAGAAAAGTTGCCGGGAGCTAGGCTCAGGTCATTCCTCCCCTGAAGTGGAACGTGGTAGGGGCATGTGAGACTGGCTGTCAGTACAGCCCTGGGGGTACCTGGCCCCACAGGCTGCAGTAGGGAGCTGGGCCGGGGCTACCCTATGCAGAGGCAGGCCCTGGGGTTGAGCAGCAAGAGCACCTCTTTCCAGGCTTTTGAACCAATCTAGGCAGTTACTTCAACCAGGCAAGTCCGTCATGACCTGAACTCATTCTCCATCCCCAAAAGTGGCCCCATAGGGCCTGGAGGATGAGCACAGTCCCCTGAGGGCACCTGGGTCTTGAGGCCGGAGCGCCACTGCCCTGCCTCCCTCTGTCCAGCACAGTGTTTCTGGTGACATCCCACTGTCACGGGTGCAGCCTCCTTATTGGAAGGCGCCTAAAGATTCAGTAGGTGATGTGGGCAGTTGTCTCGGCAGTCACGAATGGTCAGCCGTTTTTATGGGTCCTCCCCATGGACGACGGGAGAGGGGAGAGGCCACCAGGCTGCGCATTACCTGGGTCCCCACCCTCTTCCTCCTCTCCAGCTCTCCTGACAGTTCTCTCCTGCCTGCTCCTGAGGGCCAATGAGAGGCAGTAAAACCGAGATCCGGATCTAAGGCGTTCCATCTGCTCCAATTCGTTAAGGAAAAGTAGATGACCACAAGCATTGGTGTGTCAGCCATGATCAGTAACACGCTACCTAGGAACCCCTGCCCCATCACTGACTGGGACACCTGGTGTGTGTTGATAGTGCAGGAAGGGGGCTCAGGAGACTGGCATGCACCCATGCCGGCACCTGCATAGCTTGGCCCCGGTGCCAGGTTGACCAGTGGACTTGGGGTGGGGCGGGGAGGGGGGGTGGCAGCAGAGGAACCATCTGTAACCCAGAGGTGACAGTCTTCGTCCCCTATCTCCCCCTGCTCCTGCACCACCCCACTCTCCCTGCAGAAGAGCAAATGGGCTTTTTCAGGAGCCGTGGATGACAGAGAGGCATTCTTCTGTGCTCCCTGCAAGGACACAGCACCACAGGGCCACCATCTAAAGACTGAACCTGCCCATGGAACTGGCCAGGACTCTGTGACACGGAAAGTGGCTGCCTGAGTCCGTCGTCCCCTTCTCCCTCCCACCATTCCTTCCCAGGCCCTAGAGGAGGTGCTGGGTCTTGAGGTAGCAACAGGGACCCAGGTGGAATCCAGAAGCAGAGAGAATCTCCAGGAGATCCCAAGAATCCATAGTTCATTTTCTCATTCATTCATTCATTCATTCATTAATTGCACACAGTGCACAAAGCCCCGAGATGAGGGAGAGACACAGACAGTCCTGGGTAGTGGAAGTGGCTTGGAGAACAGAAGGGTTTTTGTAATGCAGCGTCATCAGCGCTGTCGGGCATTGCGATGCCACGCGAACATAGTATGTGGAGCAGCTTCTGCCTTCAAGAAGCGGGCAGGTTTCATAGAGGTGGGGACATTTGGTCTGGGTCCTCAGAGATGGATAGGAGTTCCTGCGATGGAAAAGAGGAAAGGACATTCCTTGGAGATCGTGTGCAAGGGAATGGAACATTCGGGAAACAGGTAAAAATGAACAACACCAAAGAAAATAGTGCGCAGAGGGGAAGGAAAGGCTGAAAAGGTAGAAGATGGTGAGGGAGACGATGCTGAGGGGTGAATCAGGGAGAAGGGCCTGGGGTGGAGCGGGAATGGGGAGAAGGCCCGGGGTGGAGTGGGATGGAGAGAAGGACCCGGAATGGAATAGGATCGGGGAGAAGGGCCTGGGGTGGAGCAGGAATGGGGAGAAGGCCCGGGGTGGAGTGGGACGGGAAGAAGGACTCGGGATGGAATAGGATCGGGGAGAAGGGCCTGGGGTGGAGTGGGATGGGGAGAAGGACTCGGGATAGAGTGGGATTCGGGAGAAGGGCCTGGGGTGGAGAGGGACAGGGAGAAGGGGCCAGGGTGGAGTGGGATCAGGGAGAAGGGTCTGCGGCGGAGCTAAACTGGACGGGGAGAAGGGCCCGGGGTGGGTTGGATCGGAGAGAAAGGCCTGGGGTGTTCTGATTCGGGGCCAGGGAGAGGCCCCCTCCTGGGTTAGGGGAGGTGCTGGGGCAGGCCCAGATCTCCCAGGCTCCCTGGTGAACAGTCAGGGCAGTGCACTCTTTGAAGATCGCCAAGCCTGCAGGGCCCTGGAGGGAGATGTCATGATTAACTTAATGCTGTCACTTGTGCCGCACACAGCGGGGCCCACCCCGGGGGACAGCGAAGGAGCAGGGGGGCTGCGAAGCCCACTGAAATCAAGACGTGAATCTGAACAGTGGCGGAGGGAGACCTCGCAGAATGCATGGAGTTGTCCGAGGGGAGTGACTTGCAAGTGAGGCAGCGGACGAAGGGGGACCAGGAAGACACTAGATGTGACCTTCCGTGGTCCCTTTCCCCTTCTTTCGCACCTAGTCTCTTTTTTGTCCTTTCCCTCAGTTTTGGCGGTGGGTGGGGGGATGGGGGAGAGTGCTGGGAAGGACAACCGAAGCCTGCAGATTGACGCCACGCTCATCGCAGGCCGGTGGCCGCCACCTCTATCCGCCACCCGACAGGACCCGTCCATGAGGTCCCAGGCCCAGGGCGGTGCAGAGGCGTGGGTGGGCTGCGGTTTCCCTGCTCGCCTTGGAGGTTTTTCTTAGTGAAGTGTCTGCCATCTTGTGGCTGAGGCTGGTACTGCCGAGGCCCACCGGCAAACCTCCCTTCCGGGCTCCCCAAGGGGGTCCCTGGGCCTGCAGGTGGCTGCGAAGGGAGGAGGAGGAGGGGAGGTGGGCAGTGGCGCTGGCCTCCCTGCGTGGACCCACTTCCTCCCACGCTGTGCTCAGAGAATCTTCTGGAGACCGCAGCTGTGCCTGGGAGGCCATCCTTGTGCCTAGGAGGACAGGGAAGAGGGTGGATCTCAGACACAGGCAGGCTGGGAGGTCTGCACAGGTGTGGCCATAGAACATGGACGCCTCCAGTACGCAGGCACAGGCAGCTCAGGGCCGGGAGCGAGGCCCGTCTCAGCAGGCGGTGTCAGCCGCGGAGTGGGTAGGTCCTCTGAGGACGATCACACCTGTGGGCAAGAGCACACCCGGGCTCTGGGCCAAGTAAGCCTGTGAATCCCACTGGCGTTGTGAACCCGGAGCCCTTGGGATCCGATTTTTTATTTGCTATTTGGATACAGCTGTAAGAGATGACAGATTATTTTACATCCCTCAGTTCTCCGAACTTGCCTTGGACCAGGAATGTCAGGCCCTCACCGTGCCTTTTTCTCTTCTCCAAACTCTCTGGTGCTGCCTGGAGCAGATGGCACCCCCCACAGACGTCGTCCTTATTGTTGTCACCAGAATATTCCATTTCCACAGCCACCTGGCATCCCAAAGCCTTCCTTCAGTGGGCAGCCTCTTCACAGGCAAATGCTAGCGATGGTTCAAGTCACACGGCCAGCACATACTCCATTTCCAAGGAGGTCATTGCTAACTCTAAATCTACCCCTGTTAGTTAGCCAACCCCACGTGCTCATTCTTAGAGAGGTTCTGTTCCCTGAAAACAGTCTGGAGCCAAATGCTGTGTGAGCTGGGGCCCGGTCATGGAAACAGAAAACTTCCATTCCGTCAAGCTGGATGGATTCTACAGAAGGAATTCGGTGTTTACAGAATCGTTAGCAGGGCTGTTCGCGTGAAGGTCAGGGAAAAGCACCCCAAGATTTCAGGATACCAAGAAGTTACTGAAATTGCCAAAAGTCATTGCTGATGGCATTCCACGGACTCTCTGGAGAGGGCCAGGAGGAGCTGGCAGAGTCTTGGGTCTGCTTCCTGCAGAGTCCTGCGCTCATCCTCACAGCTGCGCCCTGCAAAGAATAGCTTCTTCTTTTACGTAGCCTGCCAAATTTCGTGTGAGTTTCTCTGATTGGTGGAATCTGAAGCAGGGCCTTGCTGGCAGCAGAATCTGGGGAATGCAGTCTGCGAGCTTTCCGCCTGTGCGGTACGAGGGTGAGCTGAGAATGTCAGGGACCAAGGCACAGTATCTGATACACACTTTTAAATATGGGTGATAATAATAGGACTTCCTTCCCGTGGCTGTTGTGAGGCTAAAATTAACATGTGTGAAGTCTTTGCACAGATCATGGCATATGGTAGACCCTCAATAATTGCTAGTTTACAAAAAATTGTCAAAACTGACATTAGAATGGCTCCTCATTCTCATTCCTAACCCCTGCAAGAAAACTGGCTGCCTCTGAGCTGGCTGGTCTAACCCACCCGTCTTGGCGGGGACCCTGCCCCTTGTCGTTCCGGACCTGCTGGGCCTTCTGCTGGCTCAGACGGCGAAACAGAGATGCAGGAAATAAGTGACGTTGCTCAAGAAAAACCTGACGCAGTGAATCATGCTGAATATTAATATTGGATGCACTGTGCTTGGCAGACTTGAAGACTTCATCTCACATGGACCAGTGGACAGTCAGAGTGTGGTTGGTCCCCTCGTGAAAACATGGGTCCTGGCTCTGCTTTGCAGCTCTTTACTGAATGGAGGCAGTGAGAGTGGGTTGAGCCTCTGTGGCCGTGTGCTCACATGCTTCAAGCAGCCTGCAACAGGAAAGAATTAGGGCACAGCTGAAATCCAAAGGGGAGAAGAAGCAGGCTGAAATCCACGGGGAGCAATGTCTATTTCTTAGTCTGTCTCCTGCCCCAAATAGCCCCTCTCTCCTTTCCCAGCTTGTGTTGATGCGTGTCTTTCCCTGGCAGCAGATGTCACCGGGACGTAAACTAGGACGCAGAGGGTGGTGATGAGCCACAGGCCACATCCTGCCCTGCCCTGACTCCCCAGGCTCCCTGGCCTGGAGTTCAGAGTACAGACCCCAAGCGACCGCCTGCTCACCAGGACGTGCCAGCAGGGTCCTTCTCCCCAGAGCCACAGCGAGTGAGGGGACACTCTGTCTATCCTGGGAGTGGGCTGGGGTCCTGTTCCTGAGCTGGTGGGCAGATGCGATAGTGCCAGGTAGAGCTGCAGCCATTCTGTCCATCCCTACCCTGTCCACCCGTTTCATTCCCTCCCACTGTGGCCCTGCTGAGCCCTCTCAGGGACATCCATTTACCCTCGGGGACAGCCAGGGAGCCATGCTTACCTGCTGTTTCCCCTGGGAGAGCTTTGGGGCCAGTTTCAAACAGACCCACAGCGTCCAAACCAGGGCCCCCAACATGCACTTGGGATGGCAGGGGTGTGGGGGTAGAGTGTAAGTTACTGATTTAAAAATCTGATATAAACCTGATTTCAGTTCCCAGTCAACTGAGGCACAGCAAGGTAAGTCCCTGCCCAGCGTCACTCCACTTGGAATGCGGAGAGCCCGGCCTAAAGGGGACCCACTGCACATCCCAAGCCACGCGTCTGCTCACTGCAGCCCTGGCCCCTCAGTGCCACCCCTCGCAGGTGCTGTCTCTCTAGCATGGGAGCTGATGGCGCCTTTCTGTGTCCCCACAGGTTCTTTCAGAGCACGGCTTCGGCCCCATCACTACCGACATCCGGGAGGGACAGACTTTCTACTATGCGGAAGACTACCACCAGCAGTACCTGAGCAAGAACCCCAATGGCTACTGCGGCCTTGGGGGCACCGGCGTGTCCTGCCCAGTGGGTATTAAAAAATAATTTCTCCCCACATGGTGGGCCTTTGAGGTTCCAGTAAAAATGCTTTCAACAAATTGGGCAATGCTTGTGTGATTCACAATCGTGGCATTTAAAGTGCACAAAGTACAAAGGAATTTATACAGATTGGGTTTACCGAAGTATAATCTATAGGAGGCGCGATGGCAAGTTGATAAAATGTGACTTATCTCCTAATAAGTTATGGTGGGAGTGGAGCTGTGCAGTTTCCTGTGTCTTCTGGGGTCTGAGTGAAGATAGCAGGGATGCTGTGTTCACCCTTCTTGGTAGAAGCTAAGGTGTGAGCTGGGAGGTTGCTGGACAGGATGGGGGACCCCAGAAGTCCTTTATCTGTGCTCTCTGCCCGCCAGTGCCTTACAATTTGCAAACGTGTATAGCCTCAGTGACTCATTCGCTGAAATCCTTCGCTTTACCAAATCTAGACATACATAAGGGGCTTTCTCTCCCTTTTCAGCCCTCTCTGTGCAGAGAAAAGATGTGAGTCCGCTTGATGAATTCTAATGCTTTGCTTAGAGCTATGAGAAATGTTTGTTTTAATAAAAACCTACAGTCCAATAATGCCAACTGCCTGACATCTCCTCTGTCTTTGGCTTGCTTAGGTAGAATATTTTTAAGTGCTGTAAGATGAATTTAAGAGCTCTAAACAGCTTGGGAGGGAAAAAGCCTCAGAGCCGTTTACCTCCAAATGGGAACAGTTCGGATGAAATTTTTGGTAAACATGCACACCTCTAGCTCCTTGCAACCTAAGTAATAGTAGTTGTTCTCCAGGTGCCTGTCGCATCCCTCACGTCACAGGCTGTTCTAGTTATAGCAGACCCCTTCAATCCCTGCCCTTAAGAACCTTTACATTCCAGACAAGGAGTCATAAACATGGAAAGAAATGATGAAATAAGATGATGTCAGGTTCTGATGAGGGATGCGAAGATGATGAATGGGCTAGGGCAGTCAGTTGCGTCTGGGGGCTGTGAGATCGTGTTCAGGGGTGTTTTAGCGAGGTTGGTCACGGAGGCCTTCGCAAGGTGGTGAGACCTGATGTGTTAGTCCCTTCTCACGTTGCTATAAAGAACTGCCCGAGACTGGGCAATTGATAAAGAAGAGAGGTGTGATTGGTTCACAGTTCCACAGGCTCTACAGGAAGCATGATTCTGGCATCTGCTTGGTTTCTGGGTAGGCCTCAGGAAACTTAGAATTATGATGGAAGCGGGAGGGGGATCAAGTCGGGGTGCCACATACTTTTAAACCGTGAGATCTCAGGAGACCTCCTTCAGGAGAACAGCACTGAGGGATGGTGCTGAACCCTGAGAAGCCGCCCCCATGGTCCAGTCCCCTCCCACCAGGCCCCACCTCCAATACTGGGGATTATAATTCGACAGGAGATTTAGGGGGGAACACAGATCCAAACCATATCACTTGAGAACGAAATGAACTAAATCAGTAGTCCCCAGCCTTTTTGGCACCGGGGACCAGTCTCATGAAAGACGATTTTCCCACAAGTGGGTGGTGGGAGGAAGGGGGATGTTTTTGGAATGATTCCAGCACATCACACTTATTGTGCACTTTATTATTATTACATTGTAATATATAATGAAATAAGTATACAGCTTATCAT
Source organism: Homo sapiens (assembly GCF_000001405.40). Lineage (NCBI taxonomy): Eukaryota > Metazoa > Chordata > Mammalia > Primates > Hominidae > Homo > Homo sapiens. The sequence goes on from NC_000008.11 coordinate 10,429,937, forward strand.
CATGTAGAAACAGTGGGAGCCCTGAGCTTGTTTTCCTGCAACTAGATGGTCCCATCTGGGGGCAATGGGAGACAGTGACAGATCATCAGGCATTGGATTATCATAAGGAGCATACAGCCCAGATCCCTCACATGCACCGTTCACAATAGGGTTCACACTCCTATGAGAATCTAATGCCACCACTGATCTGACAGGAGGTGGAGCTCAGGAGGTAATGTGAGCAATAGGGAGCGGTTGTAAATACAAATGAAGCTTCGCTTACTTGCCTGCCACTCACCTCCTGCTGTGAGGCCTGGTTCCTAGCAGGCCACCGACCAGTACCAGTCCGTGGCCCAGTGGTTGGGGACTCCTGAACTAAATGATGCAGGACCTAAAGGAGGAAGCATGTTGGGAATACACTAGTGGAAGTGGAAGCTATTCCATCAGTAGAGAGAACCCTCAGTGAGGCAGGTGGAACCAGGTCACAGAGAGCCTTCTATAGGATGACATAATGGGCTTTTTAGTTTATTCTATTTAATTGGGCAGCATTGGAGCTTTTTACACACTTTCTCCCTCATTTAGTTTTAACCGGAGCAACTGGTTGGCTGGGGGTATGATTTGCTTGTAGGAAGGTGGATGTGAGGTAGAGGTAATGGGATGAATTGTGCAGTTTTGGCCACACAAATTTGAGATGCTCCTCGGATGTCCCGGTGGGGATATGGAGCAGGGCAGTTGGTTGCATGGGTCTGGATCTTGGAAGGGATCAGAGGAGGAGAAATTTCAGAATCCCCAGCATATAGATGGCGTTTGAGGCCACGGGACCAGCTGATATCATTTAGGGAGAGACCGGAGAGAGAGAAAGGGTTTGAACATTGAGTGCCGGGGTGTTCTGACATGCAGAGGTCTGGGAAAGAAGGAGCAAAGGAATTGGAGGAGTGACCCCTGAGGTAGGCACAGGCAGCGAGTGTGTCTGTCCTACAAGCAAGTTGCTTGTAGAGTCTGGGGAAAAGCTTAGGCCAACTTCCATGTTCAAAGCAGAGCGAACTAAAACTGATGGGGCGTCCAGCCCTTCGAGGAGGGATCTTGCAGTGTTTCAAGTGCCACATCCCTTGAATCTTGCCCTAAGCCTTCCCCAGAAGGAACCGGGATCTTTTACCAAGGTGACTCTGTACTGGTGAAATGGAAATAGCCCAGGCCTTCTAGGAGTTATTACCCACTGCTCCTAAACGTGAAAGACCAAGGTCCACTGCAGAGTGGGGTTTATGAAGACCAGGTGACAGATGGGATCTTGCTCCAAGTCTGTCTCTCAGTGGGTCCGGTGGGTCAGAACAAGCCTGAAGTTATTTCCTCACTCCCAGAATGCGTAGTGTGTATTAGCCATGATTCCAGCTTCTGCAGCTTGATCTGTCAGTATCCATTCACCCCACGCGCATATGCCCCTGACCTCCTGCCTGCCCCCTCACCCCTGCTTCTCACTGGGAGGAGTCTTTCTCTTAGGGGTGCAGGTTTATTTTTGTTTTTGTTTTTTTTTTTTTTTGAGATAGAGTTTTGCTCTTGTTGCCCAGCCTAGAGTGCAGTGGTGCGATTTCGGCTCACTGCAACCTCTGCTTCCCGGGTTCAAGCGATTCTCCTGCCTCAGCCTCCCGAGTAGCTGGTATTACAGGCATGCACCACCATGTCCAGCTAATTTTGTATTTTTTGTAGAGACAGGGTTTCTCCATGTTGGTCAGGCTGGTCTCGAACTCCCAACCTCAGGTGATTCACCCACCTCGGCCTCCCAAAGTTTTAGGATTACTGGTGTGAGCCACTGCACCCGGCAAGGGTGCAGTTTTTTAAATACAAACCAATTGATCCAGAGTTCACAGCCCAACCACCTCCTCTGTCTGGCTCTCACACTCCAGGCCGCTCTCCAGCTTTCCTAAGTGCCCCAGGCCAAGTGCTTGACAGCTAGGGACAGCCCCTGTGCCCCAGAGCTGCTGAAATTTTTCACACGCGCCTGTCCTGAGCCTGTTCATTCTGCCATTCCTTCCCATGGAAACCACAGTAGAGGCTCTGTCCACAGTTTCCACCCCCCTCTGCTCCAGTTCTTCCGCTTCTCTTGGGACCTGTGAATAACAAACTGTTAACAGCAGCCATCTCTAGGTCTGTTGGCCTTATTAGACCTAAATAACAATACAGCCTATTAAAACATCATGAGATAGATATACCTAATAACTGACAAAATCGCCATTTTAGCTTCCTGATCCATGGAGTAAAGTCTCCTGTACTCCCCCCTCTCCCAATATAGTGAATAAAACAATACCTTCTCTTGGGGAATTTCAAATTTTGGTGGCACCAGTGGCAAACCCAAATGATGCAGGGGTGGGCATTGCTGCCTGACCCTATGTTGTCACCCTGTTTGGCAGATGAAATACTGTTTCTGTCTCCCAGTGTTGTGTCATGCGTGGGTTTCATTCACATGTTCTCAATGTGTTCTTGAAAATCATTATGGAAAATACTTAATGAGCCGGGCCTGGGCATGGTGGCTCGCACCTGTAATCCCAGCACTTTGGGAGGCCGAGGTGGGCGGATCACCTGAGGTCAGGAGTTCGAGACCAGCCTGGCCAACATGGTGAAACCCCGTCTCTACTAAAAATACAAAAAAATTATCCAGGTGTGGTGGTTGGCACCTGTAATCCCAGCTACTCAGGATGCTGAGGCAGGAGAATCACTTGAACCTGGGAGGCAGAGGTTGCAGCGAGCCAATATTGCACCACTGCACTCCAGCCTGGGCAACAAGAGCGAGACTCCATCTCAAGAAAAATAAATAAACAAAAATTGAACTGGACAGTTCACTTAGGGACATGTTGCTTGTTTAACGTCTTAGAGCTTCTGTTGTGATGGCCATGGCGTGTCATTCTACTGCCCCTGTTGACCCTGCCACCCCCAACTTCTAGCAGAAAGTGCTGGTAGATTGCCACGCTCTTTCCTGCCAAGCCCAGGCACACTTTCAGAATTCCTCTACACCAAGGACCTTGGGAAGGCCCTGCCAACCTATCAGACTTGGTTTCCAGGTGAGACCCAGAGCTTTCCTTCCAGGTGAAACCAGAATTGCTGACTAAAGCTTTGGATGTAATGTCTCAGCCGGGGGTAAGTTCACCGAAGAGATGTCATCTAAAGAACAGGGTATCATGATGTTAGCCACAGCATGGTGATCAGAGAGCCTGGAACAGGTGCTTTGCTGACATCTGGAAATTCCACAGAGGCTGGTGGAGCGATCAGCTGGAGTGAAGTGAGACAGACCTGAGGGAAAATGCTAGCTCTGCCTCTTATAGATTGAGTGACCCTGCAGAAGTCACATGATCATTCTGAGGCTCAGTTTCTTTGTGTGTAAAACAGCGATAATCATACCCATGTTGCAGGACTTGGGGAAGATTAAATACTATGCATACACACACATATATATGTGTGTGTGTGTGTGTGTATATGTATGTATGTATGTATATACTTTGTACAGAGCCTGAGATACAGTAAGTGTTCTCTACATGGTAGATATTATTATTGTCTTCTTGTAAAGGAGAGAAGGGGATTATTTGCTGAGAACTTTAAAAAAATCTCATTCGCTTTTGTGAGTCCACCCTGTCCCTGGAGTGATGAGTGACATTTTCTAAACATTATTAGTTTGTCTGAATAGTTTATAAAATTTCCAGGGAACAACATTTTTTAACAATATGTTGACTCTGAGATGTCCTTTCTGCCCCCCAAATTTTAAATATTTCCATCAGAGAACAGGCTACACGTTCTTTGGAATGTGCTCTGAGTTCCAGCTGGGACATTGGGATACTGGGATGCCAAGAACGTGTCTGCCTGATGTCAGCAGTGGGCTCGAGGCAGATGTCCCTGCGCACCCACTAGTCACTTAGTCGGTGCATCTTCACAGAAGATAACATCTCTGTGGGCCCCTCTCCTCCCCTGCTGTACAGTGGCTCTTCTGCGACCAAGTGGCCCCCTTGGAGGTGGAAGCAAAAGGAAAGGCTCTGGACGGAGGTTCCCCAGCTCCTTGATAACGTGTAAAAATCTCTGGCAAGTCAGAGGAGTTCATTGCTCACATTAAGAGCTGCTTCTCATTGCTCTCTTATTCATTCAGCCATTAGTTAATTAATTCTCTCAACATGAATCTATTCGGTCCCGGCTGTGTGCCAGGGTCTGTGCTAGATGCCGGGGGCATCATGTCAGCCAAACATGGTTGCCAGCCTCCATAAAACTGTTCTAGTGGGGAAATTAGATATTAAACGAGCAGTGTCACAACTCCATAATTAAAAACAGTGGATGAGCTTTCAGGGAAAATCATAGTGTGCTGTGAAAGAGTAAAAATGAGGGGATCCGATCAAAGCTGAGGGAGCTGCATTTGGGCTGAATTCTGCAAGATCCATGAGAAGTAACACGCAAAGTGGGTGCGAAGGTACAGTTGGGAGAGGGACACGTTCCAGGGAGAGGGACATTTTCCAGGCAGAGGCATGTGCCAAGGCCCCAGGGTGGAGCCATTGAAAGAAGGAACCTAAGAGCTGTGGTGATAGTGCCATATGTGTTCATGCTGCTTTTGTTTTTACAAAGACTTAACTTTTTAGGGCAGTTTTAGGTTCACAGCAAAATTGAGAGGAAGATACAGAAATTTCCGTATGCCCCCCATGCCCTCACATGCACAAGCTCCCCAACTATCACCATCCCCCACCAGAGTGGTGCATTTGTTACAAATGATGAACCAAATTGACACGTCATTATCACCCAGAGTCCATAGTTTACATTCGGGTTTGTTCTTGGTGTTATACAGCCTATGGGTTTGGACTCTATCCACTGTTAGAGTATCATAGAGAATAGTTTCCCTGACCAAAAAATTCTCTGTGCTCCATCCACCTGTTCATTCCTGTCTCCCTCCTGACCCCTGGCAACCACTGATCTTTTAACTGTCTTCATACTTTTGCCTTTTCCAGAATGTCAGATAGTTGGAATCACACAGTAGCCTTTTCAAAGTGGCTTTTTTCACTTAGTAAGTATGCCTTTAAGTTTCCATCATGTCTTTTCATGACTCAATAGCACATTTCTTTTCAGTGCTGAATAAAATCCCATTGTCTGGATGTACTGCCATTCGTTTATCCAATCACCTGCTGATGGGTATGTTGGTTGTTTCTAGGTTTTGGTAATTATGAATAACATTGCTATACATATCTAGGTTTTGGTAGTTATGAATAACATTGCTATACATATCTGTGTGCAGGTTTTTATGTGGACTTAAATTTTCAACTTCTTTGGATAAATGCCAAGAACTGTGATTGCTGCATTGCACAGTGAGAGGTATGTTTAGTTTTGTAAGAAGTTGCCAAACTGTCTTCCAAAGTGGCTGTGCCATTTTGCATTCTCACTAGCAATGAATGAGAATTCCAGTGGCTCCACATCTTCACCAGCATTTGGTGCTGTCGGTGTTCTGGATTTCGGTCATGTTAATAGGTGTGTAGTGATGTCTCGTTGTTTTAGTTCACATTTCCCTGATGACCCATGATGTGGAGCATGTTTTCATGTGCTTCTTTGTGTCTATATATCTTCATTGGTGAGGTGTCTATCACAATATTTGGCCCAGTGGTTAATTTTTCGTAGCTGACCAGTATGATGAGGGGTGCTAGGGATGAAGGTTGGTGAAGCCCACAAAGTGAGTTTCTGTCTTTTTGAGTATCCACATTTGAACTAGGCAACCTGGCTGCATGAAACTCGTAGCTTTTGTTTTCCCCCACTTTTTCAGCCATCTTTCAGGGTCACATCCTGAGGTAATGTTGGGGCCCCTGGTTTTTACTGTTGATAATTATTTTAAAACTGCAGTGACCTCACTGTTGCATTTAATTTTTTTAAACACAAGGGCTGGGGGTGGTGGCTCACACCTGTAATCCCAGCACTTTGGGAGGCTGGGGCAGGGAGATCACTTGAGGCCAGGATTTCAAGACTAGCCTGGCCAACATGGCGAATCCCTGCCTCTAATAAAAATACAAAAATTAGTTTGGTGGCACACACCTGTAATCCCAGCTACTCAGGAGGCTGAAGCACAAAAATCGCTTGAACCCGGGAGGTGGAGCTTGCAGTGAGCTGAGATTGCACCACTGCACTCCAGCCTGGGTGACAGAGTGAGACCCTGTCTCAAAAAAAAAAAAATGTAATTTACACAAAAAACTACACACAAAGTATATAATTTGATAACTTTTTGACATACATATATAGCCATGAAATCATAGCTACAGTCAAGATAACAAATGTATCCACCACCCCAAAAATATCCTCACACCTCTTATTCCTGGGCCTGCTTCCCCTACTCCATATTCAGGACGCAGTCCTAAGGCAATCCGCTTTCTGCCATTAAAGACTAGTTTGCATTTCTGAAATTGGACTCAGCATTTACTCTTCCATCATCTGGCTTCCTACTCAACGTAAGTATTTTGAGATTCATCCATGTTGCTGCATGTCTCATTGGTTCATTCCTCTTCATTGCTAAGTAGTATTCCATCGCATGGATGTACCACAGTGGGTTTATCCATTTATCTGCTGACGGACATTTGGGTTCTTTTCAGTTTGTGATTATAACACATAAACGTGCTATGGAGTTCATGTTTTAATCTTTGTATGAACACATGATTTCATTTCTCCTGGGTATATACCCAGCTGTCAAATGCCTAGGTCATATGATAGGTGCATGTTTAACTATTTAAGAAACTGCCAGACTGTTTTCCAAAGTGATTGTAACATTTTACGTTGTTACCACCAGCAGCTATGAGAGTTCCAGGTGTGCTGCGTCATCCTGGATGCTTGCCATGGTCAATCGTTTTGAGTTTAGATATTCCAACAGGTGTGCAGTGGGATCTCACTATGGTTTCAATTTGCATTTCCCTAACAAATGATCCTGAGCCTCTTCTATGTGCTGCTTTGCCATCTGGTTATCTTATTTGGTGACACATCTAGTAAAATCTTTTGCTCATTTTGGGCAGTTGTTACCTTAGTATTGAGTTTTGACAGTCCTTTTTATATTCTAGATACGTCCTTTATTAGATATCCATTTTGCAAAGCCTGTAACTTGTCTTTTTATTTTTTTAACAGTATCTTTCAAAAACAGAAGTTCTCAATGTTGATGAAGCTCAGTTTATCAAGTTTTTCCTTTATGTATTGTGTTTTTGGTATTGTGTCTAAGACATCTTTGCCTGAGATGAGAAGTTGTATGGTTTAAGGTTTTACACTTAGGCCTGTGGTCCATTTTGAGTTTGTTTTTGTACACAGTGTAAAGTATGAATTAAAGTTTGGTTTATTTTTTGCATATAGATATTCAATTATTCCAGCACCATTTGTTGACAGGCTATTGGTATGGTCTAAAAGTTTGTACCCTCTGCAGATTTGTATGTAGAGATCCTAATCCCCGAGGTGATTGTATTAGGAGGTGGGGTGTTTGGGGATCTTATTAAGTCATGAGGGCAGAGCCTTCATGAATGCCATTAGTGCCCTTATAAAAGAGCCTCAGAGACCTGCCTTGTCCGTTCCACATTGGGAGGACACAGTGAGAAGACTGTGAGTCTATGAGGAAGCAGAGCCCTGGCCAGACACCGAATCTGCTGCCACCTTGATCCTGGACTTCTCAGCCTCCAGAACTGTGAGAAATACATTTATGTTGTTTAGAAGGGTACAGATTATGGTATTTGATCATAGCAGCCTGAGTGGACTCAGACAACCATCCTTTCTCAACTGAATCGATGTTGCACATTTGTTGAAAATCAATCGTCCATATATGTGTAGATCTATTTCTGGACTGTGTATTCTGTTTCATTGATCTAGTCTACCTTTGTGCCAATGCTATACAGTTTTGATTACTAAAGATTATAAGTTTTAGAATCAGCTAGTGTAAACAGTGAAAATCACTGAGAGTTCAGAAGTTAAAGTTGTACTGCGGTTTCAAATAAGGTACTTAATGGTCCTTTTTCATCATTCAGCATGAATATCCCCTACGTATCTCTGAAGGTTGATTTTGTTCTTTATTTTAAGAATAAAATAACGTTGTGAACAGCTTGAACCTGACAAGTTCACTTGAAAGCATTGCACAGGAAGTGGATTTCTCAGCAGCCATTGGTGGGGCCTTGTGATCCCCTGAGAGTGAGCAGCTCTGGGAACAGAACTGACATGAGTGTCTGGGAGGGGACATGGGAAGGATCTGCATACAAATTGAAGATCCAATTCCTATAAATTTTCTATACAATTGTATATTTTAATATATAATTATAATTGATTTTAAGTCTGTCTCTGGAAATATAAGCTTTAATAATTTACATCTTCACTTAATCACTTATGAAATCATTTTATAACCCTTAATAAAATTAGATAGTGTAACTTGTCAAACTTTGTTCTCTTATAAAGTTGCTTTTGGTTATCCAAGGTCTTTTGCATTTCCGTATGAATTTTAGAATCAGTTTGTCAGTTTTCTACAAAAAGAATTCTGCTGGGATTTCAAGGGTTTGCATTGAATCAGAATCAATTTGGAAAGAATTTACAGTTTAACAGTCTTAGGTCTTCTAATTCATGGGCACAATATGGCTCTCCATTTAATTAATTAAATTTAATTAATTTATTTGATTTATCTTAATAATGCTTTATAGTTTTCAGCATCCAGGTCTTGCACATCTTTGGTTAGATATACCCCTCAGTATTTCCCATTTGTATGGCATTGTTATAGTATTGTTTTTAAAATTGTAGTTTCCAGTTGTTCATTGCTACTTTAGGCAAATCTGATGGATTTTTGTGCATTGATTCCGTATCCTGCCGCAATGCTGAACTCACCTATCAATTGTGGTTTCTTTTTTTGGTAGATTCCGTGGGATTTTCTACGTAGATATGACGTCTGCAAATAGAGACAGTTTTACTTCTTGTTTCCAATCTGTGTACCTTTTTCCCCTTCCCCCTTACCCTGTCGCACTTTATCTCCAGTACAATTTTAATATAAGTGGTAAGAGGGGAAATACTCATCTGTTCTGATGTTAGGCTTGTATTAGTCTGTTTTCACACTGCTGATAAAGACATACCCGAGACTGGGTAATTTATAAAGAAAAAGACGTTTAATGGACTCAAGTTCCATGTGGCTGCGGAGGCTTCACAATCATGACAGAGGGCAAAAGGCACACCTTACATGGCGGCAGGCAAGAGAGAATGAGAGCCAAGTGAAAGGGGAAATTCCTTATAAAATCATCAGATCTCGTGAGACTTATTCACTACCATGAGAATAGTATGGGAGAAACCACCCCCATGATTCAGTTATCTCCCACTGGGTCCATCCCACGACATGTGGGAATTACGGGAGCTACAATTGAAGATGAAATTTGGGTGGGGACACAGCCAAACTATGCCAGTCTTTTACCATTAAATATGATGTTAACGGTAGATTTTTCATACAAGCTGTTTGTCAGTTTTCCTTCTCTTTCTAGTCTGCAGAAAGTTTGTTTTTATCAGGAATGGATTCAGATTTTGTCAGCTGTTTTTTTTGCATCCAGAAAATGATCATACAGACATTCCTTATTAGTCTGTAAATATTGTGAATTATTTCGACTGATTTTTGAGTCTTAATTCAACCTTGTATTCCTGGGATAAACCTACTTGGTCATGATTTGTATCCCTTTTATACAATGTTGGATTTGACTTGTTAAAATTTTCTTAACTATTTTTGCATCTTTTTTCATGAAGAATATTTGTCTGAGTTTTCTTGTAATGTCTTTACCTGGTTTTGGTAATGCTGGCTTAATAGAATCAGCTGGGAGGTATCTTTCGGTTTTTTGGAAAAGTTTGAATTGTTATTATTCTGTTATTATTTCTTCCTTAAATGTTTGGTGGTACTTGCCAGTGAAGCCCTCTGGGTCTTTAGTTTTTTATGCACGAAGATTTTTAATTGCAAATTTAATTTGTTTAATAGATACAGGACCATTTGGATTATCTACTTCCTGAATGAGCCTTGGTAGATTTTGGTTTTTTTAAGTAATTTCTCCTTTTCATCTAAGTTATGTAATGTATTTGCATAATATTTCCTTATCTTAATATCCATAAAATTCATAGTGATCTTACCTCTCTCATTCCTGACATTGGCAATTTGTTTACGTTTTTTTCCTGATCAGTCATTCTACAGGTTTATCAATTTTATTGCCTTTTGAATAAACCAAATTTTATTGATTTTTCTCTAAAATTTTCTATTGAATTTTATATTTAATTGATTTCTGCCCTAATCTTATTATTTTCTTTCTCCTGCTTACTTTAGCTTTACTTTTCTCTCCATTTTACTAGTTTCTACTTGGAAGCTCAGGACATTGGCTTGAGACCTGTATTCTTTTATAATACAGGTATTTACTGCTATAAATTTCCCTGCCTTACATGGGATCTTACAAATCTGGATACATTGTGTTTTCATTTTTGCTTAGTTCAAACTATTTTTAAATTTTTCTTTTGAGTTCTTCTTTGACTTATGGATTATTTAGAATGTGTTAGTTTCCTAATATTGGAATATTTTCCAGAGGTCTATTACCAGTTTCTAATTTAATTCCATTGTTGTCAAAAAACATTGTATGCTTTTGGGTTTATTGAGACTTCTTGTATGAACCAGAATAGGATCTATTATGGTAAATGTTTCATGTATGCTTGAGAAGAACATATATTTTGCCATCATTAGGTGAAGTATACTGTAAATGTCAACTAAGTCAAGTTGGTTGATTGTGTTGTTCAAGATTTCTGTATCCTTACTGATGTTCTTTCTACCAGTTTTATCAATGAGAGAGAGGTATTTAAATCTCCAACTTTAATTGTTGGTGTGTCTGTTTCTCCATATAGTTTTGCTAGTTTTTGCTTCATATATTTGGAAGTTCTGTCACGAGATGCAGAAATGTTTAAGATTTTTATATCCTCTTGATGAGCTGACCCTCTTGTATTACAAAATGACCCTCTTTATTGCTAGTGATATTCTTTGTTCTGAAATCCACCCTGTCTTATATTAATATAGCCACTCCAACTTTCTTTAGATGAGTGTACACAGGATATATAATTTTCCGTTATTTTTACTTTGAATCAACTTGTATCTCGTTATTTAAGGTGAGTTTGTACAGCATATAGTTGAGTTGTGGGTTTTTTGTTTGTTTGTTTGTTTGTTTGTTTTTTAGCCAATCTGACAGTCTCTGACTTTAAGTGGTGTTTTAGACTATTTATATTTCGTGTGATGATTTATATGGTTAGGTTTAAATCTTCCATGTATCTATTTGTTTTCTTCTTGTCCTATTTATTCTTCATGCCTTTTTTAATGTTTTTCTGTCTTCTTTTAGGATGATGAATTTTTTAATGATTCTGTTTTATCTCCTTTGTTGGCATATTAGCTATATCTATTGTGTTATTTTAGTGGTTGCATTAAGATTTACAGTGCAACTTATCACCATAATTATCAGTTATCACTTATTGTATACTATAAATACCTTAAAATAGTATATTTCCATTTCTCTCCACCTGGTCATTATGCTGTTGTTATCATATATTATTCTAAACAGAGTATAAACTCCAGAATACAATTTTATTATTTTTTGCTTTAAATGGCCAATTACTTTTTAAATATATTTAAATAACAATAATTATTAAATAATTATAATAAAATCAAATATATATAAATTATTATACAAATTATTTTATATTTACTCACAGTTATTTCTAGTGCTCGTTTTCTCTTGGTTGATCCATGTTTCCTTCTGGTGTCATCTTCCTTCTACTTGGAAGACTTTCTTTAAGATTTCTTAGAGTGTATTTCTGCTGGTGATTAGTTCTTTCAGCTTTTGTATGTCTGAAAAAGTCTTTATTTGGCCTTTGTTTATAAGGCACAGTTTTGTTGGACATAAAATTCTATGTTGACGTCTCTTTTCTTTCAGTAATTTAAAGATGTTGCTCCATTGTCTTTTTTTTTTTTTGGCTTGTATTGTTTCTAGTTAAAAATCTGCTATCATTCTTATTTTTGTTCCTCTGTGTATGGTGCATACAATTTTTTAACCCATTTGGCTGCTTTAATTATTTTCTCTTAATCACTGGTTTTAAGTAATTTGATTATTAAAGTGGGTAGAATTGTGTTACCACAAAATAATACATTCAAGTCCTAACCCCTGGTACCTGTGAATGTGACCTGATTAGAAATATGGTTGTTCCAGGTGTAATCAAGTTTAGATGCAGTTATACCAGATTAGAATGGGCCCCAATCTAATGACTGGTGTCTCTATAAGGTGAGGGAAATTTGAACATAGATACACAGAGAAGAGAACGTTGTATGGAGACAAAGACACACAAAGAAAATGCTACATGATGATGGAAGTAAAGATGGGACTGATGCTTCAAGCCAAGGAACACCAAGGATTGGTGGCAGCCACCAGAATTACAAAGAGGCAAGGAAGCCTCCTCCCCTAGGACCTTCAGAGAGAGCATGGCCCTGGCAACATCCTGATTTCAGGCTCTGGCCTCCAGGACTGTGACAGAATAAATTTATTTTAAGCCACATAGTTTTTGTTACAGCAGACCTAGGAAACTAATACATTTGTGATGTGCCCCGATGTAGTGTTTGTGTTTCTTATGCTTGGATTTTATTGAGCTTCTTGAATCTGCAGGTTTGTCATTCTCATCAAGCTTAGAAACTTCCATGAAATCTTCAAATATTTTTCAGCCCTCCCCAGCTTCTTTGGGAACGCCGATGAAATGACCCACAAATACTCTGATCATTTTTTAAGCTTTTCTAACTCATCTCTAAGTTTTGTTTTGGATCTATTCAGTTGTTCTGTTGCTGTATTTTCAAGTGCACTAACCTTTTCTTTTACAATGTTTAATCTGCTATTCATCCCAGCCAGCGTATTTTTCATCTCAGACATTGTGGTTTTCATCTTTTGATGTTTTCTTCTCTTGATGTTTGATTGGAGGCTTTAATGCATCATCTCTATATCTACTAAAATGTTCAATCTTTCCTCTAGCTTCTTGAATGTGTTTAATGCCTTTATTATCACTGTTTAAGTGTCCTTGTCTTTTAATTCTATTATCTGTGTTATTTCTGGCTTTCTTTGAGTGACTCATTTTTCTCATTATGGGGCTTATTTTATCACTTCTTTGCATGCCTGGTAATTTTTGATTGGATAACAGAGACGTTGTGAATTTTGCTTTTTGGGGTGCTGGATATTTTTGTATTCCTCTAGGTATTCCTGAGTTTTACTCTGTGACACATTTAAGTTACTTGGAAACCATTTAGTTCTTTCAGGACTTGTTTTTAAGTTTTCTGAGATGGGAGCAGAGCAGCATTTAGTCTAGGACTAACAGCCTACTGAGAAGCACTCTACTCTATGCTCTGTGAATTGTGAAACTTTCCACTCAGGGTGGTGGAAAATTTCCACTCAGGAAGCTAGAAACTATTCCTAGCTTGTTCCTTAACCCTTTTGGATGACTATTTCCTTAGTCTCGGAATATGGAAGAATCATGTAGCCAAGGCCTAGGTATCCACTAGGTAGGATAGGCACAGTGCCTAGGGCCTACAGTACTTTCAGGGGCTCATGAAAATATTTTAATTTATTTTATGATTGGAAAAAAAGTCAAAGAAAATGTTTTAATACATGCTAAGATATTCATCTTTATGACAATATAATTGGAAAACGTGGCTATGTGGAGGAAGTGGTACAGGAAGGCAAAGTTGACTGGGGCCCACAGAAACATAATGCAATCTTGCATGTGGGTGGGGGAGAGCATATTGGCTATGAGCCGGGGGTGAGCATCATCTCTCAACAGATAGTAATGAAACGGTGTAATTGGGTGAGCTTCCAAATAAAGCTGGTTTCTTGGGAAACAAGCCAAAAGCAAAGCTTGGGCTCTGGGTTTGACCCCTAATGGATTGGCAAGAGAAAAAGGAGGAACAGGGTGGCCAGAGAGAGAAAGGCCGTCAACGAGGCGGTGTGGGTGGAGTGCAGAGCAGGGCACTTAAAGTCGGCACACCCAGGACAAGTTCACTTGCATTTGTCAGCCTGAGTTTCCTTGTCTCTACAAAGGAGTTAGTGCTAACTGCCTTGCAGGAAGGCTGTGAGAATTCAAGGAGATACGTGTGAAAGTTGTGCAGAAAGGACAACATTCTCTGCAAGTGTCTGTTATTAGAGAAACGAGAAGGATCCAAGTAATGGAAACCAAGATTACAGAGAGGGGCGTATTAAAGTCACAGAAGGATACAACTGGGATACATCCTTGGGGCCACTTAATCCAGCGTTCCTAGAGGAAGAAATCAAGGTGTCAAAGGCATCAGAAGCACTGTGAAGTGATGGAGACCATGGACAGTGATATGGTTTGGCTGTGTCCCCACCCAAATCTCACCTTGTGTTGTAATAATCCCCATGTGTCAAGGACAGCACCAGGTGGAGACAATTGAATCATGAGGGCAGTTTCCCCCATGCTGTTCTCATGATAGCGGTGATAGTGAGTGAGTTCTAACGAGATCTGATGGTTTTATAGGGGCTTCCTCCTTCACTTGGCACCCATTATCTCTCCTGCTGCCCTGGTGCCTTCCGCCATGATTGTTAAGTTTCCTCAAGCCTCCCCTGCCATGTGGAATTGTCAATTAAACCTCTCTTCTTTACAGATTACTCAGTTTGGGGTATTTCTTCATAGTGGGGTGAGAATGGACTAATACAAACAGGAACTTACCCACCACCCATACTGCCATGAAGAGTCTGGAAAACAATGTTTCAAAGATTTCAGCCACTATGATCCTGGGAGAGGTGAAGAGGGCCAGGATGCTGCTGAGTATCAGTCCAGTATCCAGCACATGGTAATAAACATGAATGACAATAATGGGACTTCCCATCCAGTTGTGAATGATAGCACTTTGATGTTCGGAGCCCAATGTGCTGCAGGTGATAAGCCCTCAGAATCTGCTAACTCACAAAGTCAATTTTCTCAGAACCTAGTTAGAATGACAGACTCATTTTTTTTTTTTTTTTTTTTTTTTTTTGAGACAGAATTTCACTCTATCACCCAGGCTGCAGTACAGTGGCACAATCTTGGCTCACTGCAACCTCTGCCACCTATGCTCAAGCAATCCTCCCACCTCAGCCTCCTGCCACCTCAGCCTCCCAGGTAGCTGGGACTACAGACACGTACCACCACACCTGGCTAATTTTTGTATATTTTTGCAGAGATGGAGTTTCACCATATTGCCCAGGCTGGTCTTAAACTCCTGGGCTCAAGTGATCCTCCTGTCTCGGCCTCCCAGAGTGCTGGAATTACAAGCATGAGCCACTGTGCCTGACCCTCAATCTCATTTCTAATCCCTAATTGGGTAACCGTCTGATTTGATCGGACAGTTTGGGCTGTGATAGGATCCTTGTCCTGTTATCTGGACTCAGGACCATCTGCCTCCTTTATTCCAGCTCAGAGGGTGAATGGAGACTCGGAATTTCATCCAACTGCTCAGAAAAAAAAGAAAACAGTGAATTACAAGAACAAGCTCAATTCAAGACTAGAGTTCACATTCTTAGAAGGCTGCAGTTCTTCAGTCCAAACAGAATCAGTCAGAGTCTAACCAATTCCTGTATGAAGGCTCAAGGCCAGGACCTGCCTTATAACCCTCCATCCCAGATGGAGTTAATAAAACTGGAGTTCAGTCTTTGTCACCTTGTGCTCAAATACCCTGGCTGGCTTGTAACAAGAAAGAATTAGGGCATAGCTCAGATACAAAAGTGGAAAAAGAAACGGCTATAATCCATGGGGAAGACTTTCTATTTCTTAGTCTGTCTCCTGTCCCAAATAGCTCAGCTCTCCTCCCCCAACTCGTGTTTATGTGTTAAATTTCTTTCTCTTGTAGCAGATGCCACCAGACCGACAGTCCCTAAACTAGGTCAGAGAGAGTGATGAATTGACAAAGTCCCTCAGGCTACATCATCCGCGTCCTCACTTCGTCTCCAGTTCCCTGGCCTGCTTTCCCTGGCGTCTTAGGGTGGCCCCTGTTCCGAGAACCACAGAGGCCTAGGGGGTTCCTCTGTCCAGCTCCAGGATTCCTGATTTGCAAATTATCAGCCCTCATAGCTGGAAGGATGGAGGGAGGTGGGGCTTAACTGTCCCCAGCCCTTTGTGCCTCTCCCGTATGCTGAGTCCTCTCATTTTCATTCCACTCTGGCACTGATGGAATAATGTCAGAGGACAGTTAGCCACTTGAAACAGCAGCCAGAAAACCACACTTCTCTTCTTGAACTTTCATTGTGTTGGGGCCCATTTCCAACAAACAGAATCCAAGTAAGGCCCCCCTGTGTGCAGTTGTAACAGCGTTGATATAGCAGGTAGAGAATAGGTTTTTTTGTTGTTGTTGTTTGAAATAGGATCAAAGGAACCTTATTTCAAATTCCAGGGCACAGAGACCAAGAGAAATAACGACTTGCCCAGTGTAACACAGGAAGGAACAGAGTCCACCGTGTTAAAAGAAGAACTTCAGCTGAATTATATTTAAAGGAGTTTAACTGAGCAATGAAAGATTCGTGAATTGGGCAGCCCTCAGAGTCACAGAGAGGCTCCAGGGATGCCTCATGGTCAGAACAAATTTACAGACCAAAAAAAAGGCGGGGGGAAGTGACCTATAGGAATCTGCAGTGAGGTACAGAAACAACTGGATTGGTTAAGTTTGGCATTTGCCTTGTTTGAACATAGTTTGAACCGTCAGCAGTGAATGAATGGTTGAAGTGTGGCTGCTGGGATTGACCAAGACTCAGCTATCGTTACAGGTGCATACTCCTAAGTTAGGGTTTCAGCCTTGTCTGCCTAGGTTAGTTTGTCCACAAGGACTCAAATATAGAAGTACAGAGTCCTTCTCAGGCCATATTTAGTTTGCTTTAACAAGGGTCAGACTGCAGCCTTACACTTGCTTCCTCCTTCAGTGCACAACAACAACAACAAAAACCTAGATCCGTTTTTTTCTGTTCCGCAGGATGTCCTTTAAGAGAATAGATGGGTCATACTTATAACTAATATTTGAAAGGGAAAATGTTGCATTTTACAAAAGATTACTGTCATGAGTGTTGAAGCAAAAGTCCCGATGGATACTATAGACTTGGGAGTAGATGATTTTTCTTTCCAGTTCGTATTTTAAAAATAATGTTTGGATTTTCACTCCTGGGTAGGATGCTGTAAATTATGGTAGACCAGCGCTCCCACCCAGAAAAAAAGCTAGATCAATTTTTTTTAATCATAGGAATTTTTTAAAAGCATAGGAAAACTGTGGGACCGATGAGGACTAAATCAACTGAAATTTCAAGGAATCATCACTATTATGAAATGAGCTGTCACTGCTAACAGGTTTTCGTCCCTCCTGTCCCCTGGGGGACATTTGTCAATCCTGTCTCTGGGCTGAGAATCAGACTTGGTCCGGAAAGAAAGAGATCACCTGCAGGGGCAGAGAGAAGCCAGTAAGGCTTTTAGGAGTGGAGTTGTGTGGGTCTGGAAGAGAAACTAGAAACTTGAGAGACCCAAGTGCCCAATTTCAAGCTGTATGGGCGTCTGGACAGCTAGACTGTTACCTAAATGTCAAAGGGAAGAACCTTGCAGCCTCCAATGCTGAGGGAACAAAGACCCATCAATGGAGGAATCTGCATCAGGATCACCAGTCACCTGCTGCTCAAGACAGGCACCAGGATGAAGCTGCCTGGGGGAAAAGGCTGGGAACCCCGAATCTCCTGCAGATCTTCAAGGTGAAGGTGTTTGACACCTGCCAGTTTCTCTGTGAGGAGGTTGCAAGGACATGCCCAGAAAATAAGCATCATGAGAGGAAGACTGAGTTTATCTGAGGTTTGACTGCAAAACCAGCCATAACCCAGCTAAATCCCTGATTGGATGGAAATGATCATTCTTTGAATTTATCCACACAGTAGAGCACAGAGGGCTCTGCTATGGTGGAAGGCAACATGTGGAACCTCCATTCTTGTTCTCTTTCTAAATACACAGTGGTAAGTATTTAAATGTATTAAATTTCATTAAGATTAAACATGTAAAAATTACTAACTATACAAAGAAGTGAAAAAATATAACTTTACGATCTAGATATTAACAATGCCTGTATGGATTTTAAAAGAAAAGCATATGTTACTTGTGTATTCTAAAAATAAGAGCACAAAAACTTTGAAAGTAAAATACAGGAAAGAAATGATGTAAACACTAACCAAGAGAAAGCTGGTGCAGCAAAGTAGACTTTAAGTCATGAATGGAGCCAGAATCACATAGGATTCCGATATTGGAGGTAGCAGACAGGAGCTTTAGAATAACCATAAATTAAATAAAATGGAGGCAGGGTGGACAGAATGAATGAAAAGATTCAGAACTTCAAAAAAAACTGTAAATTACAAAGAGTCAATAGAATTTGTAGAATTCAAAAAAACATGTTTGAAATTAATAATGAAATGGGTAGTTTCAACAGCAGATTAGACACAGCAGAATACAAAATTTTAACACTAGAAGAGAAGTCAAGTGCCCAGAGACAAAAAAAGAAAACGTACATGGCATAAGAGCCACATGGGACATATTCATAATGTGTATCACATAATACTATATATGTGTGTATATGTACTCTATATATAGTATTATAGTTTCAGAAAGAGAAGAGAAACATAAGACAAAATCAATATTTTAGAAATACCAAATTAGTATTTTTCAAAACTTATGAATATCGATCCCCATGTTTAAAAAACTCAGAACCTCAAGCAAGAGAAACACAAGCAAAACCACAAGCAGGCAAATCCTAGTAAAACTGTTGAAAAGTGAAGAGAAAATCTTAAAAGCATCCAGAAGCAAAAAAAAAGACACATTACCTTCCAAAAAACAACAATAGAAATGACAGCTGACTTCTCAACAGAAATGATGAAAGCTGGAAGTAATTTAATAACAACTTTGAAATGATGAAAGAAAAATAAGACACAATCTAGAATCTTAACTCAGTAAAATATGCTTCAAAAAATATAGTGAAATAAAAACATTTTGAAGCAAATGAGAACTGAGGGCATTTGTTGCCAACAGGCCTGCGTTAAAAGAATAATAAAAGACAGTTATTCTGGTAGAAGAAAAATGATCCAGGATGGAACTATAATATGCAGGATGAAAAGGAAAAAAAAGAGAAAATGTGTGGTAAATATAAATGAATATTTATTGTACAAGGCAATAACTGTGTCTCATGAAATTTAAAATATATATAGAATTAAAATGCATAACAACAAAAACATAAAAGGTGGGGGTTGGTGAATAGAAGCCAAAGATTCTAAGTTTTTGCCAATATCAGAGAAGTGGTTAAAATAATTGTAAAGTATAACTAAGTGGATAGATGGATGATATGGATTAAGAAAAATTATTTGACTACTCCAAAAGAAGTTAAGAAAAGGCAGAAAGGGACAAAAAATATATGGGCCAAATAGAAAATGAATAGTACATTTATATATAAACCACATTATGTCAATATTGCTAATATAATTAGTAGGATATTTCCAGACTAAATAAAAAAGAAACTCAAATCTCTTCTTCTCACGGGAGTCCTAATTAAAATATAGAAACACAGAAAGGTGGAGAGTAAAGGATACACACACACACACACACACACACACACACATATATACACACACATATACACACACACATATACACCACGTGAACACTAACCCAAAAAAGCTGATGTAGCTATGCTAATATTAGACAAACTGTTTTTTAAGCCAAGATGCGTTGCTTTATTATAAAGATGTTCTTTTTATTATAAAAAGTACCTATCTTACAAATATCACAGTACTAAATCTGTATGCTCTTACCAACAGCTTCAAAATATATAAAACAAAAAATTGAAGAACCAAGGCCGGGCACAGTCGTTCACACCTGTGATCCCAGCACTTTGGGAGGCCAAGGTGGGCAGAGTTCAGGAGTTCAAGACCAGCTTGGCCAACATGGTGAAACCCCGTTTTTATTAAAAATACAAAAACTAGCTGGGCAAAGTGGTGGGCGCCTGTAATCCCAGCTACGCAGGAGGCTGAGGCAGAAGAATCGTTTGAACCTGGGGGGTGGAAGTTTTACAGTGAGCCAAGATTGTGCCATTGCACTCCAGCCTGGGTGACAGAGTGAGACTGTCTCAAAAAAAAAAAAAAAAATTAAGAACCAAAAGATAGTCAATTTCACAATCATAGTGGGAGGCTTTAATACAACTCTCTGAATAGCTGATAGAACAATGAAATTCAGAGGACCAGTGAGCACGTAGGAGACCTGAATGACACAGTTAAAAAGCTTGATGTAATTGGCATGTGATCACACCCAACAACGCCATAAAACATGTATCATAAATAACCATATACTGAGCCATAAAAAAGCATCAGTAAATATCAAATGATTGACATCATTCAGAGTATGTTATCTGATTATCATGGAATTGAGGTAGAAATTAATAACAAAATGACAAGAAAAACACCCCCACTAAAAATTTAACAATGCAGTTTAACATAATTCAGAGGTCTAAGATGAAATAAAAATAGAAACTAGAAAATAATTGAGTAATATTATTAACACATGTCAAGACTGGTAGGATGGAGGTAAAGTGGTGCTTAGACGGAATGATCTAGCCTTAAATGTACATATTCGAGTAAGTTTCCATCTTAGAATGCTAGAAAAGGAAGAGTGAATTTAACATAAGGAAAGAAGAAAAAAGACCATAAAAGCAGAAATCAGTTAAATCTTTTTAAAAATGTAAAACAGTAAATCAAGAGTCAAAAGTTCAAAAAATTTATAAAATTATTTGCTGCATATATGATCAATCATAAAATAAAGAAAAAGAATTTACCAATAACAGGAATGGAAAGAACAGAGCTATAGATCCTACAGATATCGAAATATAAGATAATTTTATGAACAATTTTATTGCAATAAATTTGATTAGCTGGAAAAATGGACAAATGTCTCAAAAAGGACAATTTACCAAACCTGACAGCAGAAAAAACAGAAAGCCTGAACTGACCTATAGCTATTAAAGAAATTGATTCTAGACATGAAGTCCTTGCCCATGCCTATGTCCTGAATGGTATTGCCTAGGTTTTCTTCTAGGGTTTTTATGGTTTTAGGTCTAACATTTAAGTCTTTAATCCATCTTGAATTAATTTTTGTCTAAGGTGTAAGGAAGGGATCCAGTTTCAGCTTTCTGCGTATGGCTAGCCAGTTTTCCCAGCACCATTTGTTAAATAGGGAATCTTTTCCCCATTTCTTGTTTTTGTCAGGTTTGTCAAAGATCAGATAGTTGTAGATGTGTGGTATTATTTCTGAGGGCTCTGTTCTCTTCCATTGGTCTATATCTCTGTTTCGGTACCAGTACCATGCTGTTTTGGTTACTGTAGCCTTGTATTATAGTTTGAAGTCAGGTAGTGTGATGCCTCCAGCTTTGTTCTTTTGGCTTAGGATTGACTTGGCAATGCGGGCTCTTTTTTGGTTCCATATGACCTTTAAAGTAGTTTTTTCCAATTCTTTGAAGAAAGTCATTGGCAGCAGGGATAGCATTAGGAGATATACCTAATGTAAATGATGAGTTAATGGGTGCAGCACACCAACATGGCACATGTATACATATGTAACAAACCTGCACATTGTGCACATGTACCCTAGAACTTGAAGTATAATAAATATATATATATATTTAAAAAAGAAATTGATTCTGAGTATAAATAGGACCTTCCCATGAAATAACCTCTAAGTTTAAATGGTTTCTTTGGTGAATTCTTCCAAATGCCTAGGGAAGAAAGAACAACAGTCTTGTGCAAACTCTTCCAGGAAATAGAAAAAGAGGAAACACTTCTTATGAGGCTAGTATAATCTTGATTCTAAAATATGGCAAGTATATTACAGGAATGAAAAATAATGGCTGAAATTGTACCCAATTTTAAAATATAACTATAAAGCCACAGTAATCAAGTCAGTGTAGTGCTGGAACAAGGATGGAAATATGGATCAGTGGAACAGAATTGAGATTTGTGAAATTTACGGTTAATCGATTTTTGACAAAGATGCTAACAAATCACTAGGGCAAAAGATAGTCTTTTCAACAAATGGTTCTGGGATAATTGAATAGCCACGTGCAAAAAACAAACAAACAACATTACCAAAAAACAAAAACAAAAAGTGAGCTTAGGCCCTTAACTCAGTATAACTATTGATATGGTTGGATTACATTTGGCATTTTGCCATTTTTTGTCTGTAGGTCTTTTGTTCTCCTATTTCTCCTTTACTGCTTTATTTTGTGTTAAATACATACTTTAGTATTCCATTGAAAAGCATCTCTTGCTTTTTTTAGCTATATAATTTATTTTCTTTCCTTTCTTTGTTTCTTCCTTTTTTTTTTTTTTTTCTTTTGAGACAGGAGTCTTGCTTTGTCTCCCAGGCTGGAGTGCAATGGTGCGATCTTGGTTCACTGCAACCTCCGCCTCCCGGGTTCAAACAATTCTCCTGCCTCAGCCTCCCAAGTAGCTGGGACTACAGGTACCTGCCACCACACCCAGCTGATTTTTGTATTTTTCAATAGAGATGGGGTTTCACCATGTTGGGCAGGCTGGTCTCCAACTCCTGACCTCAGGTGATCCACCCGCCTCAGCCTCCCAAAGTGCTGGGATTACAGGCGTGAGCCACTGCACTCAGCCTAAAGTTATTTTCTTAGTGGTTGTGGTAGAGATTACAATACATATCTTTAACCACAGTCAGCTTTATCTTAATACTAACTTAGTTCTGGTAAAAGATAGAAACACTGCTCCAGTATAGCTGTATCCCCCACTCTTTGTGCCATTATTGTCATATAGATGGTCCTGTAGATATGTCATGGTAACAACCATACAAGGTTATAATTATTTCTTTATCTAATTCTATGTATTTTAAAGAAGGCAACACATAAAATATATTTAGAGAGTCCCTTGTAGTAACTCAATTATTTGTTATTTATGGTACTTTTTTTCTGTGCCTTTTTTTTTTCAATTTGAAGAAAATGCTTTAATATTTCTTCTTTAAAAAATTTTTTTTGTAGATATAGGGTCTTGCTGTCTTGCTGTGTTGCCCAGGCTGGCTTCAAACTGCTGGTCTTAAGCAATCCTTCCCCCTCAGCCTCCCAAAGTATTTAGTGTTTCTTATAAGGCTGAATTGCTACCAATAACTTTTTTTAGTCTTTGTTTATCTAGGAATGTCTTTATTTTGCCTTCATTTTTGTTTTCTTTTGTGTTTCTCTGTTTTGTCTGTTTCTTTTTCCTGTCCTTTGTGGGTTACTTGAATGTGTTTTAGATGTCTGTAGTGTTTTTGAGTACATCTTAGTGTAGATTTTTAATGGGTTACTCTTAAGTGTTACGTAATTCCTTATGCTGTGGTGATCTTGACATTTTACCAGTTCAAGTGAAGTATAGAAAGCGTCCCTCCATTTAAGATTCATTACCTCTCCATTTATAATATAATTGTCTTAAATATTTTCTCTTTATACATTGGGAACATCAGACAATATTATAACTTTGTCATCAGTGATGAAACACAAGTTAGAAAAACAGAGGCTGGGCGTAGTGGCTCACACTGGTAATCCCAGCACTCTGGGAGGCTGAGGTGGGCAGATCACTTGAGATAAGGAGTTCAAGAGCAGCCTGGCCAACATAGTGAAACCCATCTCTAGTAAATACAAAAATTAGCTGGGCATGGTGGTACGTGCCTGTAGTCCCAGCTACTCAGGAGACTGAGGCAGGAGAATCACTTTAACCCCGGAGATGGAGGTTGCAGTGAGCCAAGATCGCACCATTGCACTCCAGCCTGGCGACAGAGCAAGACTCTGTGTCAAAAATAAATACATAAATACATAAATAAATAGAAAGAAAGAAAAGAAAAAGGAAAAACAGGAGGAGGAAAGTCTTTTATTTATTTATTTATTTATTTATTTTTTGGAGACACGGTCTCATTCTGTTGCCCAGGCTGGGGTGCAGGGACACCATCGTGGCTCACTGCAGCCTCAGCCTCCCAGGCCCAAGTAGCCCTCCCATCTCTGCCTCCTGAGTAGCTAGGACTACAGGTGTGCACCACCTCTTCTGGCTAATTTTTTTTATTTTTTTTTTAGAGTCACACTCTTGTTGCTAGGGCTGGTCTCAAACTCCTGGGCTCAAGCAATCCTCCCTCCTCAGCCTCCCACAGTGGTGAGATTATAGGTGAGAGTTACCACATCTGGCCTTTATACTTATTTTTACTTTTTTCGTTGTTTTTTTCTTTTTTCCTGAAATTACAAAATGTATTCATTTATTTATTTTTGAGACAAGGTCTTGCTTTGTCACCCAGGATGCAATGTAGTGGCGTGATCTTGGCTCCTCACTGTAGCCTCGACCTCCTAGGCTCAGGTGATCCTCCTGCCTCAGCCTCACAAGTAGCTAGGACCACAGGTACATGCCATTATGCCAGGGTAATTTATGTATTTTTTTTAGTAGAGATAGGATTTTACCATGTTGCCTAGACTGGTCTCACAAAATTTATTATTTTTTTTTATTTCTTTCTGTTTTCTTAGGCATTCTTTTTGGATAGGTCTAGTTGTAACACATTCTTTTAGTTTTCCTTTATTTGAACATGTCTTGATTTCTCTTTTATTCCTGAAGGATATTTTTGCTGGATGTGGAATTTCACATTGACACTATCTTTATTTCAGCTTTTGAAAACTGTGCTACTTCCTTCTGGCTTCCATGATTTTTGGTAAGAAATCTACAGTGTTTGAATCTTTGTTCTGCTATAGATAATGTGCTATTCCTCTCTTGCCTCTTTAAAGACTTTTTCTTTGAATTTAGTTTCCAGAAGCTCTATTATGTTGTGTTTTGGCATGGATTTCTTTGAATTTATACTATTTGGCATTCATTCAGTTTCTCAAATATATAGATTTATGTATTTTGCCAAATTTGGGACTTTTTCAGCCGTTATTTCTTTAAGCTCTTTTTCAGCCTTCTCCTCTTTTTCTTTTGTATATTTTTAGATTGCTCGTTTTATTGTAATTTGGCTAGAGAGAGAAGAGTTTTCTTGGGGCTTTTTTGGCCTTCTCTTGTTGGTGTTCTCAGGTTGCTGATGTCTCCAGCAGTCAGTTTGGGATATAAGAAACAACAGGGGAATTCATGGAACTCATCACTTTCTCATTCCTCAGGTCCTGAGATACCAAAGTGATCTGCCTTTTCTCGCCACCTTTCTGAGTCTGTTTATACTTGTCTTGTTTATAATGTTCAGGGATTTTAGCTGTACTTAGCTAAAACAGGGAGAAGTATATCTACTTCATTTTGTCCAGCACCAGAATTCTGTTTTGCCTCATCTTTGAAGGGTAGCTTGGGCGAGTATAGAATTCTCGGTTGATAATTGTTTTTTCCTTCAGTGCTTTTGAATATGTTCTTTACTGCGTGGCCTCCATCGTTTCAGGTGAGAAGTGAGCTATTAATCATGATGATAGCTCCCTAGAAATATAAATAGAGTCCATTTTTTTCTTGTTTCTTTTGAATTTTTTTTTTCCTCTTTGACTTTCAATCATTTAACTATAATGGGTTTAGGTGTGAATATCTTTATATTTATTTTATATGGAGTTTTTGGAGCTATTTTGCGTGTATTCTGGTATTTTTCATCAAAATGGGGAAGTTTGGGGCCATATTTATTAAAATATTTTCTCTGTACTTTTCTCTCTTTCCTCCTTTCCTGAGACTTCCATTATACATATGTGGCTTTGTCTCACAGGTCTCTGAATCTCTGTTTATTTTATTCAATAGCATTTACTTTGTTTTTAAGATGGGATACTTTCTATTGATGTATCTTCACACACATTATTTCTTCTGCCATCTAGAACTTGCTGTTGAACCCATCTGGTGAATTTCTATTTCAGTTGTTCCTTTCAAGTACAGAATTTACATTTGGATCTTTCTCCTACAACATCTGTCTCCTTACTGGAATTCTCTATATGTTAATTCATTTTTGTTCTACTTTTCTTTAGTTCTTTGAAAATGGTCTCCTTTAGTAATTTAAATATAACAGTTGCTTTTAAGTTCTTGTCTGCTAAATCCAACATCTGCAGATACGAAGAGACTATTCACTTTTTTTCATGAGTATGGATCACACTTTGCTGTTTCTTTGCATATCTTATAAATTTTTGGGATAAAAACTACACATTTTAAATATAAGTTGAATATCCCTAATCTGAAATCTGAAATTCTCCAAAATCCAAAAGTTTCTGAGCACTGACATGATGCCACAGTAGAAAATTCCACACCTGACCTCGTAGTTGCCATCAAAAATGCAGTTAAAACTTTGTTTCATGCACCAGATTTTTAAAAATATTATATAAAATTTCCTTCAGACTATGTATATGAGGTATATAGAAACATACATAAATTTTGTGTTAAGACTGACTTGGGTCCCATCTCCACGATATTTCATTTTGCATATGCAAATATTCCAAAATCCAAAATAATCCAAAATCTGAAACACTTCTAGTCTCAAGCATTTTACATAAGGGATAGTCTATGTGTTTATTGTAACAACTCTAGATGCTTGTTTTTTCCCCAGAAAATTGTTACAATTGTCATTTTGGAGCTTTTATATG
Source organism: Homo sapiens (assembly GCF_000001405.40). Lineage (NCBI taxonomy): Eukaryota > Metazoa > Chordata > Mammalia > Primates > Hominidae > Homo > Homo sapiens. The sequence goes on from NC_000008.11 coordinate 10,456,557, forward strand.
TTTCTTTATTTTTTGTCTAGTAATCTGCCTGGGCTCAACTGGTGAAATCTATTTTCCTTATGATGTATAGACTCTGATGTCTCTGCTTCTTCATTTTTCAGTCTGACTTCCTCGGGTTGATCTTGTGCCTGTGTAGCATGGTGGCCAAGCAGTTGATTAGATAAGGTTGGGCTCAAACAGCTTTATCCAGTAAGGCTTCCATCATTTGCCAATTCATCTATGTCTGATTAGCAAAGTGCATTCAAAGTTCAGCCATTTTAAAGTCTTCCCTGGCGTTTACTTTCCGGCAAGCCCTCTCATGTCTCCTCTGTGCACAAACACAGCCCCAGGGTCAGCCAGGAATGTGTGGATAGCTCAGCCCCTCTGTGGTCTTTGGGGTACATATGTGCAGCTTAATCCAAGAGTATGTTTGTCTCAAGCATTACCAGAACTCAAGCTAGTAGAGCCTTTGGACTTCCCTGCTAATCTACCACCAAGATTATTCATTCCTCTAAGAATCTATTGAGTCTCCTTCCACTGTGGCAGAGAATCTTCCAGTTCTTACAGTTCTGTCGCAGCAGAACTTCTGTGTCAACCAAGCTGGGAGGTATGGAAACGGCCACAGGGCAAGATTCCCACAGTTCGTACCTGAAGCTCAGCACATTTTCAAGCAAAGCTACTTCTCAGATTATTATATGCGTTTGATTTCCAGAGTGCTAAGATGGTTTTGTTAATTTTGTCCAGCTTTGCAATTGCTTTTTAGGAAGAAAATTTGCTGACGTCATCACTAAGCCATAGCCAGAAGTTCTTCTCCTTTAAGATTTTAGTATAATTAAATTTCAAACAAATTTCACACAATTTTCACATGGCTTTTATTTAATGAAATGACATTGGAAGATTGGAAGCTGATTCCACTTTCCAGTTACAACACAGCATTTGAAATGTTGACATAGTCATTAAATGCCTCTTCAGGAGAGATTAATTCGATACAATACTGTATTCGGTATTTTGTGGTCACAATTCCAGAGAGCCAGAGCTGTGAAATTATAAAAGCTACCCTTCTCCAAAGAGCATAGGAGAACCCATCTGTGTTATTTATTGCTGTGTAACAAACTACCATAAGTTTAGCAACTTACAAAAGCCACATGTTTATTACTTCAGTTTCTGCAGGTGAGAAATCTGGGCATAGCTCAGATTTCATGGTCTCTCACAAGCTGCAATCGAAGTGTCACCTCATCCTGGCTTGGATCTCATCTGGATCCTTAACTGGAGGAGGAATCTGTTTCCAAACTCATGGGGTTGCTGGCCAAATTTCAGTTTCTCAAGGGCTGTTGGACTGAGGGACTGAGTTCTTAGGTGGCTGTGGGCTGGATGCTGCCCTCAGTTGCTTGCCAAGTGGCCTCCTCCACGTGGAAACTTGCTTTAATAACAGCCAGCAAGGGAGTGGGTCTGCCAGCGAGATGGAAGCCAGAATCCTTAGTATTTTAATCATTGAGAAGTGTGATCCCCTCCATGTGGAGTATGCTGTTGATTAGAAGCAAGGTACTCAGGGGAAGAGAAGGGTGTACGGTAGTCAATACAAGCATGTGGGCATAATTGGAAGCCATTTGAGAAGCTCCTCACTGTACCATCTCATTAAAACATGAGCAGAAGGAAAATACTGAGTTTAACTCACACATTTATTTTTAAAAATGAAAAAATCAGCAGACTAATATTTCTATTGACAATCATGGCTCATCAGAAAATATGATTATAAAATACATGGGAACCATCACCAAATATATACAAGTGATATCAAATAAATTTTTTAAATGAAAAAAGCTATTAACAGCACAAATCAGAGTTAGAAATGTGATAATATGCCAAAGGAAAAATGGAAAAGAGATCTAACAGCGATAAGGAAATATTTTAAACGAAAAAGCCACTAAAGTAATGAGGACTGAACTGGAATTAACGTAACCAAAATGCCTCTATGGATTGTACTATATGGATAATAGGGAATACAAAGATAGAAACAGAAAAAAAGTTTGAAAAACAGATTTTTTCCAAGTAATTGATTGATATAGTAGATAATAAATATCTAACATATGTATAATAGATTTTCCTAAAGAAAAAAAGCGATGGGCAAAGGGTGATTAGTGAAAGTTATATTTGTTAAAAATATCCTGAAATAAAGGAAAGCTTTAACCTGTATATTGAAAGGACACACTACTGAGCTGGAAAAATCAGTCCAAAATGCTCAAAATTGAGACATATTTAAATATAGTAGTTCTCAGACATTTTCCTTTTAGGATCTCTATACAGTCTTAACAATTCTTGATAATCCCAGAGATCTTATATTTACATGGGTTACATATATTAATATTTATCATATTAGAAAACTAACACTGAGAAAGTTAAAAATGTATTTATTGATTTTAAAATAATAAACCATTTTTCATAATATAAATAAAATACTTTATAAAAATAATTGTATTTTCCAAAACACACAAAAAAAGAACTGTGGCATGTTTTACCTTTTTTCGAATTATTTTAAAGACTGGCTTAATAGAAGACAGCTGGATTCTTCAGTGTGCTTCTGCACTCAATCTGTGGCATTATATCATTTGGTTGAAGTATATGAAGGAAATCTGGCCTTTCACATATATGTAGTTCGGAAAGAGAAGACTATTTTCACAGCCTTTTTAGATAGTTGTGGATATTTCTTGATACTATTCCAAAATTTGAAAAGTGGTCATTTTTAAAGGTCAGTTGCAGTATGGAATCTATAGCCAAATCAGTGAGCTTTCCATACTCTGTTATATTAATATTTATCAGGCTTTTTGTGGATCTTTTACTTATGCATTATTTTATAGCATCAAACAGGCATTATTTGGAAAATGTTGGTTCACTGCTATGCAGATTTACCAAATGTTCACACAGTTTGTGATACAATATTAAAAAATCAGATTCATCAGCATCATCACCAATCTTATTATAAAAACCTTTAAGTCAAAAATCAACTCAAGATAGATCAAAGACGTAAATATAAGCTCTGAAACTAAAAAACATTTTAGAAGACAACATTGGAAAATATCTTCTAGAATCAGCCTAGGCAAAGAATTCATGATTAAGACCCCAACAGCAAATGCAACGAAACAAAAATAAATAAATGGACCTAATTAAACTAAAAAGCTTCTGCACAGCAAAAGAAATAATCAGCAGAATAAACAGACAACCCACAGAATGGGAGAAAATATTTGCAAACTACACGTCTGACAAAGGACTAGTATCCAGAATTTACAAAGAACTCAAACAAATCACCAAGAAAAAAACAATCCAATTTAAAAGCGGGCAGAGGACATGAATAGACATTTCTCAAAAGACGATATACAAATGGCCAACAAATGTATGAAAAAATGCTCAACATCACTAATCATCAAGGAAATGCAAATTAAAACTGCAATAAGATGCCACCTTACTCCTCCAAAAATGGCCATTATTAAAAACATGCATTGTTTTGTGGATGTTGGTGTGGATGTGAGGAAAAGGGAGTGTTCTACACTGCTGATGAGAGGGTAAATTAGCACAACCGCTATGGAAAACAGCATGGAGATTCCTTAAAAAGCTAAAAGTAGATTCTACCATTTGATCCAGCAATCCCATTACTGGGTATCTACCCAGAGTAAAAGAAGTCATTATATGAAAGACACTTGTACACGCATGTTTATAACAGCACAATTCACAATTGCAGAGATATGGAACCAACCCTAAGTGCCCATGAACTAATGCGTGGATAAAGAAAATGTGGTATGTATACACCATGGAATACTAATCAGCCATTAAAAGGAATGAAACAATATATTTTGCAGCAACTTGGATGGAGCTGGAGGCCACTATTCTAAATGAAGTAACACAGGAGTGGAAAACCAAAAACCGTATGTTCTCACTTATAAGTGAGGACTATGCTATGAGTACGCAAAGGCATACGGAGTGATATTAGTATTATGAACTTTAGAGACTTAGGCGGGTGGTGGGAGGGGGACCAGGGATACAAAACTGGACATTAGGTACAGTGTAGAGTATGGAGGATGCACCAAAGTCTCAGAATATGCAATTAATTTATGGAACAAAAAAACCACTTGTTTCCCAAAAGCTATTGAAAAATTTTTAAACACAAACCTTTAAGTTTGGGAAGCTGTCAAGCTCATGGTGCTGGCTATGAATACCAAGTTTTCTGAAATAGTAAAATGTGCCTGAAAGTTCAGTGTTATCATTGGCAGTAAATATTTTTAAATGACAGGATTACTTTTATTAATTTTCAAGAAATGCTTGCCAAATAGCCACATTCAAATAATGATAGTTTGTCTATAAGTTGTTCTTTGAAGAAAAAATGGTGTTTTTTGAAAAACGTGCCAAGTTCAACTTGCACCTCAAACAATTTCACACACACTTTTCCTTGAGCTAATTAATCATCACACTTCAGGTGTGGAGCAGAAATCCATGATGTGTAATTTTCATTTCTTCACAGAGTATTCAAAAAATGTATATTCAAGCATTGACATTTAATACAATTAATCATTTTTAGTACTTCATCAAGGATATTCTTAAGTAAAACGCATTTTTTTAGTACTGTGAGTGATTGGTAGTGAGGAATTCAGTAACTAACACTATAATTGGTTACTAGAGCCTTGATTCATGATCAGACACTATTTCTTTTGGAGTGTCATTGCAAATATCAACAAAATTAAAAAGGGCAAATGTATGATTAGGAAGATAGTTTTTAATCTCATGAGTCCACTGGAAGGTTCAGGAACCCCCGTGTGTTGTTCATGGTTCACACTCTGAGAGCCACTGTTTCAATATAGCTACTTGGCTTAAAGAAAAAGAAAAAAATCCTTTGAACATCCAGGCTAAAAGGTCATATCATTCCTAAGAAAAAGAAAATGAGTTTGACCTTAGACTTTTTGACGGAAGTGCTTTAGGCTAGAAGAAAACAGAATCCTATACTTAATATTTATAAAAAGAAAATTTATGCCAAGCATTTTATATCCAGCCAAACTGACCTCAAATTATAAAGGCCACATTCAACTTTATGAACATACCAGAGCTCAGAAAATTTTGTTGCCATAAGCCTTTTCTAAGGAATCTACTACAGAACAAACTTGAGCCTGCCAAAATAATTTGAGAGGTATTATATAAGGGTGCATAGTGAGCATATAATATACTTGCAGTAGAACTGAGACCATAAGATAGAGTGAAGAACGCAATATAGTATATAATAGTGTTATGTTTTGACAATATAGCTATAGAACAATGATAAAAAATTCGGAGGAAATAGGAACAGTACTGTGATGCTTAATTTTATGCCTCAACTTGATTGGGCTAAAGGATGCCCAGATAGCTGTTAAGACATTATTTGGGTGCACGTCTGAGAAGGTGTTTCCAGAGGAGATGAGCATTTGAATCTGTAGACTGAATAAAGAAGACCAGCCCTCATCAATGTGGGTGGGCATCATCCAGTCTGTTGGGGGCACAGATAGAACAAAAAGGTTGAGGAAGGACACCTTTGCTTCCTGTTTGAACTGGAACATCCATCCTCAGACATCAGTACTCCTGGTTCTCAGGCCTTCAGACTAGGACTTAAACTATTATTGCCTTCCTTCCTTTCCCTGCCCTCCGGTTTCTTAGGCCTTTGGACTTGGATTGAATTACACCACTGGCTTTCCTGGTTCTCCACCTTGCACATGGCAGATTGTGAGATTTCTTGGCACCTATAATCACATGAACCAATTCTTATAATAAATCTATCTGTCTATATCTATATCTACATCTGTCCTCCTACTGGTTCTGTTTCTCTGGACAACCCTAAGACTAGTATATAAAAAATAGAACAAACTTTCAGATTGAGAAAAAAGACATACAAGGCAAATGCATAAGAGATAAGTTTTATGATATATTGATATTCAACATCTTAACATAATTAAATGAAGATGGGAAGTCATTGAAAGAACAAAGGAGAGTTCATGTTTACTGCTACAATGTGCAATGAAGATATAAGTTATTAATATTTTTGGAAATTTTAAAACATCTCTCCCATACCTATACAAATCAAGTGGACCAAAAAATTGAGTAAGGATGTGGAAAAACCAGCATTGTCAGTAAGCTAGAACACATAAATATATATTGAAGTTGCAAAATCCAATAATGAAAAATTTGCCTTCTTTCCAAGTGCACATTGACCATTATTGTTTTAGTGCATTCTCACACTGCTATAAAGAGCTGCTCAAGACTGGGTAATTTATAAAGAAAGACGCTTAAATGGTTCACAGTTCTGCATTGCTGGGGAGGCCTCAGGAAACTTGCAATCATGGCAGAAGGGGAAGCAAACAGGTCCTTCTTCACATGGCAGCAGGAGAGAGAAGTGCAGAGTGAAGTGGGGAAAAAGCCCCTTATAAAACCATCAGATCTTGTGAGAATTCACTCACTATTATGAGAACAGCATGGGGGGATCCTCCCCCATGATTCAGCTACCTCCCACCAGGTCCCTTCCATGATGCATGGGGAAGATTATGGGAACTACAATTCAAGATGAGATTTGGGTGGAGACACAGCCAAAGCATATCAATTATGAAATGAATATATTTTGGGCCACAATGAAAATCTCACTAAATTAAAAAAATTAGCAATAATACCCACAGCATTCTCCAACCACAATAGGATAAAGCTAGAAATCAATAACAATACAAAAATAAAACACTTTTAAAATAATCTGTGAATTTACAAGGATCTTATTAAACCACCACTGGATCAGAGTGAAAATACAGATCCAAATTGCAGAATGTCTTTGAAATGTCAGTAGTGAGCTAAAACGAATCAGCCAGGATGGGTAGATAGCAAACCCATCTCTGCTCCAGAATGACAGCGTGTCATGTGAGGCACTAATCCCGGCTGAATGAATTGCAGCCAGGCACCAGCACCGTCTGCTTCTATTACTTTAGCGTTCTGTCTTGCTTCAGTGACACCAGTGATTACATTGTCTGTTGTCTCAAGACCAAATGTCTTTCTCATCATGTGTGTTGGGGACATGGGCAATGATTCACATAAGAGCCAGTAGTTCCTACCCTGGCACCAGCATTGGCCTCAGCTATGTCCATGGATCAGTCAAGTATATAGAGCATGAGGCGTGCAGGGGTCAGGGCTCTGCCTCCTTTCTTCTCTGTCATTGGTCAGGCTCATGACCTTGATCGTGTGCAATAATATCTGTCCTTCAATTCTCTTTGTGATCATCCCACCATAGCAACTCAGATTTTAAAAATATCAGTTAAGGAGATCTCTGCCTGCATTTTGGAAGCTTGCTGAGCAGATGGCTTTGCTCCCTTTGGAAAAGTCAGAAGCCAAGGCCAGCGTTTAGTTAGAAAGGGCGTGTTAGCCCCGAATATGCCATGCTTTGTAGGTTAGCTTGGAAGGGGTCAAGAAGAATCCATCAGAAGAACATTCTGATGCTCATATTTTAAACTTGGCTGGAGGCAGATGTACAAGCATCCTTTGGAATGGAAGGGGTGGCAAAGTCCTTTCCTGCAGCACAAGAGGCAGCGTTAGCTTCATGCTTTAACAAGAAAAAGCAGAGAGGCAGGTGGCACCCCAGGGAGTTCCAGACAAGGGATTGATACAAAACCAGAGGAGAAGCACATTTTCTAAAGAATAAGGACTCTATGTAGAGCTGAGACCCTACGCACTGCCCTCACCAAGCCCCATGTAAGTTTCTTCTTTCAGGCAAGCAGGCTTGTCCCAACATTATAACAACACTTAGATACAACAGATACCTGTTGGACAAACAGAGAAACACCAGGAATACAAGTACACATCACAAAACCACGTGAGGATGCAGAGAAGGTGGCCATCTGCAAGCCAAGGGGAGAAGCCTGGGTAGAAACCAGCCCTGCTGACACCTTGACCTCAGACTTTCACTCTCCAGCACTGTGAGAATGTAAATTTCTGCTGTTGAAGCCTGCCCACCTGTGGTATTTTGTTATGGCACCCCTAGCAAAAGAATATGAGTCATGGTTATTTTTCAGATATGAAAACACAGGACCCTTCTTTGCCTCCATGTCTTTGCAGTTCTGGTTCTCTGCCCTTGACACATCCCTTCATGAAGTGTAGCCTTCATGTCTTTTGTAAATCCCTCCTGGACCATACCAGGCAACTGGTGTGTCCTCTGTGCTGTCCAAGCACCTGAAACCACACACCTGTAAAGCACTAATCACAGTGAAAAGAAAATACTTGTTTATGTGACTATCTCCCTCATTAAACTATCAAATTCTCAAAAACAGAGACTGTCTTGTATTGGCATGCAGCTGCACAGAATGATATTAATCCTCATCTTTTGTTCATAAACATTTGACACTGGTTCATACATGGTTTTAAAAAGAAATTAGGTGTTTTTTATTTTATTCTAATTTTTTTTTTGAGACGGGGTCTCACTCTTCTCCCAGGCTGGAGTGCTGTGGCTCGATCTCGGCTCACTGCAACCTCTGCTTCTCGGGCTAAAGTGATCCTTCCACCTCAGCCTCCTGAGTAGCTGGGATTACAGGCACACACCACCATGTCTGGCTAATTTTTTGTATTTTTTGTAGAGATGGGTTTTCGCCATGTTGCCCAGCCTAGTCTCAAACTCCTGGGCTCAAGGGATTCGCCTGTCTGGGCCTTCCAAAGTTCTGGGATTACAGGCATGAGCCACTGCACCACCTAGCCTTATGTTTAATAATTCAGTAGGCAACCATGAACCAATTACCTAAACAATAGCTGAAATGTAATATCTAACTATATTATCACCATCAACAACTATCCTCGATCTTTATCCCATATTAAACATCATCTTGAGTCTTATATTCATGACTTGCTTGCCCTTGATATCCTTTTATGTGATTTAATTACTATAGATACCTACAGGCTTATAGAAACATATATCTATAGATATCTATATGTAGTAATTATATATAATATACATATATTTCTGGGACTGTATTTCTAGAACAAATAGCAATCTATTTTAGATGTTTTTAATATTATAAGATGGGTATCATTCTATATGTAATCTTTTGTCTTAATTATAATTAACCTTCCATTGCTAAAATTCATCCATATTGTTGCATATGGCTGATTCTTTTGTTATTATATGAATAGACATCACTTTAGTCCTCTAGCACTCAATTATTAGGTATTTGTTTTGTTTAGTCTTGCTCTGAACAGCGCTGCTATAAGCTTTCTTGCACATGTTGCCTTGTGTATGTTGTAAACATGTATATGTTTACATGTGTAAGAGTTTCTCTTGGGTATTGTGGTAGGCAGAGTGTTGCCTGACCCAAAGATGGTCACAGTCTAATTCCTAGAACCTACGAATATGTTAGCTTACATGGCAAAGGGGAGTTAAGTTTGCAGATGAAATTTAGGTTTCTCGTCAGTTGATTTTGAGATGGGGAGGGTGTCTGCATTATTTAAACGGGACCAATGTAATTACAAAAATTCCTTATAAGTCAAAAATGGAGGCAGAAAAGAGGACCAGGGAGAGGTCAGCATGAGAAGAACTTGGCCTGATGTTGACTTTGAAGATGGAGGAAGGGATCATGGACCAAGGAATGTGGAACATCTCTGAAATCTGGAAAAGACAAGAAAATGGAACATCCCTTACTGACTCCTGCCAGCACTTTGATTTGAGCCCGGTCAGAGGTGTTTTGGACTTCTGACCACAACCGTAGAGTAATACATTTATGTTGTTTTATGTCACTAAATTTGTGGCGATTTGTTATAGCAGCCATGGGAGACTCATACAGGTAGATAATTACAAGTAGAGCTCCTGTCACAGGCTAATAGATTCCCATCTGTAGTAGATGCGGAGAATGTGGTTTCCAATTATTTGCCCTCTTAATAGCAGACTTTGAAAGTTCTTGTTTGCTCACATGCTGCCAATGCTCCATGTATCAATATTTGTAATGTTATCTTTTCTGGAAGGTTACAGAGTTATCTCAATGTGGTCTTAATTTGCATTTTCTAGATAATTAACAAGTCTAGCACATTTTTACATTTTTATTGGCCACTGAACATCCTCTTTCTTTGAGGTGTTTGTTCAGCCCTTGTGCTCATTTCTTGGTTGATTGTCTCTCCTTTTCGTTATTGATGTGTGGATGTGTTAAATACGTTCTCAGATCAATGTGGTTTTCAGTTACAGGTGTCGCAAATATCTTTTCCTATTGTCGCACCTGTGCCTTCTGATTCAGACATTCTTCATTTTCATGTTTAGTTAGTGCTGGAAATCCACACGTGGCTCCCCGGTTCTGGGGCGTTATCAGGGATGTTCAGCGAAACAAAGTGAGGAACTTCTATGAAGCTCCACCTGCACTCACAGCTCAGGTAGTCAAGGGCTGGTAACCTGGGAAACTATGGGAAGGACAGGGAGCACCCCCTTCACAGTCCCATACTTCCAGGCAGCAGGCTGTGGGGGACAGTATAGCAATACGGTGCCTTTCTGCTATACAGCTGCTTAACTAGCATCGGTATAACGTAGGGCACAGAGATTTTGTGGATGATGTTAGCGCTGTTTGTGGAAAATTATGCGTTGGCTCAGGAATGAAAAGAAGACTTTGAGTTCTGGGGAGATAATCACAAAGAGCGGGGGTGCTGAAAATCTTGGATGCTTTTCCAGAATAGGAGAGTTCCCAAACTGATGGAGTTCAATCCCAGACTCAGGCCCTCTTCAGAAAGAAAGCAACAGCATCCCCACATGGTGACTGTTTTGGGCTCCAGCCCCAGCTCCAGTTCCTCTTTCCTCTCCTCAAACAGAAGAATGACTTCATAGAGAAATCGAGAACATAAATCATGAATACCCAGCCCTGTAGGTAAAGAGGATGATCTCGTGCTAATTCTCAAGAAAAATAGGAAAAGGCCAGGCGCGGTGGCTTACTTCTGTAATCCCAGCACTTCTCAAGGCTGAGGCAGGCAGATCACTTGAGCCCAGGAGTTCAAGACCAGCCTGGGCAACATGGCAAGACTCCATCTCTACAATAAATACAATAAATTAGCCAGGCGTGGTGGTGCATGCCTGTGCTCCCAGCTACTCAGGAGGCTGAGGTAGGAGGATGACTTGGGCCCAGGAGGTCAAGGCTGCAGTGAGCTATGATCACATGACTGCACTTGAATCCTGGGCAACAGAACAAGACCCTGCCTCAAAAATAAAAACTAATAAAAATAGGAAAAGATATTCTATCTTTTGTATTTTGGAGTTAAAGGCTGAGCTGGTTAGATCTAACCTGAGGTCATAAATCAACCGCAAAAACAAAAATGTATGAAAACAACAAAAAAGCATGAATACACTTTAGCATTAGGTTATATATATTAATATTTATAAATCTCTCTACATATGAGTAGGTAGATACAGATATAGATAGATAAAATACACATATATAGATATAAAAATAAATAAAATTTTGTTGGATGTACTCCAGGAAATAGAAAATTTTAGCTGCTTTATCATCTTTACCCAAATAAATTAAAGTTGCCCCTGTAATACATAAGTTTATAAAAGAAAAAAAAAGAAATGAAATGGATAGAGACATAAAAAGTAAGAAAATAGAATTGGTGAAGTTAAAACCAAACAAGCAGCAGCAAAACAAGAACCCAATCCCTTGTAAGTGACAAGGTGGGCTGATGTAAGCTATTCATGCAGAATGCAGAAGACATGGGCCAGGAATGGTGACTCATGCCTTTAATCCCAGCACTTTGGGAGGCTGAGGCGGGCAGATAACCTGAGCTCGGGGGTTCAAGACCAGCCTGGCCAACATGGTGAAACCCCGTCTCTACTACAAATACAAAAATTAGCCGAGCGTGGTGGTGCACACCTGTAGTCTCAGCTACTCTAGTTCAAGCACCAGAATTGCTTGAACCCCGGAAGTGGAGGTTCAAGCAATTCTGAACCCAGGACATGGAGGTTTCAGTGAGCTGAGATCATGCCACTGCACTCCAGCCTGGGACACAGAGTAAGACTCCATCTCAAACAAACAAACCAACAAAAAAGAAGAAGAACGCAGCAGACATTCATGCACGATTCAATGCGGAATTGCAGGAATAAGATGAAAGACACAGGGGACGGACAACTTAGACCCGGCATGTGAGTAACCAGTATACCTGAAGTAAAGAAAAGGGAAAAAATTGGAACTGAAAAGCCTTTGAAATCCATAACAGAAGGAATAAAAACAATTTTCTTGAAACAAAGATTTAAACTACAGAGAAAAAGAATTTTATATAAGAACTTACTCTTCCAGGCAGGATGGAAAACTTTGCAGGAAATTAAAGCACTTGCCAAAAATAACTAGAAAACTCAGATAAAATGCAGAAACCTTATGTTTAAGGGCATAAAGACCTGCTAAAGCAAGCCTAGGAATTTTAAAAGAAGAAGAAAGCAGAAATTGAGGCCGAGTCAGTATTTGGAGATACGACAGGCAAGAACTTCCAAGAATTGATGAAAGACATCAACTCATCAACTGAAATAATTTTGTGTGTCACCAGCAAGGTAAATACAAGAGAACCACACCTAGGAATACCATGTTCAAACTGCTGAAAACTAAGTATAAGGGAAAAAAAATCTCAAAAACAGCAAAACAATGCATACTATCATCAGAGGAATAACAGTGAAGTCGGCAGACTTTTTAACTTATGCTTAAATTCCAGTGTTGAAAATTAGTCCCGTGGTCTTGCCTAGATGCAAAGGGGACATTATGAAATGCAATGTCTGGATGAGCAGAGACTCCCTTCCTTTCTTCCTTCCCCTCCCTTCCCCTCCCCTCCCTCCCTCCCTCGCCCCCTCCTTCCCTCCCTCCCTCGCCCCCTCCTTCCCTCCCTCCCTCGCCCCCTCCTTCCCTCCCTCCCTCGCCCCCTCCCTCCCTTCCTCCCTCCCTCCCTCCCTCCCTCCCTCCCTTCCTTCCTTCCTTCCTTCCTTCCTTCCTTCCTTGACGTAGTCTCGCTCCATCACCAGGCTGGAGTGCAGTGGCGCAATCTCCGCTCAGTGCAACCTCCACCTCCCAGGTTCAGGCAATTCTCCTGCCTCAGTCTCCCAAGTAGCTGGGATTACAGGCGCATGCCACCATGTCCAGCTAATTTTTGTATTTTTAGTAGACACAGGGTTTCACCGTGTTGGCCAGGATGGTCTCAATCTCTTGACCTTGTGATCCGCCCGCCTCGGTCTCCCAAAGTGCTGGGATTACAGGCGTGAGCCACTGCGCCCAGCTGGGCAGAGACACTTTCTAATGTCCTTCTACAACATGGAAAGGAAGCATGATTTCTGTAGACCGTTAACCACTTCCAGCATATTGCCCCTTACCCTTCATTGATGCATTCCTACTGCTTTGGTGAAAGAAGCATCTTTAGACCTTCTTATGGGACATAAAGAGGGATGGAGAGGGATTCATTAGCATAATGAATCTGCCCCAACTTCTCATCTCCCTAAGAATTTGTATCCTTTTCTCTTCAGTGTAACTAGAAATATCTGACATGACTGCATCATTTAATGTAGAACACTTTTAAATGCAAGGTTTAATTAACCAAGCAAACTATTAGAGCCACTCCCATCTGTTCATTAGTTTATTGAATTCAGAATATGCCATAAACTAATTATATGGATTAATCCAGTCCACTCCAGTGCTATGTTTTTCCCCCTTGTTTTAGTACTTTTAGATTTTATCTCAACCATATTTTGCAGGTGCATTCTGATGTCTTAGCAAAATTTTAGCATCCTTTTGTTGTTTAATGTCCTCCAGATCCAATTTTTGTACTTTTTTTTCCTGTGGGATACTGTGAAATTGAGTTGTATTTATAATCCTGGAGGCCAGGAGAGTTGGTGGGTTGGGTTTTGAAGATAATTAGCATCCTTCTATAAAGTAACTGCTTCATATGAGATCATTCCAGGACTCTCAAGCAGGAAATGGCCAGAGTTTTCAGAAGAGAGGAAAGGTTTTTTTTGCTGGTAAGTGAGACTCAGTGGGATTTGTGTTTTCAAGGTACTTGAATACTGTATTAATCGTGCCTTTTTTTGTTTTTGAAGTTTTTGTATTTTCAGTGTTTTGTATTTATGGTGTTTGATATCTGGGACCTTGTTGATCCTAGAGTGTCTGCCCATCCCAGGGCTGGACAGTTCCTAGACAGAGTAAAAGACTCGTCTGCAAGTGCACTTTTCATATGCAACCCAACCAATGCAAAGCGACTACCCACCAAATACCTCCTTTATTGTGCTCTCTCTCCCCTAATCACCAGAGCCAGGTGCCAGGCAACTGGCAGCCATCTCTATCCTCCAGAGCCTGCTGAATTATCCACACTAGCCAATCCTCAGCCTGTGGAGCCTGCCTCACCCATTCCTTCCTGCAAAGCCCACAGTAAAGACTCTGCCTGCATGCTCTTGCCTGCTCCTTCTGCCTCTGGTGCTTCCCCATGTGGTTCTGCATGCTCCTCCTCCAGGAAACTGTGAGTAACAAACTCTCTTTTCAATGGCAGTTGTCTTCTGATCTGTTGGCTTTACCACACATAAATAATAATAATGCTTCCATTTTATAACAGATATATGAAAATCTACCCAAATCCTCCTATTTTGAGTCTCAGATGTCTAATCTTTCCCCCAACCCTACCTTTCACATGAGAGACCTAGAAAGGCTGTGAATTGTATTTATATTGTATTCATGCAATCAATAGGATTAAATTTGGAGCCCAAGTATTTGCTACACTGGTTCTACAGCTACAAGAGAGAAGAGGCTTGGCCGGGCACGGTGGCTCACGCCTGTAATCCCAGTACTTTGGGAGGCCGAGGTGGGTGGATCACAAGGCCAGGAGATCAAGACCATCCTGGCTAACACGGTGAAACCCCGTCTCTACTAAAAATACAAAAAATTAGCTGGGTGCGGTGGCAGGCACCTGTAGTCCCAGCTACCCGGGAGGCTGAGGCAGGAGAATGGCGTGAACCCAGGAGGCGGAGCTTGCAGTGAGCCGAGATAGCGCCACTGCACTCCGGCCTGGGTGAAAGAGCAAGACTCTGTCTCAGAAAAAATAAAAAAAAAAAAAAAAGAGAGAGACTTAAGCCAAAAATAAAATAAAATAAAAACCTGAGCTGCTATTTTCTTAAATTCAGCTCTACTCTAAACAATTAGCTTGCCCCCACAGTTCTTGTGTTAACAGCAGCAAATCCATGTGGGTCTGCAGCAACCTCAGTTCTTGCCTCCTCAGAAGAAAGAGTTTGACTGAGGGGCATAAGGAAGAGGGAGAAACTAAGGCAAGTTTTTGAGCAGTAGTGAAAGTTTATCAAAAAGTTTTAGAGCAGGAAAGAAAGGAAGTAAAGTATACTTGGAAGAGGGCCAAGCAGGCAACTTGAGAGATTCAAGTGCGCTGTTTGGCCTTTGACTTGGGGTTTTATACGTTGGCAGGCTTGAGGGGTCTGCATCTCTTTTTCCCTGATTCTTCCCTTGGGGTGGGCTCTCCACACGCCCAGTGGCCTGCCAGCACTTGGGAGGTGAGGATGCGCAGTGTGTTGACTAAAGTTGTGTGCGTGTTCACTTGAGGCATTTTTCCCTTATCAGTCGAACATTTCTGGAGGAAGGTCATATACCAGTTAAACTCTGCCATTTTGCCTCTTCGTGCACATGCTTGGGCCCACTAACCCAGCTCCTGAGATCTTACTGGGAAGCTGCTGGTCACCAGCTTTAGGTGTTTTCTATCTACTGTGAGACTGCCGTTCCCTGGTGCCAGCTGTGACCAATTATTGTTTTAAAGAGACAGCTTAACAACTGCTGAGCATTACCTGAGGGTCACCTGCCACTCCTCATTGGGGGATGGGGATCTCTCCTGCTCTGCTCGTGTCTGCCTCCCTACCTGTTCTACCACTTGTGTTCCTCGTTCCCATCATAATGGCCAATAGCAGCAACCACTTGGGCTACCAAAAGATTGCCTTAAATAGCTATTTTTACCGACTCTCTGTATGCCACTTTCAAGTGGAAACAAAGACATCCAGGTCAGATATCAAATAAAAACCAAACCAGATACCCAGTCCTAGAATACCCAGGTCAGCAAAAAAATGACATAACTCCAGAAATAGACCTGTACTTATACTAATTCAGACCAACTTATTTAGACCAAGATGCCAAGGCAATCCAATGGAAAAAGTAAGGCCTTTTCAATTCAATTGGCTGTGTATATGAAACAAATGAATCCTGACCCATATCACACCATACACAGAAGTAATTTCAAGATAGATGATGGACCTAAATGTTAGAGCTAAAATGATAAAGCTTTTAAAAGAAAATAATACAATATCTTCTCAATATTGGAATAGGTGAAAATTTTTTAGGATTCAGCATGTACTAACGATGAAATAATTGATAAAATGGGTTTAATAAAAATTAAAACCATTTTTAAGAACTCCTCACATTGTATACTTAAGATCAGAGTATTTCTCTTTGCGCAAATTTCAATTTTTTAAAAAACCGACTTTGAGTTATCATTTCTTTCTTATAGAATTAGCAAAAATCTGAAAGTCTGACAACTACTTTGTGATGGAGGCAGAGAAGCACCCCCACTAAACACACATCACACACACGTACACACACACATACACGCACACACAAGTACACACCCAACCACACAGTACACACACAGGTGCACACATACATGCAAACAGTGCATGTGCACACATGTACATGCACATACTACATCTGCACACATACACATGTACATGCACACACATACACATACATGTACACACACACCCTCTCACAGGAGCTTGGTGGAGTGGTCTGCTCATTTCAGCTTCTCTATCTGCCTACTGGCCTGAGGTGAAGGCACAAGACTGCAACCTCTCCTAGCCTCAGCCTTCTGAACTTTAAGCCCAGGGAATTGTCACTGCTCTTACTTCATAGACAAGAGGAAATCTTTTTTAAACCCAGCTTTCTTGGGGACACTACCCCATCTGTGTGTAGCCACCATTCTTTGCTTCCCAGTTGCCAAAATTCTTATGGCCACTACAGCTTTAGATAAAAACAGACTGCAGGTATATACTGATTCTTCCTGCTAAAGCGTTTAGGTGCTTCCTCACCTAAATGCTTTCTAGACTCAGATGGTGGACAAGCTATCCTGTTCTGAGAAAGCTAATGAAGGGCAGGCTAAAGGAACTGTCTTTACATCATTTTTTCTTTCTTCTCAAATGTATATGCACAAAGGTTGATGCTTTTCCTTTGTTGTTGTTGTTGTTGTTGTTGTTGTTGTTGTTCACAGCTCATCGAATGCCACTTCAGGTAAACTCATATAAAATGCTCTCATTTTAAAAAAATATTCTGCAGTTTTTTCATTCTCTCTCTTTAAAAACATGCCAAGTTGCCTCAGTAAAGAATGCTGTTTTGTGTATCATGCCTGATTGAAAAAATTCTGCTCAACGATGATTGCATGAAGAATGGACAGTCCACCCTCTCATCCAGATGGCCCGAATGGTGCCCTTGGTGTCCATCAGACTGTCAGACTGCTGTTTACTGGGGCAGCTCCCAGGGTCTCTGCTCTTCTTTTGAGTCTGCACCACCGACATCCTTTTCAGCTTCGATTGGAGCTCCTGATGCGTGCGAGCAAAGGTACGTTGACTGCTACATCTCATTAGCTGTGTGTTTTTTTCCCACCCCAACACTAGGACATTTCTGCTTCAATGACTTCTCATCCTGAATCTTAGCGTTGTTGCTCATCTCTGAGAGCCAAAAGCAACTTTTACTGGGGACTCAGGACCAGGTGGTGGCTGAGGGAGCAAGCAGGGTGAAGGACAAGGATCTTTCTGGAAACCAAATCTGCAGGTGTCCGGGATGAACTACCAATGAAGGGGGAGGGAGTTCAACATGTTTCCTATCTCGTGAACTGTCTGCCCTTTTGTAGGATAAAAGCTGCTGTGGAAGGATGCCTGTTTGCAAGGAGGAAAGAGCGAGCTTCCTGCTTCCCAGGTCCCTGGCATGCTCCCCCTGGTGGAAAGGCACTCCCTCCAAACTCTTGGAGAGGACTCAGGCTAAAAGTGGCAAGCTACTTCCAAGTTCCAGGTGACCCATAGGCTGTGATGTGAGTCTTAGCTATCTTTTAAGTAGTACTATAGTTCTATGATTAGTTCAGGCACAACTCATCATCTGAGAGCCACTCATTGCAACGTGGAGTTGCTCTCTACCTTAGTGCACAAACTGAGAAGGACGCTTGGCTTTTGAGACAACGTGGTGTTTAATCACCAGGATAATAGAAGCATCACAAAATACAGTAACAGGATGGCCCAGGGTGAGAGAAGCAAAGCGTACACAGAGTCTGGCTCATACTTATACGGCTTCCCTGCCAGCACAGTCTTCCTCTCGATCCAAAGCAGATAATTGGACAACTCGGTGTACACTCCAGGCATGTTCTTCTGGCCACAGCCCACACCCCAGCTGATAATACCCAGCTGGTACCATGTGCTTTTGTTCTTTTTCTGGCAAACCAGAGGCCCCCCTACTGTCACCCTAGGAAAGAAAGGTTGTTTGGGAGGGGAAGGGGCAGGAACAAGTTACTCCTATAGCCTACTGAGGTGCAGCCCGCTGGCACTAGGCAAAAAGCACTTATGGCACCTTTTGATGAACAGACTTCTTTTTTTTAAGAGTCAGGGTCTTGCTCTGTTGCCCAGGCTGAAGTGCAGTGGTGCAATCATAGCTCACTGCAATTTTGAACTTCTGGGCTCAAGCAATTTTCCTGACTTGGCCTCTGAAAGGGCTGGGACTACAGCCTTTGGGACAGTAGTTTTGATTAGGCTCTCCAACCACATAGCTATGCTCTGGGACTTCTGGAGAAGAAAACAAACAATTTGGTCAACAAGGACTCTCAATCATCACCATCTAGTCTCATGCATTAGTTTTATTATTATTTTTGAGACAGAGTCTCACTCTGTCACCCAGGCTGGAGTGCAGTGGTGCAATCTCAGCTCACTGCAACCTCCACCTCCTGGGTTCAAGCGATTCTCCTGCCTCACCCTCCCGACTAGCTGGGACTACATGCAAATGCCACCATGCCTGGCTAATTTTTGTATTTTTAGTAGAGATGGAGTTTCACCATATTGGCCAGGCTGGTCTCGAACTCCTGACTGCAGGTAATCTACCCACCTCGGCCTCCCAAAGTGCTGGGATTACAGGCGTGAGCCACCGCGCCCAGCTCGTGCATTAGTTTTAATACAACAAGGGCTGGTTTTATAATCTATTTTACCTCTAAGCACTTTTGTATGTTTTTTTCAAAATTCTTCACATTTTCCCCCTGCCTTTTCACCCCAAATCCATTTTCAGCCAACCCATTTTTCTCTTCCTGTGTTGTTCACAATAACAAAAAGGAAAAAACACCAACAAAAACCCGTTGCACCTCATAATAGGTCTCTGGACGAATACAGTAGATACACAAACTGACATATGCCAATGCAAAAATTACAAATATTGTATCAAAATGTTATCTTGTGGCACAAAACATTGAATTACAAAAAACTTACAGATTCTAAAACATGCTGAAAAAGATGACCAAATAGCACAAATAAATGGAGCAGACGTAATTAATGTGAAAATTGAGGAATATGGTAACTCTCATGGTTTTCAAGGTTTCCCCAAATCCTTTGGACCTTTCAAAAACTTCTATTAAAAAGTAATGTATAGTGCTCACTTCGCCAGCACATATCCTAAAACCGGAACAACACAGAGAAGATTAGCATGGCTCCTGCGCAAGGATGGCACGCACATTCGTGAAGCGTTCCATATGTTTACATCACACACCAGGGCCTCTCGGCGGGGTGGGGGCCAAGGGGAAGGAGAACGTTAGGACAAATACCTAATGCATGCTGGGCTTAAAACCTAGATGACGGGCTGATGGGTGCAGCAAACCACCATGACACATGTATACCTATGTAACAAACCTGCACATTCTGCACATGTATCCCAGAACTTAAAGAAAAAAAAGAAATGTATAATGATAAAAAGTTGGAAAACTCAGATATGGAAAAAGACCATGAAGAATACCCATAACTATATAAATAAGTACATTTATATATAAACACACACTACATGATGAGCAGACTTTTTTTCATACACGATTTTATACACGATTGTGTATGAAAAGAATATTTCAGGAAGAATACATATCCATGTAATTGCCTTTGGCGAGTGGACTGAGAATGAGTGTAAGAGGTGAAATTCCTCTTCATTGTGCAGCCATCTGTGCTACTTGAACTTTCTCTATCGTATATTCAGATAAATAAATGAAATCAACAATCCTTCTAATTCCACACATGCAGAGGCAACTCCTGTTGCCACCTTCAGATGTAACTTTCCACACCCTCGTCTATCAATGTGCACCCATCATATTTTACAGAGATAGGATCAGGATGTTCACATTGTTTCACAGCTTGTAAGACTTTATTTTTAAAAATGTTAAGTGACACACAAAATGTTGAAAAAAATCACCACTCTATGTGATGCAAGTCCAAATACAAAACATTAAAACAAACAACTTCCTTCCCAAAGCCAGGTATGGGTTTATTTTATTTTTTTTTAACCAGGTTGCCATTATGAAGAAATTGCTGTGCTCATCAACTTACTTTGAACCAAGCTGTTCTTTACCGAATGCCCTGAAGTCATTGGAAAGTCACACTACCTTGCTTTAAAGTGAAGAATTAGAATTGTTTCTCTGAAGATGAGGGAGGTGCATGAAGGATGTCAGGTACAACAGTGGTACGGTTTGGATCTTAAATTTCTAAAGCCACGTAGGCCTTGATTCAAACTCCAGTGTGAATATTCAGTTGAATGAATCTAAACAGTTTCTGAAGCAGTTTAAGGCTCAGTTTTTACATTGATGGTAAAAGTAACATCTCTCCTGCAGGACGGCTCTGTGAATGGAAGGAAACAGCTCGATCCAGGTCTCTAGACGTGACAAGCATTGACTCAGTGGAAAGTCCTGCGATTTTTGTGGTTTTTAGACCAGGCAGATCTGGGCATGACTAGAGGAGGTTTTTCCTGGGACGCAGAAGGCGGTTGTAATCCCAGAGTCCGGATGCCCTCGTTAGAATTCTGGGCCTGTAATTCGCCTTGCTGGGGTGTCCTCCGCAAGACTTTCAGCTTCTCTGATCCTCATTTTTCTTATCTGAAATAGGCCTGTCTCACAGAGCTAATTCCCAAAACTTCTGTGTATTTGTGGCAGCCGTGTGTATGCTATTGAGAACTGGACGGGAGTGAAAGAGAGTGATGAAGACAACAGTCTATACAGCATCTCCTATTACCTGTTAGCTCAGTGCTTCATGTGCATTACCTCACTGAATTCTCGCAACAGCCCAAAAAGGTAGGAACTCTTACTATTCCCATGTTACACATGAGGACATCGGAAAAGGCACAGGCACGGGGGATACCTCTTGCCGAGGTCACACAGGCAGTTCAAGTAGGGGAGCCAGGAGGGAGACTGGGTCATCTGACTTCAGAGCCTGCACCCCTAACCACTGCCCCTCATTGCCTCCCTTTTGTTACAGAGGACCTGTTCTTTTAAGATCTTACAGACGATCTGCACTGGGTTGAATAGTATCGTCCCAAAATTCATGTCGACCCAGAACCTCAGAATGTGACCTCATTTGGAAATAGATCCTTTACAGATATAATTAGTTAAATTAAGATGAGGTCATAGTGGATTGAAATAGACCCTAATCCAGTGACCTAGCAGAAGTAATTCCTCCGACTGCCCCAGAACCCATCGGGGCCGACAGCTGGGGGTGTGGGGGCGGCCCTGGAATAGGGGCTGTGGTGGTACGCCTGGCTGCAGTGGTTGTCAGGCTGCAGTGGTTGTGGCTGCAGTGGTTGTGGGGCTGATGGGAAACTACTAAAGTTTGGGGGAAGCAAGTAGAATTTCCTAAGAACATAATGGATGGAGAGGGGAAAACCTGTGGTGGCTGTGAAGGTCCTGATGCCGTGTATGTCTAATTAATATCGTCCGATGGCCATGAATTTACTGTAAAAATAGAACGTGCGTTAACTTCAAGCATGATAAAAGCCATGTTAAGCTTAAAAAGCTTAAAAGCTTTTAAAACAGCTCCCAGGCCAGGCGTGGTGGCTCACACCTGTAATCTCCGCACTTTGGGAGGCCGACGTGGGTGGATCAGCTGAGGTCAAGAGTTCAAGACCAGCCTGGCCAACATGGTGAAACCCTGTCTGTACTAAAAATAAAAATAAAAAAAATTTAGCCAGGCATGGTGGCGTGTGCCTGTAATCCCAGATACTAGGGGGACTGAGGCAGGAGGATCACTTGAACCTGGGAGGCGGAGGTTGCAATGAGCCGAGATCTGCACTCCAGCCTGGTCAACAGAGCAAGACTCCGTCTCAAAAAAAATAAAAAATAAATAATAAATAAATAAAACAGCTCCCAGCCTGTGGCAGAGGTTTGATAGTCATTGACCATGGACATGGAACAAGGCTACAGAAATTCTCAGGCTCCAGAAGATGGATCCATAGTAGATGTTAATGCGCCGCCCTTGCTCTAGCTGCATGATGTCATGGTTTTGCGTTAGACCTGGTAGGTGCTGCCCTGTGGATCCCACCCCGTGACTACTGAGTCAGCAAGCCTGGGAACTGACCTTGAGAGCAAGCTCCCTAGGGGAGTCTCCTGCCCACCGAGGATGGAGGGCCCTGGAGAGGCACATCCACAAGGAGTCCCAGAGACCCACGTGCCAGGAGCTGCAGGCCCAGGGCAGCAGCAGGGCGACCCGCAGCAGGAGGGCTGCCCTTCATGGCTCCATCCTTTCATCAGCCCTGGTCCTCCCATCAGCCACAGAGAGGCTTCCAGTGTGGAAGGGGGGCCAGGCGGGGCTTCACTCTCCACGCCCGCTAGCTCACAGCCCAGCCTGACTGCCTGGGTCACAATAGGGAATGGGTGGCGCTGCCACAGTCCAGACAAAGCCGGGGTCACCCTGAACCCTGTGGGGTGCGGAGGTCAGGATGGAGCTGGGGGCGAGAGGCTCGGAGTGGGAGGACTCCCCAGCCAGCTGTGCTCCTATAAGAGGCAGCGTTTCAGCTTCCTGAACCTGTCAGGACAAAATAGCTGGAAGCGCACTCTAGAAATAGCCTTGGGGAATGAGAAGGACTCAGGCTGCTGTTCCAAACCGCTCAAGTGAAACAGCAGACAGGGCACTGGCTGTGGGAACTTAGCAGAGTCCCTTAGCTTTGTGCCTCTGATGACTCCCCTGTAAAATGTGGATGATGATAGCACAGCACTATGTGGTTGAGAGGAGTAATGAGCTAATCCGTGTATCCAAGCACAGGCCATGGCAAATACCAAGCCCACGATTCTAATTCTCCCATTTCATCTCTACTAATGTCTTCCTGCAAAGGAAGGCACTTTGGCCAGCAGTTTCTATGAACAAGACACGTCCAAAGTACAGATCCATGCCTGGATCAGCTGCAGGGTGGCTTTTGGTGGTGCCATTCTTTCATTTCTTTGTTCATGAGGTCATCCAGAGCTCTTTGGAGCATTTTCTACTTGCTGGGCTTGGAGGACAATGCAAAGATGAACAATAGATGTTCTCTGTCTCTTTGAAGGTCATAATCATCTGGAGAGACACATTGGCAGAGAGACTACCTTAATACAATGGGGTAAGAGTATCACTGGCAGCCAGGGGAGGGGCACGGGTGTGTGGTCGGTGGGAGAAGAGGCGAGGGGGAAAATTGTCTAGAGGAAGTAAGGATTGTCTGGGCTAAGCCAATTCCCAAAGCGAAAGCCCTAGAGGGAGGGAAGGAATGCATTTGTTACGGTTTAAGTGATGGTCCCCCAAATTCCTGTGTTGATGTTCTAACCCCCAGACCTCAGGATGTGACTTTATTTGGAAGTGGGTGCTTGCAGATGTAATTGATGAAGAGGAGGCCATGCTAGAGTAGGACAGGCCCCCAATCCAATATGACTAGTGATCTTATAGAAAGGGGCCATTTGGACACACTCACCCACACAGGGAGAGCCCCATGTGAAGACTGGAGTTGTGCTGCCACAAGCCAAGAATGTACCAGAAGCCAGGAGGGAGAAGTGGAACAGATCCTTCCTAGCACTTTCAGAGGGAGCCCGGTCCTCCTAACATTGGGATTTTGGATTTCTGGCCTCCAGAGCTCCTGACAATATTTCTGTTGTTCTAAGCCACACAGTTTGTGGAACTTTGTTACAGCAACTCTGAAACTCAAGCCGCATTCTATCTGGGCAAAAAATATGTGCAAAGGTACAGAGGTGTACGGGAACTGCGGGAACTTCTGAGTTAAGTCAGAATTGTTGTTTTGGTGGTTCAAAAATAGGAGAACATTGACAAATTTGCATGGTTCAAGTTAAGCTATCAAGTTGGAATAATGTACCAGGTTGAGTGGTAGATGGGGGGGATCAGTTTACTGAATAAAGCTCCAGTTGGAATAAACTGTGTTCCCTCCTATGCGGCCAGTGAATCGTTCTGATAAGAAATCACCATGGATGTGACAGGTGTATGAAGAATGGCTAGTATTACTAATTAATGGCAAGGAGCTCTGGTTGTGAACGTTTTCCAAAATTCCATACATAAGGGAAGTTTGCAAACATTTTCCAAAATTCTATCCATATTCTATTTTAGGAAAAATGACTATGGGACTTTCTTTCCCCAGCTGTTTTGAGGCTTTAAAATTTATCTTAGAACCTCTTGGAACTATCCCATCAGAATAACTGGAAGCCAGATAAAACATTAGGCAGTTCATTCATTTTATTGGACGTGGAGTTTTGTCAGAACCAGCATTTACTGTACTTCTCATAGCTGTAAGCAAAGCATTAGAATTCAGCAACCTAATGCTTTTCTTTTCTCTGCCAAGCGGGGTCGTGAAATGGGAGAGAAAGCCTCCTTGCCTCTGTTCTTTGCAAACAGCATGTATTTATTTGGGGTCAGTAGAGCAAAACATCTGATCGCTGCTCTAAGTGTTTGCAAACTTTTGGGCACTGGAGGGGACATGCATATGAGATGGAACAGGGCATAGATAAAAGAATTCCCGCATTACCCACCATCCTGCCCAAAGAAACCACACGACTTCCATGGCAGTCCCAGACTACAGAAAGGGAGAACACAGCAAGCGCCTGCATTCTCTTCATTTAGGCCCCAAGTCATCCAAAAATTGCCTACCACGGCAGTAGACGAGTTCACATTTTAATCAAAACAGGACTGCACAGAAACATACGTCCACGTGAAAACCAGTACCCAGTGTTTATGGTGGCTTTCTTTTTAATTGCTAAAAACTGGTAACAA
Organism: Homo sapiens; assembly: GCF_000001405.40. Lineage (NCBI taxonomy): Eukaryota > Metazoa > Chordata > Mammalia > Primates > Hominidae > Homo > Homo sapiens. The sequence continues at coordinate 10,481,842 of NC_000008.11, forward strand.
CCTAAATGTCCATCGTCAGAGGAAGCGATGAACAAACTGCGGTGCATTCACACAACAGCGGTGCTACACAGCAGCGAAGAGGAGCAGCCGACTGACACGCACAACAACTCGGATCTCAGGAGCATCGCACCGAGCTGGAGAAGCCAGACACGAGCCGCTGCACACCGTATGATTCCATGGCATTCTGGGAAAGGCAAAACTCCAAGCACAGAGAACGCATGAGTTGTTGCCCAGGTTTGGGGTTCCAGGAAGAGGATGGATTACTAAGAAGCACAGGGGAATGTTTTGGGGTGATGAAAATGTTGTATGTCTTGTCTTTTTCTTTTCTTTTTGTGAAACAGAGTTTCACTCTTGTCGTCCAGGCTGGAGAGCAATGGTGTGATCTCAGCTCACTGCAACCTGCACCTCCCAGGTTCAAGCAATTCTCCAGCCTCAGCCTCTTGAATAACTGAGATTACAGGCACATGCCTCCCCGCCCAGCTAATTTTTGTATTTTTAGTAGAGACGGGTTTTCACCATGTTGGTCAGGCTGGTCTTGAACTCCTGACCTCAGGTGATCCGCCCACCTCAGCCTCCCAAAGTGCTGGGATTACAGGCATGAGGCACCACATTCGGCCAAAGTTCTATGTCTGGTCACAGCCATTTACATTCATCAGAATTCACAGAACCATCCATCCTGAAGTGGTGAATTTGCTGAATAGAAATTATACCTCAAAGACCAGACGTTCAAAAATGCCTTTGTGTTTTGTAAGCTTCAACACTCGCCCAGTGGGAACCACAAAAGCGTTGCCCAATTTGTTGAAAGCATTGCTGTTATAACTTCAGCGTGTGGGGAGAAGTTATGTTTTCATACTGTCTTTGTCTGCTCTGGCCACCGTTACAAAACACCATAGACTGGGTGGACTGATCAACACGCATTTCTTTCCCACAGTGGAGGCTGGAAGTCCCCAAGACCCAGGTTCCTGGGGAGGGCTTTCTTCCTAGCCTGCAGGTGACCAACATCTGCTGTGTCCTCTTGTGACTCTTCCTCAGTTCCTGTGCCAGAGGGGTCGGGGGACAAGTGGGCGTCCATCTTGTAAGTGTCCTCATAAGGCCACCATCCTGTCAACCAGGGCACCACCCTATACCTTAGTTAACCTTAATGACTTCCTTGGTGGCCCCCCGTCCCGTTGCAGCCAGGGTTAAGCTTCAGCGTGCAAAGTGAAAGGCCACACAAATCTTTGTCCGTAACAAATGCCCCGTGGACAGGACACTCCGGTGCCCTGAGGCTGCAGGAGCTGAGGGTGATCTTGCTCAGGTACTTCTGGTGGTACCTGCTGTATGGGGAAGAAGTCTGTTCCTCCTGGCTGGTGTCAGAAGTAACCAGGCTGAAGCCATGCTCTGAAAGAACCTGTGCAGGGAGAGAAAGACCTGTTTGAGACCGACCTGAAAGCTCTCGCAGGGGAAAGAACAGGTAAGCCTGGCTCCCTGAAGGTCCCGGGGGAGAATGGGCTTCCCTGAGAGGCCTCATAAGGGCCGCAGTGGGAGGGAATGAAAGGGGCGGACAGGGTAGGGATGGGGCAGGGATGGGGCAGGGATAGGAGGGAGGTCTGCAGCTGCACCCAGCACTACTCCCTCTGCCCACCAGTTCACAAATGTGACCCCGGCCCCCTCCCAGGCTGAACAGAGGGTCCCCCTAATTTGCTGTGGCTCTAGGAAGCAGGGGCCCTGCTGGGACGTCCTGGCGAGCAGGGGGTCACTCAGGGTCTGTGCTCTGAACTCCAGGCAAGGGAGCCTGGGGAGTCAGGGCAGGAAAGGACATGGCCTGAGGGCCTGTGGCTCATCACCACCCTCTGCGTCCTAGTTTACGTTCTGGTGGCATCTGGTGCCAGGGAAAGCCACTCGTCAACACAAGCTGCGGGAGGAGAGGGGAGCTATTTGGAGCAGGAGACAGACTAAGAAATAGACATTGCTCCCCGTGGATTTCAGCCCTTTTGGGTTTCAGCTGTGCCCTAATTCTTCCCTGTACGGGGACAGCTGGATCTTTGCAGGCAGTGCAACAGAGCTGCAACTCCAGATGTAGTGATTCCACTTTGGACAGAGGTGCCAGGTGGGGGCCCCAGACTTGTGTCCAGGAGGGCATTGTCTGTGTGCCACAGTCCACCGGCCTCCTGGAGGTGAAATCCCCATGCCAGCCAAGAGGGGTACGCAATGCCGACTTAGAGTTCAGCATCACTCCACTTCTCCACTCGCCATCACTCCTCACCTTCTCCTGGGCCCTGCCCTGATTTTCTGAATCTCCTCCAGCCCTCTGCGGTGGAAATGAGGAGGTCGATGGCTCCGAAACCAGCAGGTCTGGGGTGTTAAGGAAGATGGCCCTAAGTATATCAATTAGGAAGGGCTTCAGAAGGAAACAGGATTCTACTCTGAAAGTGCAAATGAAGGCATTTTAATGAAGGCACTGAAAGTTGTGGGCGTTGTAAAGGGATTCAGCGAAGGAGAACAAGATGTCCAGAGTTGAACAGTAGCAGTAAGCCGTAGGGCAAGCTACTGTCATTGGAATCCAGTGAGGGCCGCAAGCGTGAAGGAGGGACTACCCTGTGGGGACTGAGTATAGAAGGGACCCAGCCAGCGGCAGAACAGTGGCCCACATAGGAAAGTGACAGGGAAGAAATACCCCAACCCTCTCCCTTCCTGCCCTGGTACTTTCTGTTGGTACTTGCTGAGGTCAAGCTAAGTGGCGTTTAGGATCCCAGGTAACTCAGTCCCTAGGAGCCAGCCTCCCAGGACCCAGGGAAGTACAGCACATGGATCTGTATTGGGGAAATGGGAGACAAATGGAAAATAATGGCTTAGCATCATCTAGCACATTCTCACAGAGGACAGAGTTGACAGCTGTGAGCTATTCTGATTTTAGGGCTGATAAAGACACCACACTACCCATTATTAAGCCTTATCATGTACACTATACTATGCCCAGGATTTGCAAGTGTTATCTTGCTTAATCCTCATAGCAACCACATGAGGGAATTACTCTTCTTGTTTTCCACATTTAGCAGGTCAATATGCCAGATATTATATACTGATTTTTAGCACCATCGCTGCCTTTCTAAATCTCTCAGGTATTGTAGAGGCTGAAAGCCTAAGAGCTGTGTTTCTCAGGATCCCAGCAGGCTTCCAATTTAGATTCTCAGCCAAGTTTTAGGAGGCAGAGGAAAGGGAGCAATCATTTTCCCATGGCAGCTGTGTGCAGGCATGCAGATTTCAGCAGATGGCAGTCATGAGGTTTTGCCATTAACTTTGGGTCTTCTGCAAATCATCCTGATACTGAAGATAATTATATCATTTGCAGGGGGTTCCAATGATTCCTGTAGTTCACTGAGCTCTTGTAAAGAAGCAACCGTTTTTCCTGACCTTGACACTCAAGCATTTTTGATGGTTCTAGAAGTACCCATTTTCAGGTATTAAATACCTTTCTGTTTGAGATACATGATTGTTTTCTATTTTCCTGAAAGAATCCTGACTGATACAGTATTTGGTACTGAGAGTGGTTCCAGGAAATACAGCTGCAAAGATGGAGGGAAGTCTAAGATGTGTTGTTAGGCTTGGATTAGCTTGAAGCCAATAATGACCTCCTGGCTAGTGGAAAATGGGTTTCTGGTAGTCCATGACATGCAATGTCTTAAGTTATGGCCTGTCATTCATGGAATCAATTGCCTGTTAAAAGACACCAAGCACCTTTTTGATAGAATACTCTGGTGGAAGAGATAAGTACAAGGGTTAAAGTTACTGAATGCAATGGAAAATTTACAGAAAAAATACAGCACAAAATACCCCAACAATCTCAGGGCTTTAAAATTTCAACTCAGAGGCATAATTCAAAAGCATTGGAGAAGCATCAAAGAAGCTTCTACAACTGCCCCTGAAAGAATCTCTTATCGTAGCAGAAATTGAACCCAGGGTTGTTCCTACAAGTTGGCAGAATTACAACCTAACTTGAATTCACAGCCTCTTTAGGTGCTTCCATGAAAGGTGATTAATGGGGAAGGACTGCGACCAGGAGTATTGCACTGAGAAACTTGGGTATGTTAAGATGAATCAACGTACTTCACAACCTTAAAGTCCACTGAGTTTCCCTTCCTTTCCTTTCTGGGAACCTAGTCCCTTCTTGCTTGAAGACTTTGTAAAGACTCACCTGAAGAAAATACTTACCCAGGGAATGCTGATTCTCCCATAGCCCACTACCCCCCATCACCTCTCACAGCAGTCATTACAGTCATCCCAGTAGAATTCATAGAAATCAGTTCAAATCTGACCCAGGAGAAGATAGAAAACATTAAAATAACTGCAACATTCTTCTAACATATATTTGTAGAAATCTGATGATTATGTCCAAGAATGGATTCTAAGGGACTTAGAATTTGATTTGACTGGGCCAAATTTATCAGTCTAGGTGCACTTAAGAGAAACTTTGAATTCAGTGGTTTACCTAGAGCAGCTGGAAGTGGCTCTATTTGGTTGAAGAACTAAAACCTTGGACCAAAAAAATGGCCTCCGTTAAACAGAATTGCTTTCCAGAATATAAAAGAAGGAATCCAAAGTCTTAGATAAGAATGCCAGAATGGATTTATTGTGACCTGCTCCCCCATCCTCTAACTCTAGTTTATGAGATTCCTGAGGATGCTTTGTTATATCAGGCATCGAAAAATACATTTCCAAGGAGAGCACCAGCATCCTTGGAAGGCCCTGCTGTGGCCATCGTCTGTAGGCTGGGGGTGATGTAGCACATACCCATCTGGTGGAAAACTGATCACAGTTGACCCATTCCCTCATGGAGTAGTCAGCAATTTTCCATCACAGTAGTAGATATTTATTTATTCTGTCTATGGATGTGTCTCCGAGGCCCACAAGGCCTTTGCTGCCTCATCACACAAAACTTCCCCAAATGCCTGATTATTCATCACAATGGTTTTGCATTTGGCATTACTTCTTACAAACTGATTAAAACGCGACAGATTAAAATGCAACAGACCTGAAGCAATGCACTCGGTGCCCATGGGATTCACGGATCTTCCCATAGGTCCTACCAGCCAGAAGCAGCATGCCTGATTGATAGAACAGTGGAATGGCCCAATGAAGGTTATGCAACTGAGCCTGTTGAGATCTCATGACATGTGAGGATGGAGTGCTCTTTTACAAAGTACTGTGTCTATTATGAAGCACATTCAATAGGAGCTGATTCTTGTATGGCCAGAATACTTGGGTTTGGGAACCAAGGGATAAGAGTGGGACTGGCTTCATTTACTATTGCACGTAGTGATCCACACCCAATAAAGTTCTGCTTCTTACCACTGCAACTTTGAGCTCTGGAAGTTTAGAGACCTTAGTTCCCAAGGGAAGAATGTCTCTACCAGGGAATACGATGGTTTATTGCATGGAGAGTTGAGACTGCCACCTGGACATTTGGAGTTCATTACACCACTAAGCCAATAGGCAAAGGGGAAGGTTAGTGTCCTGGCTGAGAAGACTGACCCCTAATATCAAAGAACAGAGATTTGCTCCACACATGGGGACAAGGAGGAATATGTCTGAAATCCATTACATCCTTTGAAGATGCTCTTTCTATTTCATTGTCCAAAGGGAGAAATCAGTGGAAAACTACAGCAACGCCATACAGGAAAAACCATCAAGTGCTCAGAAATGAATGGTCACCCCAACAAATAAAGAACAACGATCAGCTGAGGTTCAAATTGGAAGAAGGCCAACTGTGGCCTCAGGATCAGTTGCAGACTTGAGAACAATCGCAGCGGCCTGGATTTTCATGATGTTTTATGTATTTGTATATACCAATTTCTGTTTTTTCCTTCTTTTCCCCAAGTGTTCACATTGGTTACATTTATTACTGATCTTTAGGATATAAGATTGTGGTGGCCATGGAGGTGTACCACCCAGATCTACTTCAAAAGAACCTGCTGTGGGAAGCATAGTTGATGACGGCCTTCAGCTACTGCTCCTCCAGATCCATCATAGCTGTCACACTAACACTGCATTTCTACGGAGTATACCCAGCCAATGGCTGAGAGTGGCAGGGTTCAACTTTTCTTGAACCATTACTGCTCAACCTGGCACCCTTTGCTCAGGAATTCTCATCAACCTGGTCCAGACTTACTCAGACTTGCAATGGGGTCTGAAGATGCTCTGCCTCCTCCTGTTCCCAAGATCCTTTATCCTTGCCAGGCATTTCCACCAATAAATCTCTTTCATGTATAAGTCAGTCTTGGCATCGGCTCTTGGAGGACCCAAACTGACGGGGATGTGAAGCTGAGATTGTGATTAAACAATCTCACTCAAAGATGGATATGATGATTTTATGAGACTTTTCAGAGAGGAACAGAGTGTTCTGTTTGCATAGAGAATAGTCACATTGTGTTAGGAGCATGCTGTTACTATTCTTGTTTTCTAGAAATTTTAATAAGGTTGTGTGCATACAGTGAGCAGCCAAAGTGGTAGGCTTCCTAGATCGTGTCTCAATAGGCACTGAAATCCAATTCCCCTAAATCCTAATTCCATTTTTCTGTGTCATGTTGCAGCTGCCTCACTCTAGTATTCTGGATGTGATTTGGGGTCCAGTGAGATGCACTGACTAATATCTGCAGTGTACAATGCAGGCAGCAGCAGCGCCAGCTAAAGCTGAGCTCTGGTAGAGTTGGATTGGATGTTTACAGTGACCTACCTCTTCAGTGTGATATTTCCTCACGGTCATCAGCTACAGGCTGTGAGACAGCCTGGGGGAGACAGGATAGCCATGTTTCCCACTACCTCCCAACCACTGGCTGGTGCACCAGCCTCCTGGCCTTAGGTCGCAGCCACAGTGACGTGACCTCCTACAATCCCTGGCAAGCTGGAGGAGCAGCCCTGCAACCAAGCCTGCTCTAAGAAAAGGCTTTCTGTTTACTAACCTGGAGCTGCTCTATTCTTTCACCCTTGTTCCCCTTTCAGCTGTCTCGCGCAAGTACTAATTTTGCCATTAAATACGCATTTTGTTTTGCAAAATGAGAAGAGCTTATAAATACTTCAAATTTTCTCCGTCTGTTTCACTCCTTTCCATTTCTTTCTAAAATTACAGTAAAATATTAACTATACAAAATATTGTTGTATTTATACAAAACAACAATACCATAAAATAAAACACTACATAGTTGAAGCCCTCTGAGGATCTCTCCATTTCTTCCAGCCATAACGAATACCCTGAACTTTACGTTTCTTTTCCCTTTGCGGTTGCTTAATTTTTCTACATCTGAATATATCCTTACACGTTTTCAAAATTTATAGAAATATCCCACTGAATACATTTTTCTGTAACTTGCCTTTGCACTGCATTGTGAGATTCAGCTATGTTGATCTGTTTAACTCCAGCTGATGTATGTAATGATCCCTGATGATTATTCTGCCGTTTGACTATACCAAAATTTATTCAGGTCTCTGATAATGAGCATTTAGATTGGTTTGTTTTCCATTTATGAATTTAGCAATTATGTGTTTCTAATTTTTTGTTATTATAAACTATGGTGCTACGAATATTCCTGTATATGCCACCTTCAAAATTGTAAAATTTCAACTGTTTTAAAATACAGTCATGTCAGGATACATTCTGAGAAATGTATCATTGGGCAATTTCATTGCTAGGCACACATCAATGTATGCAAATCTAGATGGCATAGCCTACTACACACCTAGACCACATGGCGTGGTGTGTTGCTCTGACCACCATCATATATGTAGTTCGTCATTGACCAAAATGGCATTCTCCGGCACGTCTGTATTAAAATTTTTTAGTGGAAAACCAGTTTTTAAAATCTGTTTTACATGAATGATAGTTTTTAGTGTCAACAATTTAAATATGGCAGTTATTTTTTCTCAGCACATTGGTGGTATTATTCCAACATCTTTTAGCTTCCCTTGCTGCCGTTGAGAAGTCTGTTGATTTCATACTCCGCTGTAAGTAATCCATTTTTTCCTCGCATATGCTAATTTTGAGATCTTCTCTGCCTTTATTGTTTTGCCATTTCACTAAAATATGTTTAGAGATATATAAATTCTGCTTGGACTCTATTGTGCTTCCAGAATTGGAAGATCAATGTCTTTCATTAATTATGGAACATTCTTGGTCATGGACTCATTGAATGAATGTTTCCTTTTCTCCATTATTTCTATTCTTTTCTTCTGAAACTTCAGTAGTCATATGTTAGTCCTTTTAACTCCATCTGCCTTGTTTCGTAACTTCTCTCTCATGTTTTCCCATACTGCTTTTTAGCATCCTGAGCAATATTCAGATCCATCTCCTGGTTTACTATTTTTATTTCCATAAATTTCACTGGATTCTTTTTCAATTCTGCCTGGCCATTTTTTGATGGTATTTTGTTTTCAGTCTCATTTTAAGTTTCTTCCTTTTAAAGAATATTTTATACATAATTATTTATATTTACTATCTAATAATTTAAATGTCTGAACTCTGGGTGTGTAATCTTCTCTCCTGCTCTTTTTCATGATGGTTTGTTTTCCGTTTATGAATTTAGCAGTTGAATGTTTTGTACTCACGTTTGGCCAAACTTAATTCGTGGAAATCTGTGGGAGACTGTAAAAATATCAGTGGTTGCCAGGGTATAGATGAACAAGTGAAGCACTGAGGATTTTTAGGCAGGGAAGCCACTCTGTGTGATTACTACAATGGTGGCCACATGTCATCATACACCCATGAAAACCCATAGCATGTGCAATGCAAACAGTGAATCCTAACATAAACTCTAGATTCTAGTTAATCATAATGCATCACTATTGGCTTATTAATTGTAATGTGCCACACTAATGCAAGATATTAAAATAGAAATTGGGAGGAGGTGGGGCATATGGGAATCCATTGTATAATACTTTACTTTATGCTCAGTTTTTTTATAAACCTGTAACTGTCAAAAGCCTATTCATTTTTTTAAATGTAGAGATAAAAAAAAAAACAAAAAAAAGTTAACCTTTGTGATTTGGACTTAAACAGGGAACCCTATCTCAGGGTCATGAGAGAAAAGAACCAAGTGTCTCCTTCTGTGAACTGAAGGGCATCAAGAAGAGTGGCGTTTTAGTGGCATAGGGGAAGTCACTTTCTTTTGCCATCTAAAGTTTCAGGGTACATGTGCAGGTTTGTTACATATGTATACATGTGCCATGTTGGTGTGCTGCACCCATTAACTCTTCATTTAACATTAGGTTTATCTCCTAATGCTATCCCTCCCCCCTCCCCCCACCCCACAACAGGCCCCAGTGTGTGATGTTCCCCTTCCTGTGTCCATGTGATCTCATTGCTCAATTCCCACCTATGAGTGAGAACAAGTGGTGTTTGGTTTTTTGTCCTTGCAATAGTTTGCTGAGAGTGATGGTGTCCAGCTTCATCCATGTCCCTACAAAGGACATGAACTCATCATTTTTTATGGCTGCATCGTATTCCATGGTGTATATGTACCACATTTTCTTTTTTTTAATTTTATTATTATTGTACTTCAAGTTTTAGGGTACATGTGCACAATGTTCAGGTTACATATGTATACATGTGCCATGTTGGTGTGCTGCACCCATTAACTCGTCATTTAGCATTAGGTATATCTCCTAATGGTATCCCTTCCCTCTCCCCCTACCCCACAACAGTCCCCAGTGTGTGATGTTCCCCTTCCTGTGTCCATGTGTTCTCATTGTTCAATTCCCACCTATGAGTGAGAACATGTGGTGTTTGGTTTTTTGTCCTGGTGACAGTTTGCTGAGAATGATGGTTTCCAGTTTCATCCATGTGCCTACAAAGGACATGAACTCATCATTTTTTATGGCTGCATAGTATTCCATGGCGTATATGTGCCACATTTTCTTAATCCAGTCTATCATTGTTGGACATTTAGGTTGGTTCCAAGACTTTGCTATTGTGAATAGTGCCGCAATAAACATACGTGTGCATGTGTCTTTATAGCAGCATGATTTATAGTCCTTTGGGTATATACCCAGTAAAGGGATGGCTGGGTCAAATGGTATTTCTAGTTCTAGATCCCTGAGGAATCGCCACACTGACTTCCACAATGGTCGAACTAGTTTACAGTCCCACCAAGAGTGTAAAAGTGTTCCTGTTTCTCCACATCCTCTCCAACACCTGTTGTTGCCTGACTTTTTAATGATCGGCATTCTAACTGGTGTGAGATGGTATCTCATTGTGGTTTTGATTTGCATTTCTCTGATGGCCAGTGATGATGAGCATTTTTTCATGTGTCTTTTGGCTCCATAAATGTCTTCTTTTGAGAAGGGACTGTTCATATCCTTCACCCACTTTTTGATGGGTTGTTTGATTTTTTATTGTAAATTTGTCTGAGTTCATTATAGATTCTGGATATTAGCCCTTTGTCAGATGAGTAGGCTGCAAAAATTTTCTCCCATTCTGTAGGTTGCCTGTTCACTCTGATGGTAGTTTGTGTTGCTGTGCAGAAGCTCTTTAGTTTACTCGGATCCCATTTGTCAATTTTGGCTTTTGTTGCCATTGCTTTTGGTGTTTTAGACATGAAGTCCTTGCCCATGCCTATGTCCTGAATGGTATTGCCTAGGTTTTCTTCTAGGGTTTTTATGGTTTATCCATCTTGAATGAATTTTTGTATAAGGTGTAAGGAAGGGATCCAGTTTCTGCTTTCTACATATGGCTAGCCAGTTTTCCCAGCACCATTTATTAAATAGGGAATCCTTTCCCCATTGCTTGTTTTTATCAGGTTTGTCAAAGATCAGATGGTTGTAGATAAGCGGCATTATTTCTGACGGCTCTGTTCTGTTCCATTGATCTATATCTCTGTTTTGGTACCAGTACAATGCTGTTTTGGTGACTGTAGCCTTGTAGTATAGTTTGAAGTCAGGTAGCGTGATGCCTCCGGTTTTGTTCTTTTGGCTTACGATTGACTTGGCAATGCAGGCTCTTTTTTGGTTCCATATGAACTTTAAAGTAGTTTTTTCCAATTCTGTGAAGAAAGTCATTGGTAGCTTGATGGGGATGGCATTGAATCCATAAATTACCTTGGGCAGTATGGACACTTTCATGATATTGATTCTTCCTTCCCATGAGCATGGAATGTTCTTCCATTTGTTTGTATCCTCTCTTATTTCATTAAGCAGTGGTTTGTAGTTCTCCTTGAAGAGGTCCTTCACATCCCTTGTAAGTTGGATTCCTAAAAGTATTTTATTCTCTTTGAAGCAATTGTGAATGGGAGTTCACTCATGATTTGGCTCTCTGTTTGTCTGTTATTGGTGTATAAGAATGCTTGTGATTTTTGTACATTGATTTTGTATCCTGAGACTTTGCTGAGTTGCTAATCAGCTTAAGGAGATTTTGGGCTGAGACAATGGGGTTTTCTAGATATACAATCATGTCATCTGCAAACAGGAACAATTTGACTTCCTCTTTTCCTAATTGAATACCCTTTATTTCCTTCCTGATTGCCCCGATTGCCTTGCCTGATTACCCCGGCCAGAACTTCCAACACTATGTTGAATAGGAGTGGTGAGAGAGGGCATCCCTGTCTTGTGCCAGTTTTCAAAGGGAATGCTTCCAGTTTTTGCCCATTCAGTATGATATTGCCTGTGGGTTTGTCACAGGTAGCTCTTATTATTTTGAGATACGTCCCATCAATACCTAATTTATTGAGAGTTTGTAGCATGAAGGGTTGTTGAATTTTGTCAAAGGCCTTTTCTGCATCTACTGAGATAATCATGTGGTTTTTGTCTTTGGTTCGGTTTATATGCTGGATTGTTTATTGATTTGCATATGTTAAACCAGCCTTGCATCCCAGGGATGAAGCCCACCTGATCATGGTGGATAAGCTTTTTGATGTGTTGCTGGGTTTGGTTTGCCATTATTTTATTGAGGATTTTTGCATCAATGTTCATCAAGGATATTGGTCTAAAATTATCTTTTTTTGTTGTGTGTCTGCCAGGCTTTGGTATCAGGATAATGCTGGCCTCATAAAATGAGTTAGGGAGGATTCCCTCTTTTTCTATTGATTGGAATAGTTTCAGAAGGAATGGTACCAGCTCCTCCTTGTACCTCTGGTAGAATTCAGCTGTGAATCCATGTGGTTCTGGACTTTTTTTGGTGGGTAAGCCGTTAAACTTCAAAGAGGGAAGTCCTGTATTTCATGTTGTTCCCAGTAGTCCAAGAGATGGGACCATGACACTGTTGATGGTTAATTTAATGTGTCCAACTTGGCCATGCTCTGGTGCCCAGTTGTTTGTTTGAGCAGCAGTGTAGATGTTGCTCTGAAGGCTATTTTTAGACGTGATTAACATTTGAATCAGTAGACCTTGAGGAAAGCAGAGTGCCCTCCATGTGTGAGTTGGCCTCATCCAATCAGATGAAGGTCTTAGGAGAAAGGATTTAAGTCCCCCAAAGAAGAAATTTTTCCCCTAGATGGCCTTCGGACTTGATACTGCACCATCACCTCTTCCTTGGGTCTCCAGTTTACCTGCCTTCCCCACAGATTTAGACTTGCTAGCCCCCACAATCACATGGGCCAGTTGTTTGAAATAAATCCCTGTCTCTTGACATATATGTAATGAAAGGAAACTATCCATAAATAAATGATATGTATTTAGAAATAAAACAATATATATTTTTATATACTTACGTATATATAAAATTATGTATGTATACAGACACGTGCATACATACATAGGTAAGTATACAGACGCATATACATACATAAGTATATGTATACATGTATGTATACAAGTTCAGTTGGCCCTCCATATCCATGGTTTCTGCATCTGTGGATTCAACCAACCTCAGATAGAAAATATTTGGAAAAAATATGGATGGCTGTATCTGTACTGAATATGCACGAACTTTTTAAAAATTATTATCCTTGAACAATACAGTGTAACAACTGTTTACATAGCATTGACATTGTATTCGGCACTATAAGTAATCTAGAGAAGATTTAAAGTGTATGGAAGGATTGCATAGGGTATATACAAATACTGTTTTATATGAGGAACTTGAGCATCCATGGATTTTCGTATCCAAGAAGGGTCCTGGAACCAATTTCCCACAGATACCAAGGGACAACTGCATTTATATAATGAAACTAATTACTAATTGCGAGGGGACCCTATGAGAAGAGGCACAAATTTGGCTGTGACATATACATTAGATGTCATGAACCACCCATACCATCTACATTCCTGTATCTTTCCAGTGCCTGTTTCACAAAGTATCTGAATGAATGAATGAATGAATGAGCAGCTGAATGTCTTTCTTTTTTATGGGGCCACATATGATTGTCTCCTTTGTAGCTATGCCAGGTAGACATAACCAAGAAAGGACCTCCCAGAAAACTACCACCAGTCCCTGACTGTCCTTCATGGCACCAATCTTTAAATAAACATGGTCTCTTAGTTTTCTAAAAACAAATTCTTATCACTTATATTTCAGTCTGGCCACACAAGCTATTTTGTTGCCACTCAGTGAAAAGATGTGCTGCTTTCTCATCTGGAATTTTTATCCTTTCTCACTGGCTGGATGATGACTTTGGCGACTGGCAGTGGGCCTCACTCAGTGACCCACATATGTGGAGAGGGCAGATGTTGCCACTTCCTCCAATCCACCTCATTATACTTTTTATTTGAATAATTAAGGATAGAGAAAGGATGGTGTGGTCTATAAGTAGCAAGCCATAATCTCCCCATGTTCAAGTTCAAACTGGACAAAAGACCCCTGATCCTAACTCTACCGGAGACTTTCTTTCATGGATGGCCCAGGAGATGAAAGAATTTGCACCTCAGATGGGGGTTCCCTGTGTGTGCGTCCGTATCATGCACTGAACTGACGGAATTAGAGTGGGGCAATGATGATGAGGTAATATTGCCTTCCATGACAGAAATAAGTTATTAAGCGTCACAGAATGTTGGTGTGATGAAAGACCTTACAGTTCATCTAATGGAATCTGCTTTTTCATGGACAAGGAAACTGAGATCAAGAAACGTAAGTCATTTCCCAACGTTGAGTTTCCAATGCTTTCCTGAAACCGTCCTTCTTTGTTGGAGGTTATTGTTTTCCTCCGGGAGGCCCCATGCACTGCTCGTGCCTCTTTTTAGCACTGTGTTTAACATTCCTTCATTAGACTGTGAGATTTGGGAGAAGTGAGTCCATGTCTAACTTCTGGGGGCTGGTGTAGATGCTACCCCACAGCACATGCTCCACAGATGCTTGTGGGAGAATGGAAAGGAAGAGAGGAGAGAGAAGAAAGAGAAGGAAAAAGGGTGGGTCCAAAGCTTAGCAGTTAGGTTTATCAACGGTAAACATGGTGGCCAGCAGCATTTGAGACCCCAATCCTAGCAAGAAGGGGTACTGAGGAACACACACCAGTGAGCTTCTCGGCTTCTCGTGGATCCTGAGATTATGGTGTAGGCTTTCCCCTCCTTTTCTGTCTCCTCCTGGCTTCATGGAATAAATTGAGCCACAGACACAAACATACCAGGTCTCCCCCTGGAGCCAGATCTTATGCCCCCACTGAAGACACCCACTTGGAAGAGTCTCTGGGTTCCATAAATAGCACAAACCAGAGGTGCCCCACTGTCTCCCTGGGAATGAGGAAAGGAAGAACAGTCTGCAGTCAATGGCACCTCCAGCAGGAACAGGGAGGGGAAAATGGGAGGGTCCTAGTGGTGTAGGCTAGGGCCCCCCCATTTGGGAACCTAGAAAGTGAGGGGGTACCTGGAGGGAGGAGGAGGCTGGGCAGGGGTGAGTACCTTGAAGATACCATTGGTGCCTGGTTCGTTCCAAGCACAAATCATGTTCCTGGACAGCTGGTTTATCCTCTTGGCACATTCTTTCCGGCTAATCTGCACCACTCTCAGCTTTTCCAGGTGCATGTTTAAGTCATCATATTGGTCTGACAAAGGGAGAAAGCTGGTGTGAGAGTGAGCACTGCATCAGCCGGCAACAGTGAACAGCCCACACGCGATCAGCGTGGAAGCCTGGGAGGCCACCAACGTCCAGCAGATGACAAATTCACAGGGCATAGAGGCCTGGGATGACTTCAGTCTCCACTCCAACAGCCCCAACAAGAAGTTCCTCCACTAAATGTGCTTCCTGTGGGAAGCTCACTCTCTCCAGAAACAGCCCACAAAAGCCCCAGCCTGGAATGAAGGTCCTCCCTGGCCCCACCATCTCTTCACAGCCAGGCTTTGCCCCATGCAGAGGATCAGAGCAGCCCAACCTTTGAATTGGTGTTGTCCAGTGTCTTCACCAACCCAAATGGAGAACCCAAAAAGAAGACACATCTGGTCATGCCACCTTGTAGGAAGGAACTGACCACAATGCCAGGGGCACTCTTGGCCTTCTCCCCCCAACACTCCCACCCTCCCAGAGATCTTCCCTGGCCAGGCAGCCTGGTGCCTTGCAGGGAAAAGGATGGAGCTTGGTTGGAGAATCACTGGCTCAGAGCTATCTTGGGATGGTGTTTTACATGGGGTGGCCAATAGATGGGGAGATGGCCATCGTGAAAGAGCCACAGGCGGGAAGATGCAAACTGGCTTATCATGCTTTTGGCACCACAAAAATTATCATCGCTCTCATATTTTGAGATTCTTCTATGTCCTAGGCTTTTACTGGGGACCTCATTTAATTTAATCCCCATACCTTTTTGAGGAGGTGTTCCTGGCATTCTGCAGATGAGAAAACTGAAGGTGAGGAAGGTGAAGGAGCTCAAGAGAGTTAAAACCACAGTTCAGACCCAAGCATTACCGCACCCAAAGCATCATGCTCTCTAGCCTAGGGTACCCTACATTGGGGCTTTCTATGAGTTCTGAAAAGAGGGCACGTACCATACCCATTGGTCGTTACCCACTGTGCCATCCAACACCAGTCCCAGGTCCTCTCCTCCTCCTGCAGGCAGACAGGCATTTTGAAATTGCTGAATTGCACTGGTGTGGCAAGTAGAAGCAGAGAGAGGTCACTGTCGAGCTGGGGCGGTTTGTAATCTTTGTGAATAATGACCTTCTGCACTTGCTTTCTCTCCGAGTGGATGTTGCTGAATGTTCTCGTTCCCATGACCACAGTGACATTTACCACGGCCATGTCTAATCTAAAGAACGAATATAAAAACACCAGTGCTAACAAGGGTGACTGATAGTGCAATTCACATTTGTAGACACATCTGTAAACAGTGAGTTGACAACTAAGGAGAAGTCCAGTGCAGTGGGTGAGCTACAGTGGTCTGGAGCATGGCTAGGATCAGATAGGTAGGAATCAGGGGCCCAAGCTCTGACAAATCTCTGAACCAATGGGTTGACAGTCCAGGGAAACTCTCCTGACCAAAAGAAGAGGAATGAATCCCTCTGAGAGATGAGATTGTAAGCTCCTTGATGACAGGGACCTTGGCAGTGTTGTCAACTCCTATGTCCACAGCACTTGGAACAGTACATAGTAGGTGCTCAGCGGGAAGGTGTTCAATCAATGATTCCAGTGTGTTGTCTTCATACACAGATGACAGGCAGGACAGAGTGTATTGGATGTACTGGGTGCATAGCTCTGACTACAGCCCACATTTGGATATGATTGGCTAAATAAAGGGGAGGGAGTGGGTGTACAGCAGAGACCCTGGGGTACAAAGCCCATGCAACATTTTGCACATAGAACCTAGGGCTTCATAGGCCTGTGCACTGGCCTACTGAGCTGCCTAGCCCAGACAATACATTGACAAGACGGGATGTAGATGAAGACACTTACAGGGTTCTTCGGAAGCAGTGTGCGGCTGTCAGAACCCACCACCAATGTAAGATTGAGCCTCCACAGAGGTGTTTCCGTGACATCTGGATACTCACTTGCCACGGGCACTCACCATTCTGGACTTGAAGCCGTTCATGAAATGGTAACCATGACGAGTTTGGAAAAGCAGGCCTGTGGCCACATTGTACGTTTTCTGAAAGAGAAAGGAAAGAGCCATTTGTACATGAGAAGCATGGAGAGATCCCTATCCCTTAATCCCAGAATCTTCCCAAGTAAGACCAGTGTTGAAAGCTGAGCAAGGTAGCACCAACAGCAAACAGGCCGAGGAGAGGGAGAGCTCAGAAAACACCAGCAACCTGCACCTTTTTCCGTGTTCATTCTTCACAGCCGCAGAGAGCTGAGAGACCTGGTAAACTTTGAGCAGGGCTCTTTCAGAGGCATATAGGGTTAGAGTGGCCATGGAGATGCACCAAAGGTACACAGGGTCCACTTACGAGATGGAAGCTGTGCAGTGATTTGAACAAGGAAAGTTTAACAGGAAGAATCACACACTGTAACTGGGGAGCGACTACGAAGCATCAGGAGCACTCTAAGATACAGCAGGGCAGGAGGAGAGTATCTGAGGAGGAGCCGAACTTGGCAGGGGAGCCTCTCCCCCTCCCCAGGAGTGGGACTCACAACACATTGAAGAAGGTGTCTGCAGCCCAGCAGAAGGCAGAGACATTTGCCGGGTTGCCCGGGGCCAGAGCTGATCCCCTTTGCTAGAGAAGCAGAATACACCTCTCGGGAGTTCAGGTGGCCAGGAAACGGTGGCCATGACTGGCAACAAGGAACACCCCTCTGGAGCGCAGGTGGACTGGTGCACCACACAGGTGCCTGCCCACTGGCTAGGGAGGGTGCAAGACCTGGGTGTGTGTGTCTGTCTGTCTTGGGACAGCTGCACTGAAAAGGTGTAGAGGGCTCGGGGGATTTCGAGGCTGATCCAAGAAAAAGATATGATCACGAGGTGGTGGCAGCATACACAGGTTTCATTTGAGAAATGCTTTGGGAGGTTGCATGTGGGGGAAGAAGCCCTTTACAGCCTGAGACTATCTGGAGGTTAAGGAGACACCATCCAGAAGAGGAAGAGGACAAGGGGACTTCTGAGGAAAGAGGACTCTGACAGGGGTTACTCGTCTAGGTGATGTGGTTCACTGGCACAGTGGGGAGTCTCTGGGTCAGAGAGCTCTCAAGGGCAGCAATGGCTTGGGGTCTTTTATAGCCACAGGCTTCATATTACCTGTGGCTAGCAGATGTTGGGTGCAGTTTCACAGGGTATGCAAAGCAGACAAGCTTTAGATGGCTAAATATCTGTTTATTTAGACTATGTTCAAAAACAGCTGGATGTGTAAAACATTGAGTTTGGGACCAGCAGGCTTTTGAGCTAATGAGAAGCCTGCTGTGAAGAAATTGACAAGCTAAGGGCCATCCTTGGCTCATTTGTGGAACAGGTCACTGAACAGAAGACAGGGCTCGAGCTCACTGAGAGAGGCATGGCAGAGCCGAGCAACACCAGGTGTTCCCCACATGCTGGTGGCAACCACGCCATAGGAGCAAGAAGCAGCAAACAGAAGCATGCTGGAGAGGACCAGGAAGAAAGGCCCCTTCCACCTGCAGTATCCTTCCAGCACCTACTGCTGAGAATGCTTAATGTTGTGCTTGCTACGAAGAAAAATTTCTTACAGGGTCCAGCTGCATTACTGCCAACCCAGTTTACAGGGATCCAAAGAAGGCCTGTAGGGGGTTGGGGCGCAAAAAAGACATGCAGAGTAAAGGACATGGTCACTGTGGCCACCAGTCTCCAGCAAGTATCCATGCCCGGAAGGACTCCTGGAAATAGCCCAGGAAAATGAGAAGCAAATAGAGACTTGGCACAGGCATAATAAATGTGTATTCTTTTTTAAAGGAACAGGGATGGGAAAAAAACAGCAACATTTACTAGATGAAACTCTAAATAGGAAAATGTTACCCAGAACAAATAAAAAAATCTGAGTAGTATATTTTGCCATAAATCATAAAAAATAAAACCTTATAAAGCAATCACCTATGTGAAAGAAGATTATAAATTAGAAACTCAAGGAAGACTTTGTAAGAAAACACGAGGAGAAAGTGAGAAAAAGGAGGAGATGGGGCATGAGCTGGCAGAAGTCGGGCTAGAAACAGAAGAATAAAATACAGAAAATTCTTTGGACAGCATAGTAAGGGATAAGGAGTATGTAAATTAGAGAAGCAATGCAAATCAAAGCAGAGTTTAAAAGAGAGATTTTTGTGTGAATGTAATTTTTAATTTTGGGGGGATAAATACCTAGATAGATAGGGACTGCTAGGTCATGTGGTCAGTGCACGCTCAACCTTTTACAAAACTGCCCAGTTGCTTTCCACATGGCTGCACCATTTTGCATTCCCATCAACAATGGATAAGAACTCCGGCTGGGTGCAGTGGCTCACGCCTATAATCCCAGCACTTTGGGAGGCCGAGGCAGTTGGATCAACTGAGGTCAGGAGTTTGAGACAAGGCGGACTAACATGGTGAAACCCTGTCTCTACTAAAAATACAAAAATTAGCTGGGCATGGTAGCATGGGCCTGTAGTCCCAGCTGCTTGGGATGCTGAGGCAGGAGGCAGGAGAATCACTTGAACCCAGGAGGCAAAGGTTGCAGTGAGCCAAGATCACACCACTGCACTCCAGCCTGGGAGACAGAGCAAGACTCTAAGACTCTGTCTCAAAAAAAAAAAAAAAAAAAAAAAAAAAAAAAAAAAAAAACAGTGGATAAGAGTTCCTATCACTTTACATCTTTACATCCTTGCCAACACTCGGTACTATCAGAAGTTTTTATTTTACCCACTGTAGCAGACACACAGGAATATTTATTGTGGGATTGTTCACAATCCTCCAAACTGCAAATACCCAAATATCCCTCAATGGGTGAATGGATAAGAGAACTGTAATCTATCCACATGGTGGAATACCACCCAGGAATAAAAAGGAACTATTGGCGCATGCAACAACAGAGAAGTCTCAAGTGCATTATGCTAAGTCAGAGAACCCAGGCTGAGAAGGTCACATACTGTGTAGGGTTATATTTATATGGCATTCTGGACAAGGCAAAACTCTGGGTGTGGATAACAGGTCAGTGGCTGCCAGGAGTTGGGGGTCGGGGAGGGGTGAGTACAAAGGAGCAGATAGAGGGGATTCTTGGGAGTACTAAAAATTTCAATATCTTGTCTAAAAGTGAGGTTAACATGAATCTTTGTAAAAATAATTAGAAAAATGATAGCTAGAGAATATGGGCAATGATTGTTCTTGAATTTTAAATGACACATAAAAATAGGAATAGATGAGCATTTCCCTAACATGATAAAGTGTATCTACCTTGGCCCGCAAGTGAGTAGCATGCTGACTGGGGAAAAGCTGGAAGCCTCCCCACGGAGTCAAGAACAGCACAGATGTCCACTACCTCTGCTACTTGTTACCATTGTACGGGCAGCTAGGAGGAGATGGTGATAGATTTTGAGCAGAGGGAGCCCAGAGGATCCCTCCGCACACAGGAGGGGAGTGAGACAGGGCTTCCATCTAGAAGAGTCTATGAGGGGCCAGGCGCGGTGGCTTACGCCTGTCATCCCAGCATTTTTGAGATGCCCGGCAGGCAGATCATATGAGGCCAGGAGTTCAAGACCAGCCTGGCCAACATGGTGAAACCCCATCTCTACTGAAAATACAAAAATTAGCCAGTCATGGTGGTGGGCACCTGTAGTCCCAGCTACTTGAGAGACTGAAGCAGGAGAATTGCTTGAACCCGGGAGGAAGAGGTTGCAGTGAGCAGAGATCGCGCCACTGCACTCTAGCCTGGGTGACACAGCAAGATTCTGTTTAAAAAAAAAAAAAAAAAGAGTCTCTGACTGGGCCAGGGATAGTTGGAGGTATAGTCATGGGTCGCTTAAAAATAGTGTTGGAAGTTCTGGCCAGGGCAATTAGGCAGGAGAAGGAAATAAAGGGTATTCAATAAGGAAAAGAGGAAGTCAAATTGTCCCTGTTTGCAGATGACATGATTGTATATCTAGAAAACCCCATTGTCTCAGCCCAAAATCTCCTTAAGCTGATAAGCAACTTCAGCAAAGTCTCAGGATACAAAATCAATGTACAAAAATCACAAGCATTCTTATACACCAATAACAGACAAACAGAGAGCCAAATCATGAATGAACTCCCATTCACAATTGCTTCAAAGAGAATAAAACACCTAGGAATCCAACTTACAAGGGACGTGAAGGACCTCTTCAAGGAGAACTAGAAACCACTGCTTAATGAAATAAAAGAGGATACAAACAAATGGAAGAACATTCCATGCTCATGGGTAGGAAGAATCAATATCGTGAAAATGTCCATACTGCCCAAGGTAATTTATAGATTCAATGCCATCCCCATCAAGCTACCAATGACTTTCTTCACAGAATTGGAAAAAACTACTTTAAAGTTCATATGGAACCAAAAAAGAGCCCACATTGCCAAGTCAATCCTAAGCCAAAAGAACAAAGCCGGAGGCATCACGCTACCTAACTTCAAACTATACTACAAGGCTACAGTCACCAAAACAGCATCGTACTGGTACCAAAACAGAGATGTAGATCAATGGAACAGAACAGAGCCCTCAGAAATAATGCCGCTTATCTACAACCATCTGATCTTTGACAAACCTGATAAAAACAAGCAATGGGGAAAGGATTCCCTATTTAATAAATGGTGCTGGGAAAACTGGCTAGCCATATGTAGAAAGCTGAAACTGGATCCCTTCCTTACACCTTATACAAAAATTAAGATGGATTAAAAACTTACATGTTAGACCTAAAACCATAAAAACCCTAGAAGAAAACCTAGGCAATACCATTCAGGACATAGGCATGGGCAAGGACTTCATGTCTAAAATACCATAAGCAATGGCAACAAAAGCCAAAATTGACAAATGGGATCTAATTAAACTCAAGAGCTTCTGCACAGCAAAAGAAACTATCATCAGAGTGAACAGGCAACCTACAAAATGGGAGAAAATTTTCGCAACCTACTCATCTGACAAAGGGCTAATATCCAGAATCTACAATGAACTCAAACAGATTTACAAGAAAAAAACAAACAAACCCATCACAAAGTGGGCGAAGGATATGAACAGACACTTCTCAAAAGAAGACATTTATGCAGCCAAAACACACATGAAAAAATGCTCATCATCACTGGCCATCAGAGAAATGCAAATCAAAACCACAGTGAGATACCATCTCACACCAGTTAGAATGCCGATCACTAAAAAGTCAGGAAACAACAGGTGCTGGAGAGGATGTGGAGAAATAGGAACACTTTTACACTGTTGGTGGGACTGTACACTAGTTCAACCATTGTGGAAGTCAGTGTGGCGATTCCTCAGGGATCTAGAACTAGAAATACCATTTGACCCAGCCATCCCATTACTGGGTATATACCCAAAGGATTATAAATCATGCTGCTATAAAGACACATGCACACGTATGTTTATTGCGGCACTATTCACGATAGCAAAGACTTGGAACCAACCCAAATGTCCAACAACGATAGACTGGATTAAGAAAATGTGGCACATATACACCATGGAATACTATGCAGCCATAAAAAATGATGAGTTCATGTCCTTTGTAGGGACATGGATGAAAATGGAAACCATCATTCTCAGCAAACTATCGCCAGGACAAAAAACCAAACACCACATGTTCTCACTCACAGGTGGGAATTGAACAATGAGAACACATGGACACAGGAAGGGGAACATCACACTCTGGGGCCTGTTGTGGGGTGGGGGGAGGGGGGAGGGATAGCATTAGGAGATATACCTAATGCTAAATGACGAGTTAATGGGTGCAGCACACCAGCATGGCACATGTATACGTATGTAGCAAACCTGCACATAGTGCACATGTACCCTAAAACTTAAACTATAATAATAATAAAATAATAAAAAGAAAAATTCCAAACACCATTTATCAAAGATTATCTCCCTCCTCACAAATCTGAATTGTCTCCTTGAAAATAGCTTTATATTATTATATATAATCACATTTTATCTATCGTAAGGGCAATGTCTATATCAGATTAAGAATAACTGACAAGAGAATTTGCCTGTTAACACTCTGTGTTGCACCAATATGATGGAACAAACTGCTAGGCACTTGATTACTTTCTAATAACAAAATTCTCAATTGCTTTACCTGCTCTGAGATTTAAATATAATGCATATCCCACATGGTTAGCACAGTGTCTAACACTAAGCTCAAAAAGCATTTACTAAAATGAACTAAATTATGGCAAGGCTGACAGAAAGCCCCATGAGAAGAAAGACGTTTTAAACACAAGAAGGTGGAAGGTTCTTCCAAGTAATGAGAAAAGTTAAGTGGTAACAGGAGAATTTTACAAGAAACACACAACTAAAAAGTACAGATTTCATAAACTCTCTTCTTACCAATTACTATGTAAATATTACTGATTTTCAAGTAACTCCCCTTATAGTTAAGGTTAGTTTACACTTTCAGTAATGACAAAAATCACACTGACAAAATATACTTTAATTCTCATTCTTCATTAACTAACACATACTTAGTTCTTCATTGAAAAACTCTCATCTCTATTATGACATGAGAATGTTTCATTCATAAATG
Source organism: Homo sapiens (assembly GCF_000001405.40). Taxonomy (NCBI): domain Eukaryota; kingdom Metazoa; phylum Chordata; class Mammalia; order Primates; family Hominidae; genus Homo; species Homo sapiens. The sequence continues at coordinate 10,505,333 of NC_000008.11, forward strand.
AAAATTGGTGACCCTAAGTTTCAAACTCCAAGACATTATGACTACATTCAGTGTTTTCAAAGGAATCTTAATTTCAACTTTGTTCATTAAAATTTGTGAATCGATGGCCTGAGGAAATTTTCAGTAGAAATATGTTAAATTCAGTAAGGCATTATTTAGAGAACATGTATAATTTTCATTAAGCTGAACAGTGAAAAGATGAGATGCTATTTTATATTGGCCTCTGATATGGTTTGGCTTTGTGAACCCACCCAAATCTTATCTTGAATTGTAATACCGTAATCCCCACGTGTCATGGGAGGAACCCCGTAAGAGGTAACTGAATCAGAGTGAGTTCTCCCAAGATCTGATGGTTTCATAAGCATCTGGCATTTCCCCTGGTGGCACTCATTCTCTCTCCTGCTGCCCTGTGAAGAGGTGCCTTTCACCATGATTATAAGTTTCCTGAGGTTTCCCCAGCCACACAGAACTGTGAATCAGTTAAACCTCTTTTCTTTATGAATTAACCAGTCCTGGGTGTTTCTTCATAGCAGTGCAAGAATGGACTAATACAGCCTCAAAATATGAATTTATCAGGAAAACATTCTTCATTTCAAATAACATCTAATCAGTGAAATCCCTATCAAATAAACGTATTTCATATTTTTTAGTCCAAAGTCAATATTGTTACCATCTCTCTCCTCTTCCTCTCCCTATGAAAAAAAAGACCTTCCAACTTTCATATTCTCAATAGGTAAGGCAATCTCTTGATTATGAATTTAATATATAAGACTCTTAAATATGTTTAGGCATATTATATCTTTTTAATAAGAACAGCTGGTTGACAAGTAAACAGTAATCATAGGGAAAGGCAAGTCTTTCAAGTTTGAAACCAAATTCCATTAACACAGAAAAATAAGAGGCATTCACAGGAAGGAAGTTTTTAAGGTCAGGTGATTCCTATTATTAGCCAGAGGAGGATGAAAATCTGATGGTGGCTCCTGACACTGAAAAGTGGGTATGGAGATACATGATCCTTTGTAGGGTTGATGTAGTTAAACAAAAAGTGATATTTTCTTGGAGCAGATCATCTGTGATTGTCACAGAGGTTTTCAAAACTTAATAATCCTCAAACAGTAACCAGGTCTATTGATCCAGGTTGGCAGGGAGGGCAGGGAGGAGTTTGGGACAAAAAAGAGATAACTAACATTCACTGAGACAAGTATTATTAGCCCATCTTACAAATATGAAAACTTTGGTTTGAAGATTTCAAGGAACAGGAAAAATTACACTGCTAACTGGAAGACGTATCAGGGTTTAAACACAAATTTATCTTCTTCCAAACATTATCCCCTCTGTACAATACCACATCAACAAATGCTTCTGTCAGAAGAAATCTATGAAGTCATATATAGAAAATTATAGGATAATATAACCTAGGTGATATTTTCGTATCTCCTACGCATTGAACGTAATGATACTGCACAATAAACACAAATATGGCAGAGAAAAAAAATGGGATACATTCTGAGAAATGTGGGGTTAAAGGCAAGCATCATAGAGTGAACTTACATACAGCTAGATGGTGTAGCCTGCTCACACCTAGGCTGTATGGCATAGCCGATCGCTCCTAGGCTACAAAACCATACAGCAAGTTACTGTACTGAATATTGTAGGCAACTGTAACACGATGGTATTTGTGTATCTAAACATAGAGAAGGTACAGTAAAAATATGACATAAAAGATATTACAGTGCCCTCGTCCAGGGCATTTTACCATGAATGGAGCTCGCAGGACTGGAGTTGCTCTGGGTGAGTCAGTGAGTTAGCAGTGAGTGAATGTGAAGGCCTAGGACAGGAGTCTGCACGGTGGTAGACTTTGTAAACACTGTACACTTAGGCTACATTATATTTATAAAGAATAGTTTTTCTTTCTTCATTAATAAATTAATCTTAGCTTCTGTAACTTTTTTTACCTATAAACTTTTATGTTTTTAATATCTTAAAATTCTTTGGTCATAACATAGCTTAAAATACACATTGTACACTGTAAAAATATTTTCTTTCTGGCTGGACACGGTGGCTCACGCCTGTAACCCCAGCACTTTGGGAGGCCGAGGCGGGCAGATCATGAGGTCAGTAGTTCGAGACCAGCCTGGCCAATATGGTGAAACCCCATCTCTACTAAAAATACAAAAATTAGCTGGGTATGGTGATGCGTGCCTATAGTCCCAGCTACTTGGGGGGCTGAGGCAGGAGATTACTTGAACCCGGAGGCAGAGGTTGCAGTGAACCAAGATTGCACCACTGCACTCCAGCCACAGTGAGACTCCGTCACACACACACAAAAAAATTCTTTCTTTATATCCTTATTTTTATGAAATAAAATACAAACAACCCCATCAAAAAGTGGGTAAAGCATATGAACAGACCTTTCTCAAAAGAAGACATTTATGCAGCCAAAAGACACATGAAAAAATGCTCATCATCACTGGCCATCAGAGAAATGCAAATCAAAACCACAATGAGATACAATCTTACACCAGTTAGAATGGTGATCATTAAAAAGTCAGGAAACAACAGGTGCTGGAGAGGATGTGGAGAAACAGGAACACTTTTACACTCTTGGTGGCACTGTAAACTAGTTCAACCATTGTAGAAGTCAGTGTGGCGATTCCTCAGGGATCTATATAACTAGAAATACCATTTGACCCAGCCATCCCATTACTGGGTATATACCCAAAGGACTATAAATCATACTGCTATAAAGACACATGCACACCTATGTTTATTGCGGCACTATTCACAATAGCAAAGACTTGGAACCAACCCAAATGTCCAACAACGATAGACAGGATTAAGAAAATGTGGCACATATACACCATGGAATACTATGCAGCCATAAAAAATGATGAGTTCATGTCCTTTGTAGGGACATGGATGAAGCTGGAAACTATCATTCTGAGCAAACTATCACAAGGACAAAAAACCAAACACCACATGTTCTCACTCATAGGTGGGAATTGAACAATGAGAACACATGGACACAGGAAGGGGAACATCACACTCTGGGGCCTGTTGTGGGGTGGGGGGATGGGGGAGGGATAGCATTAGGAGATATACCTAATGTTAAATGACGAGTTAATGGGTGCAGCACACCAACATGGCACATATATACACATGTAACTAACCTGCATGTTGTGCACATGTACCCTAAAACTTAAACTATAATAAAAAAAGATTTAAAAAATTAATTTTTACTTTTTAAACATTTTTAAAGAAATTAAGACACACACACACATTAGCCCTTCATAGACCTACACAGGGGTCAAGATCATCAATATCACGGTCTTCTACCTCTACCTCTTGTCCCACTGGGAGGTCTTCAGGGCCAAGAACATGCATGGAGCTGTCATCTCCTATGATAACAATACCTTCTGGATACCTCCCGAAGGACCTGTCTCAGGCTGTTTTATAGTTAATTATTTTTTAATAAGAAGGAGTATACTCTAAAATTATGAAATATATATAGTGTAATAAATACATAAATCAGTACCATAATCGCTTATCTTTATCAAGTATTATTTGATGTGCATAATTGTATATGCTGGACTTTTATACAACTGACAGTATGGGAGGTTTGCTAAAACCAGCAGCACCACGACACATCAGTGATGAGTTGTGCTCTGGTGACAGCTACCACGTCACCAGGGGACAGGAATTTCTCAGCTCCATTGTAGTCTTGTGCGACCACTGTCATATATGCAGTTTGTCATTGCCCCAAACGTTGTTATGCATACCCTGACTGTTTTTTTTCTTTTTTTTTTCTTTTTTTTTGAGACAGAGTCTCGCTCTGTCACCCAGGCTGGAGTGCAGTAGTGTGATCTCGGCTCACTGCAAGCTCTGCCTCCCGGATTCACGCCATTCTCCTGCCTCAGCCTCCTGAGTAGCTGGGACTACAGGCGCCCGCCACCACGCCCGGCTAATTTTTTGTACTTTTAATGGAGAAGGGGTTTCACTGTGTTAGGCAGGATGGTCTCAATCTCCTGACCTCGTGATCTGCCCACCTCGGCCTCCCAAAGTGCTGGGATTATAGGCGTGAACCACCGCGCCTGGCCCCCTGACTGTATTTAAAGTTGAGGGATGTGATCTTGCCCTGGCTCCTTCAGGATACTTATTTGCGGTCCCACCTGGTTTTTCCCCGCAAGAATCTGCTCTGAAAGGTCATTTCTCTACCTCTGTGCTCCTAGGACTTTACCTATGAACTTGTTTAAAGTTCATTTTAAGTATAATATTTACCAATTGTTTTTGTAAAAAAGTTATTTAAATTTTAAGGAAATTTGAAAGTCCTTTTTCTGAAAAAAAAAAAAAAAAAAAAAACAAAACAAAACAAAAAACAAAAAACTGTTTTTCAGTGAATAACACTCGGCTCACCCAATGTATCAATTTCTTCTGTTTTGATGTTTGGAAGTTAAAATTTGTTGCTTGATTAAATCTTTTCCTTTTCATTTCTTCTTATGGTTTAAATGCTCAGAAAGTCATTCTCTTTTATAAGAAATTATTGAAGAAACTTCTTTTGAATGAATCTGTCCATGTCCATCTGTCATGATTGCCATCGTTTGCTCTAATAATCTTCTCTTTAAGAGAAGCAGCATTAGTGATGTTACAGCATTAGAATGTAAATTCAATAAACATAGGTTGCCAAGGACACCAAGTTTATGACAATAAATTAGTAGATATTTATGCTAGAAGATGTCACTCTGCAGCATTAGAATGCTTTAACATCATTGGGAGAATTTATTTAGGGCTCATCTCTTGTTAATTCAGGGTGGATATTTCTCATCCCATCTCTTGCCCCAGATTTTTATTTCACGTTTTGCAATTCCAGACTTGAAATTTAAATCAGAGTAGGAAAGGTCTTCCATACTTCTCACAGTTCCACTCTTGATCTCCTCATTTTCTCCCCATTCTCTCTGCATTGCTCCCTCCCCATCTCTGTAGAGTTTCTCATATTCCCAAGTGAACACATATATACGGAGGATGCAAGCCCACGGTGAGCTCCAAACCCAGCTTAGCATGAATGTGTAGCAATAGCTGCTGTTACAGATGCCTGGTTGGTTTCAGTTTTGGTTGTTACACTGAAACTGAGTGGTAATCATGCTCCACCAATACAAAAATAGACAAATGTTTGTTTTTATATTGAAGATTTAAACCAAATCTGAATTCAGTGCCCAAATTCTTCATCAAAGAGTTTGTTCAATTCTCAGAACTCACAGCCACCAAGTTTAAGAACGCGTGGTTGCAGCGGTAGAATTTTTAACAGTCTTGGTCGCAGCACTAAGGAAAACCCAACGGCTAGCAGCATTTAAACAGAGAGTAAACATTCACTTTATGTTTAATGCTGACAATGCTTAAAATTCAGTAAACACAGACTGCCCAGGACACCAAGTTTATGGCAATAAATTAGTAATATTTATGTTAGAAGATGTCACTTTGCAGAAACTGGCACTGTCTTTTTTTACTCTTGCCACCCTGTGAGGATATTGCAATTTACTCTGAGTTGGTTGTTGTCAGTCCTCCTGTTTCCCCAGGTTGACCCCACGTGAATCAGAGATTGCTTTGGCCTATGTGGCCTGGAGCTGTTCTCTTCCCCATTGAAGCTGCCACTTCTTCCTCAAGCCCCTGCATCTCCAATAATCCCCCACATTCCAACACGCAGAGGAGGGCCCTGTCCTTCCTCTTCCTGTGCCCCTCCCTCCGTCAGCCCCCTCGGCATCTCTCCTTGGGACTGTGGGGCAGTCTCCTCACCCTCATGTTAGCCCTGATCCCTCGACCCCCTCCTCCCACCTCCTACACGGCCAACTCAGTTCCCTGGCTAGCATGTGGGAGTGATCTTGCTGATTTTCTCCTTAAACCCTTCCACAGTCCCTTCCCACATCCACAAACAAGACAAAGTCACATTGCTCAGAGGGTAGGAAAAAACAAACTGTTTCCTCCTACTCTATACGCCCCCACTCTCAATAGTTCGTTTCTGATGCCAGATGGTTGGGTGTTTTCCCCACACTAAGCAATTTTCCATGGGGCCCCAGCTGGGCCTCCTACAATTCAACTCAATCTGATAGAAACCAGAGTTAGCGCAGACCCCACAAGGTACGGGCTCAGTCTCACGCTTCAAACCCCCCACTTCAGATGACAATCACAAATAGTAGGTTCCCAGGTCACAACTTCTGACTTGACTACAAACTGGGGATTCCCACAACCCCATCCTCAGGTTTCATGATTCACTAGAGCAGCTCACAGAACACAGGAAAAACCATTTACTTACTGTTGCTCATTTATTACAAAGGATATTTTAAATAGTGCAGATGAACAGCCAAACGAAGACATGCCCAGGGCAAGGTATGGGGGAAGGGACGTGGTGCTTCCATGCCCTCTCTGGGCACACCACCTTCCCCGTGTTCAACAACCTGGAATGGCTCCAAATTCTTGCCTTTGGGGGTTTTGTGGAGACTTTTTGACATAGTCATGATTGATTAAATCATTGGCCACTTGTGGTCAACTCAACATTCAGCCCCTCTGAGACCCCAAAGCATCTCGAAAACATGTCAACAGGGCACGCACCATGTTGTATTAATTATCTGTTGACATGTCTGTCTCCGTGACTAGACTATAAATGTCTTGAGGCTGTAAATCACACTGTGCCCTCTTTGTGTTGCTAACATTTAACAGTCTTTGAATATGTTAAGTTTCAGTAAATGTTTATTGAATAAATGAGTGAACAAAAAAGCTATACATTTCCTGAATGTTTTGAGCACTTTATAATTTCAGCTTATGCAGCCTTTTGGAGTCATTACTCACAGAGGTTTACCACCCATAATTTTCACTTTCTATTTATCCCAATTTTAAGCTTTTTAGATCTTCAAACTGTGCTCAGAACAACTCGTTTAGAGGATTGAATCAGAAAGTCTTACTTCTGCTGGCACAAAACCTTGGAAACCTTGATTCTCTCTCAGGAACTGGTTGAATCTGGGTAGCAACAAAGAGCTATTAATTATTCATTATTCACTCACTCATCTATTCATCTCAGAAATATTTACTGAAAATCAACCAGGCATAAGGTTGTATATTATCTTAGTGGCAAATGTGAGCTTCAAACCCAGGTCTTCTCAATCCTAGTTCAATGCTATTCCTTCCACAAAGACCATCTGTCAATGAGGCCCAGCCCCTTCCTCAAGGATCCTACAGGGCAGGACATTACAATAGTAACAGCTAATACCTATTGTAGACCAGGCACTGTGCTATGTTCTTGATCTTATACATATTAACTCCTTTAATCTTCACTTATAAGATGGATTCTATTATTAAATCTATTTCACAGAAGTAACGGAGGCCCAGAGAGGCAGGCAATTTCCTCGGGAGCATACTGTTAGTAAGTGCTGGAACCCAGAACAGAAGCCAGGCAGTCTGGTTCTAGAGTCACTGGAATTGAGCACGACACTTGTAGTTTGGATCTGTGTCCCCACTCAAATCTCGTGTTGAACTGTAGTACCAGAGTTGGAGGTGGGGCCTGAAGGGAGCGGATTTGATCATGGGGTGGATTTCTCGCGAGTGGTTTACCATCATCCCCTTGGTTGTGTTCTCGCGATAGTGAGTTCTCGCGAGATCTTGTTGTTTAAAAGTGTGTAGCACCTTCCCCTTCTCTCCCTCTTGCTCCTGCTCTGGCCATGTGAAGTGCCTGTTTCCCTTTTGCTTTCTGCCATAATTGGAAGCTTCTTGAGGCCTCCCCAGAAACAGATGCCACGTTGCTTCCTGTGCAGTGTACTGAATCATGAAACCTCCTTTCCTATAAATCACCCAGTCTCAGTCCAGCCTCAGGGACTTCTTCATAGCAATGTGAGAATGGACTAATACAACACTATACTGCCTTTAGTGCACAGTTCTGCCTACTCACGTGCCGTTGCTCCTTCTGGCCACTGTAACGCTAGACTCACGTTTTAGGGTTGCCTCTCTGGACACAGCTGAAAGAAGCAAGCTCCCCATTCTAACTTACATTTTATATGCTTTATTTTCGCTAGCCCCCATGGGAAATCATCACTTTTTTGCCTTATGCATAGCAAAACCTTGGAGATTTTTCCACCAAGGATTTCCACCATCTGGACGTTTTCCATGGATGAACCAGGAAAATAGTTTCCAGGCCCTGACATACATTCTCTACACTATGGCCCTTATGAAAAGATATTGGCCATATTTGGCCATAGTTCCACCACCATTCTTTTTGATGATTTGGACCCTTTATTAATATATTTAGATATTTTCAATATGCCTCAGTTGTTTTAAAATAAAATCGGGTCTGTAGTTTGAGTTTTAATATATAATCTTTTCTTTGAATTGTAAAATAACTTTACAGTGACATTTGAGGAAAGATGGCTTATAAATACATCATGCACACAATATACATATACATCTATCCTAGGTGTATACTGAAATTAACCAAATATATTTTAATTTTTTTTTTTTTGAGACTGAGTTCAGCTCTTGTTGCCCAGGCTGGGGTGCAAATGGTGCGATCTCGGCTCACTGCAACCTCCACCTCCCAGGTCCAAGCAATTCTCCTGCCTCAGCCTCCCAAGTAGCTGGGATTACAGGTGCCCACCACTGCGCCCAGCTAACTTTTTATATTTTTAGTAGAGACAGGGTTTCACCACGTTGGTCAGGCTGGTCTCAATCTCCTGACCTTAGGTGATCCACCTGCCTCGGCCTCCCAAAGTGCTGGGATTACAGGCGTGAGTCACCGCGCCAGGCCAAAATGCATTTTTATGAAAGAAAAAAAAAAGTATCTGTGTTGAAATTAGAAGAACCAAACTCTTGCTGCAAACTTTGTATGTTTTCATTATAATTTTACCAGGATGAAAGGAGACCCAGAAAATACACATAGACATGTAGCATTGCTATTCTAGAGTTCCTTGAAATGCAGAGGCCTGGGAACAACATGAAGAAAAGTCCACAGAGTCCCACCACTACCTACAGCTCAGAGGACAAAAGCCTGTGGCTAGGCAGACAGTGAAAGGACAGGGAGCTCTCCTTGGAAGCCACTTGACCTCTGTTGGGACAGGCTGGAGTGAACACTCTGCCTGTATGATGCCTCCCCTCCCAACCTTGACACGGCTTCTACAAGGCTGGGGGCATCATGAGGAGGCAACTAAGTTTCCCAGGCGGTACTAGAGCCATGTTTGCAGAGAAAAATATGTATCTGGCTCAGGAAATTAAAAAGGCTTTGAGTTTCAAGAAAATCATCACAAGGAGGGAAGAACCTCCTAAAATCCAAGGATACCCCTACACATGAAAAGATTCCATCCAAGCTGATAGAACTTCACTCCTTTCCTGGCCCCCTTTTGAGAGAAAGTATTCCAATAATGTATTCCTGGACTGTGACTGATCCTGACCCCAACTCCCTCGCCACTGTCCCCAGGCAGGCTGAACAGGATGATAAATTGCCAGCATACAGCCCTCCCGGTACAGAGAGAAGATCATGACTAGGCTCATGTCAGAAGGGAAAGACAGCAGTGGGTTTCTATCTAGATCATGTGGACCAAAAGGCAGATCTCCTAGAACTGGCCCCGAGTTAAAAACAAACAAGCTGAAAAATAGGAAAATCTTGCAAAACTATTACAAAAAAAGAAACAAAATGTACAACATACACATGAATAATACATTTGTTTGGCTAGTATCAGGGGAAAAAATAGCTTAGAGCTGTTTTATGCAAGGATGTTGAAGAAAAGATGAAACACTATAAAACAGGAGCTCATAAGCGGAAAGAATAAAATAAAAAGGAGCTGGCAGGAACAGAGAAAAAATAAGGGGTAATAACAGAATTGAAAAATTAGACCGGGCACAGTGGCTCAACCCTGTATTCCCAGGACTTTGGGAGGCGGAAGTGGGCAGATCACTTGAGGTCAGGAATTCGAGACCAGCCTGGCCAACATGGTGAAACCCCAACTCTACTGAAAATAGGAAAATTAGCTGGGCATGGTGGCAGGCTCCTGTAATCCCAGATACTCAGGAGGTTGAGGCAGGAGAATCGCTTGAACCAGGAGGCGGAGGTTGCAGTGAGCCAAGATCATGCCACGGCACTGCAGCCTGGGAGACAGAGCGAGACTCCATCTCAAAAAAAAAAAAAGAAAAAGAAAAGAAAAATTAAAACCAAAATAGATGGAATATGAAATTTGGACAACCTTGTTGCTGAGAATAACTACAAAGTGTAAAATATGTAACATCCCTTGCTCGAAAGCACTAGAGAGTTAAGTTAATGAAGAGTTACTGGGCCAGTTTATAGCAAAAGAAGGAAATCCAAAGAGGTGAGCCAGGCAATAGGAATGCCCTGGGGGCAACTTGGCAGTTTGTAACTCTAGGACCAGTCGATGGGGAGGGGCCTAAGTTCCTGTGGCTTTGTTTAGGAGCTTCATGGTCTGCACCCTAGGAGTATGGGCACTTCACAAGTAAACTGGGCTACAAGTGTACACATGGAATAATATTTCATCTCCTCAAGAGCTGCTGCAATATACCAGGCAATAACAACACACGGCCCAGAAGCTTCACCGACATGGCACATAACAGCTTGAGCACCTTGGATGTGATGGGCAGAGGGGGGCACAGGTGAAGCAGCAAGCACTGGTGCAGTGTTGTTGATTTTTTGTTTTTGTTTTTTGTGATAGAGTCTTACTCTGTCGCCCAGATGGAGTGCAGTGGCATGATCACGGCTCACTGCAACCTCCACCTCCTGGCTTCAAGCAATTCTCCCGTCTCAGCCTTCTGAGTAGCTGGGATTACAGTCACCTGCCACCACGCCTGGCTTTTTTTTTCTTTTTTTTTTTTTGGTATTTTTATTAGAGACAGGGTTTCACCAAGTTGGCCAGGCTGGTCTCGAACTCCTGACCTCATGATCCACCCACCTCGGCCTCCCAAAATGCTGGGATTACAGGCATGAACCACCGCGCATAGGCCGTTAATGACTTTTATAAAACTGTGTGAATTCAGACTGTGTGGTGCGACACAGAGATCAATAAATATGCCAATGAAATAAGCAGCGTCTACAAACAGCCTGATAGATATAATTAGACCTGATTTTTGACAAAAGTGGCAGCTGGGAAACAAATGTTCCCAGATGAGCTGGGTCAGTAGGATATCCAGGTGGAAAAAAATTCATCCTGATCCTTTTATTGTATATGAAAATTGATACCAAATGGATTCAAAATCTAAATGTAAAAGATGAAAGTATGAAACGTCTAGAGAATAACATAGGAAAATATCTTTACTAATCCAGAATGCAGAAAAATTAATTTAAGAAGTGAAGTCACGAAAGCTCTAGAATAATAAAAGCTAACGAATTTTGAGTATGTACAAAGTTTCAAGCACAGTTCTCAGAGCTTTGTGCAAAACTCATTTTCACAACAACCTTAATACAGCCATTTTGCAGATGAGGAAACTGAAATGCAGAAACGTTAAGTAACTCATCCTAAGGTCACATAGCAGGTACATGGAGGAAATATAATTAGAACACAATCTTACTTCAGAGCTCACTCTATGCTGTCCAATATGCTGGATTTATATTCTTGGGATGAAAAAGCCCTTCCAAAAACATGAAATAAAAGCCAAGAATCATAAGTGAAAATACCGACAAGTTTTTTACACACGTTTTAAATTTGTTTCGTCCAAAATAAAATTGCAAGAGAACTGAAGAATTAGGAAGATTTTGCAGCAATTATAAGAGACAAAGCTCTGATGTCATTAAAATTCAAAACGGTCCTACAAATCAACTTTAAAAGCTCACCCAGATAAGAAAAATGGGAAAACTCTAGGAACAGGTAATTCTCAGAAGAATAAATATAAAATGTTCTGAATCAGGCTGGGAGTTGGGGCAAGAGTGATCTTATGGATGGATACATCTCAAAAATGCGAGATTCAATAAAATTAAACTTAGGCCACTTTCTTTACTGTAAAATATATCAGAGCCTTTTATATATGGTTATCCACAGTGATACTACAGAAAAATTATCAAATGGAACATTTCCAAATCATGTCTAACATAGAACTTTTCCCTCCGGAGCTTTTCCCAGGACTGAGGCTTTGCAGAACAAATTCTGCATTAACTCATTTACTCCACATAATAGCCCTATCATGTTCTCCATGTTATGAGATTATATAATCTAATACCGGCATTCTAAATTAAATAAGGTCTTACTCCACCACTACTTTGCTGCCTCCCCCAGGGTGTTGGGCCTGGAAAGATTGTTAATGATTTTACAAAGAGGAAGGTGGAGATGAGAAGCAAAGTCAGTTGCTAAATCATTCCTCCAATTCCCCTGAGCTTCCAGAACTCTGGGTCCAGACCCTGGGGAATCATTTTAGACAGCATCTTTGCAGAACCAATACATGGACTTGGATTGGTCAACTATAATCTCTTCATTTCCTGAGTCACTGGCCCTAACTCAGCATCCCTGGGGCCTCTAAGTCAACTCTCCAGGAGCCAGGTAAGAGGTGGCATCCCTTCCCCCAACCTCTGCTCCTAGCGGGCCTGGCACAGACCTGGATTGTCCTGGGCATGTCCCTTGAGTGCCAAAAGCAGGGGAATTAGAAGCTGGAACATCTTCTTGTCAATTCCAGTCCAAAATTGCCAAACCTTTGCCTCCAGCCAGAGCTGACAACATGCCAGCCACAGTGGTTTCTGGCAGGGGCATCACAATGCAGGGCAGAGTGGGACTAGTGACTTCACATTGAGCCCTGGGCTCAGGGAGGGGCAGGGGATGCAGGTCAGCCTGGGTGAGCAGAGTCCGCATGTCCAGTCCTTCCCTGTCTCGCGTCCCCTCTGCAGCAGGCGCTAACGGGGCACCCTGGAAGGGCCAGGCTGGGTGAGCGGCTGTCGGCCTGCTCCCCTCCCACCTTTGACGCTATGCTTTTACTCCTTGTCTGCCTTGGTGTTAAATAGCTCTAGGTCTTTGGGTGATTTTTTATGTTCTCTGGAACCACGTTACAGAAAGCCTGAAACGCCTTGTTAAGACATTTGGATCTTACCCATGAGGTCAGCTGGGGAGGAAGCGATAGAATTAAAGAGGGTCATGTGGTAACATTTGCATTAAAAGATGACCGATCTCTACTAAAAAAAATAAAAATAAAAAATAGCCAGGCATGGTGGTGCGTGCGTGTGGTTCCAGCTACTCCGGAGGCCGAGGCAAGAGGATGCTTGAGCCCAGGAGGTCGAAGCAGCAGTGAGCTGTCATTGCTCCACTGCTCCAGCCTGGCCAACAGAACAAAATCCTGTCAAAAAAAAAAATACTTTGGAGTGGATGAAACTAGAAGAGAGTATCACATAGGAAGTGGCTCCAGTCATACAGATGGGACATGACAGGGGCCTAAAGTAGGAAAGACATGGTGGACCTGGAGAGAAACACAGGCAACAAGGCGGAGCGGAGAGGCACCATGGTTGATGGGCTCGGCAGGATGACCAGGCAGCCACAAGCCCAATCTGAAAGTCTAGGGTGGAAGGATAAGCTGGGGAGTCGTCAACCTATTGAAGTCCGGAGATGGGTGAGGTCGCCCAGGGAGAGCATCTGCACAGAGGAGCACAGAGAGCCCAGGCTGGACCCTGAAGGACCCTCAGCATCCACACAGAGGAGGCAGAGCTGGAAAAGGAAGCTGGCAATTGCCAGAAGAGCTGGAGGAAACCCAGGAGAGGGAGTTGCTGTGGAAAACGGAAAATGGGCCAAGAACGCTCCAAGGACAGGTGCCTCTGATTACAGATAATCCCTCCCCTCTGCTCCTCCCACAGCCTCAGGGATCTGATACCATTGGTTATGTGCACCCTCCCTCATCGTCCCCTTCTCCTACTCTTCCACATCCTTCTCATCAGCCTTTGAAGGTGCTTTAGTCATGCCACCTTAAATCCTTCAAAATAAACAGCTCCCCAATCCCCTCCCTGTCAGTGACTTACCTACAGCCTCCTCCCCATCTCTTCTCATTTACAACCACAGTCTTTGTCATTCAAAGAAGAAATGAATAAAGTGCCTGCTGCCTGGAACAGCAGCTATCTACAAGGCTCACAAGTTATCCAGAAGTCCCCCCAGTTATCTCCAAGGCTCACTCCCGCCTTCCTTCAGGTGTCTTCCCAGTCGCCCTGTCAGTGAGACCTGCCCGATCATCCTGCAGAAAACAGCACGCGCGCCTCCCAGCCTGCCCTCCCCATGCCCTTCTCTGCTTCATTTTTTTCCCTAGCAGTTATCACCCTCTGACATCATCTATGCCTTCAGTATTTACTTTCTGTCTGTCTCACTAGACTATAACCTGGATGAGGGTGAGAGCTTTTTCCTTTATATGTACTCCCTTATCTCCAGTTTTCAGAATGATGCTTGGAACATATTAGGCACTTATAAATAGTCGGAATGAATGAATGCATGCATGCATGGCTGGCCCTGAGAAGAGAAGGCCTTACCTCCCACTCAAGCTAGGGGTTGACCCTGAGGTGTTGTGGTCCTGGCTTCACCCTGATGAGTTGCATTCTCTTGACCAAGTCATTTAAAGTCTGAGTCTCCTTCCCCCTCGTGGGTTTTTTGAGAGGATTAAGGAAAATCATGTGAGCATTCAACAGGATTGTGTATAAAAGCACACGCGACGGCAGCATGGCCTCTGAGACTGGCAACCTGCACTGGAATCCAGGTGTGACGCTCAGTGACCTGTGGTGCTGGCTGTATCCTTCTCCATGAAATGAGGCAGGGGCTGACTTCGTCTGGTTCTTGGGATTGTTCTGAAATGCAAACCCATCAGCACTCAGGAAAGCATCAGAACCAATCAACACCCGGCCCCTCCGACACCCCATTGACTCACTTGGAATCAGACAGGGTTAGATGGGAATGGCCTCTGAGATCTCATGTGCCTGAGCCAAGTCTATGGCTGTGATCTATCACTGGCTGAAAATGCCAACTTGGTGGTTAAAGTTGTAACCTGGGCTGCAGAACATCAACGCCATCATCACAGCAAACTAGTTATGGATGCCTTACTATGCTGTCGTCACTGTGACTGCGGAGGTCAGCCTATTCTTATCCCCCATGTAGTGATAAGGAAAGTGAAGCTCTGCGAGGCTAGATAACCTGTCCACAGCCCCTTGTGGAGATGGCAGAAGCAGGATTAGAAGCAAGGTACGACTGATTCCAGAACCCACTCTCTAAAGCAACAGTCAGACCACCTCCTAAACAATGCACGCAATCTAAATAGAAGAACAGCTTCTAGGAACACCAAGTGCCCGTGTAAATATCAGAGAGGACACAAGAAGCATCCTCCCAAAGCCTCTGACCTTCATCTCTGCTGGAGATCCCTCATCCCTGTGAGGTCCTTATATGTCTGTAAGGTCCTAGTCCAACAATGGCAGCGGGTTTCATCTGCTCACCGGGTGATAGATGCCCAAACTGCTACATTGGAAGAGATTCCAAGGCCAGTTTTTGGCTCAGTTGTGACCCATCGGCCAAGACCGACATGAGAGCTGGGGAGGGGGAGGAGGTAGAGTGTGGCCATTGTTCCAGACATCTGCCTGCCTGTGTCAGGGGACTTGCCCATGCTTGTGTGATTTTGTAGGTTTCCACACATGCTGTTCAGCAAACTGCTGTACATGGAGGAATCGTGAGGCTTCAGCCAGACCTTTCCCACCAGCCTGGAAGGAAAACACTGCAGCAAAGGCACTGAGGAGTGGAATGGGCACTGCGACGTAGCTTGTGATCAAAACACAGCTCGTTGTCTCCCACGGTCCTGTTAAAAGCCATTCAGAGGCTGGGCGCCGTGGCTCACACCCTGTAATCCCAGCACTTTGGGAGGATGAGGCGGGTGGATCATCTGAGGTCAGGAGTTTCAGACCAGCCTGGCCAACATGGTAAAACCCGGTCTCTACTAAAAATACAAAAATTAGCCAGACATGGTGGTGGGCACCTGTAGTGCCAGCTACTTGGGAGGCTGAGGCAGGAGAATCGCTTGGACCCAGGAGATGAAGGTTGCAGTGAGCTGAGATCACGCCACTGCACTCCAGCCTAGGGGGACAAAGCGAGATTCTGTCTCAAAAAAATAAAAATAAAAAATAAAAAAGCCATTCAGAGGGCATGATATGTTCTGTCCAGATAAAACTTAGACTTGGAGCTTTTCTGATTATTCTTAGGTAATAGTCCTGCGGTCACCTGGGTCCAAATTCAGGGTGATTTATGTACTAGAATACCCTCGTCCTTGTCACATTCTCGACACAGAATCTGACTCAGTGCTCAGCCTCCTCCAGACCTGGGCCCAGTTAGGAACAAGGTTCCTTTCTCACCTCCCACTCTGCTCACCTGCCCCCAGCAGGTGAAAGTTTAGGGGAAGGCACAGGTCCAGGTGAGCCCACACATCAGCTCACTGTTCCTTGGGCCTGGCAGACATTGAAGACTGGCTCTTCGGTGGTATCTTCACGGGCTCTTCCATGGTTCCCTGCTGGGTGGCTTTCTCCTGAGGTCCCCAGGCCAGGGTGGGGCTCTCTCTGTAGCGTGCTGCTTTCTGCTCTTTGTCATCCCGTGTGCACCTGGTGATACACCCCAGACTCTTTCTAACAGATTTCCTTGCCCCCTCCAGGAAGCCTCATGGGAAATTCAGGCATTTCTCTCTCTGTGCAGCACACACTGATTCCAAGGAAAAACTGTGGGTTCAGGACAGTCCCTACCCAGCAGCATCCCTCCCAGAACCATTCTCTCACCTCCAGATTTCCCAAGTGTGAGTTAGACCCCAGGGATCCCAGCAAAGCTCTCTACAGGAGGCCTAACTGATGCTTCTCAAAGATGTCCAGAGATGATCTGCATTGGATTCATCTGGAAGAAGCTGTGCTGTTACAAATGCTCAGACCTCTCCCCCACCCCCGGCCCGCCCCATCCCACTGGATCAGGATCTGAAGGACTAAGCCTGTAAACACGTACTAGAGTTGACAGATAAAATATAGGACATGAGTTATGTTTGAATTTCAAATAAACAGCAAATTATTTTAGGATGAATATGTCCTAAAAACAGTATGGAGTATATTTATACTAAAAATATTTGTTTATCTCAAATTCAAATTTGACAAGGCATCCTGTATTTTTATTTGCTGAATCTGGCAACCCTTATCTGCACTGAACAAGCTCCCTAGGCTGCACATCGAAGTCAGGACCACAGTTTGAATGTGTCTCCTCCAAAAGTTACGCATTGGAAACTTAATCCCCAATGCAACAGCGTCGAGGGGTGAGGCCTTTGGGAAGCGTTTGGGTGATGAAAGGTCTGTCCTCATGAATAGATTAACACCACTATACAAAGGGCTTGCTGGAGTGGGTTCACTCTCTTCTGTTCCTCTGAAGAACTTGAAGACACAACATTCCTCTTCCCCACAAGACATAGAAATATGGCACCATTTTGGAACCAGAGACCAAACCTGCTGGCACCTTGATCTTGGACTTCCTAGCCTCCAGAACTGTGAAAGAATAAATTTGCATTCTTTATAAATTACCCAATCTGGCCAGGAGTGGTGGCTCACGCCTGTAATTCCAGCACTTTGGGAGGTCAAGGAGGGCAGACCACCTGAGGTCAGGAATTCAGGACCAGCCTGGCCAACATGGTGAAACCCTGTCTCTACTAAAAATACAAAAATTAACCGGGCATGGTGGTGTGCACCTATAATCCCAGGTACTCAGGAGGCTGAGGCACGAGAATCGCTTGAACCGGGAGGTGGAGGTAGCAGTAAGCCAGGATCATACCACTGCACTCCAGCCTGAGTGACAGAGTGAGACTCCATCTCAAAGAAAAAAAAAAAAAAAACAATTACCCAATCTGTGGTATTCTGTCATAGCAACACAAACAGTCTAAGACAGTCAGAGAACCACTGGCCAAGACTTTGGTAAAGTCCCCAAGGCAATGCTACCCAGGGGCCTCTCGGGCATCAGCCAGGCAACAGTCCCCACACCACCCATATCCGACCTATATCATCATGTGCCTCCTTTCCTCTTTGAATTTCATCAAATTCCTTCTAGAGCACTGGCATTGCTCTCCTCACCCGGGACCCCCTAGTTTGCCCAGTCCAAGGGAGAGACTTTCCCATTGTAGTCTATGGGGGATGGCGCTCTCTGGAGTTGTGCAGAGCTCAGCATGTGAGGCTGGGATGTCTCCATCCAGAAGATGGGACATGGTGCAACCCAGCATCGCTGTGAAGATTTGCAAAGCAATGCTGGACAGTGAATGAGTATTTCACAAGAATAGACCTAAGTCATGTTCTTGGGAGGGATGGAGACTCTACAGTGTGGTCTTCAGCAGGAAATCAATCTTTCTGGAGGTGATGGATGATTTTGTTCAGATACTTCTATTGAAAATGAGCAGCAGTTTGCAGTGGATATGCCCGTGCCCCCTGTCTCTCCATCTGTGAGATTAGCTGTCATCTTCCATTCCCTCATCAGACCTGGAGCCCAGACTCCTCCTCCCCTCCACACCCTACCCCCAGAACCAATAGAAACTGAGCGAAGGAGAAAGCACTGGCATATAGCAGATGCATGAGTAGCAGGTCCAGTGGGGACCTGAGCCCAAAGGAGGGGAAGAGGAAAGCCAGGGAGCTCCCTATTAGCCACCCTGAGGGCCAAGGAGTGAGACTAAGTGGTGAGACCAGGGCCAGGTGCCTGGGTGTGCTGTGGGCTCCTGTCCCACATGCCAGTCAGGAAGTCCTGGCCTCCATCAGGGCCAGGCATCCCCTGTTGAAAAGACGGGTGAGGCATGGTTTAGAGCAGGTGGGGAGGGCACCACCCAGGGCCACTCAACAGGCTGTGGCTCAGCCTCGGAGGGGATGCCTGAGCAGTGAGGAGCAACCTTCGCCAGGGAGCTGCCTTGGGAGAAAGAGCAGAGAAGTCCTGGAATCTCCTCCCTGGGCAGTAGCTCGAGCTACACCCATGAGAGGCCACCTCGACAGTCATGTGATCTCACTTTAAGCCTCACAGTAACCTGCACGCCAGTGAGCATCGTGTTTCTCTGTTGCAGATGAGAAAACCGAGGAGGTAAGACTGGGCAGGTAGACACGCAGGCACTTTGGCGATTGAGCCCATAAGTCACTTCCAACCACGAGGCTCAGCCTGTGGCCAGGAAGGCAGTGCCCAGGCTGCTTGGGTAAGTCCACTTGGGTCAGCGCGCTGAGGGGTGTGGAAGTTTTAAAAATACACAAGGTTCAAAGCCCGTGACTGAGTCACTGACATCCAGGGAGGGCACACACCAGCAACCTCCATCCGAGGCTGGTCATTTCATCTTGAATGCACAGGGGCCCATCAGGAGACTTGGGGCCACGTGGGATCCATCTAGAAGGTGGTCGGAGGAGGATTGGGACCCGCCATGCTGGGCACGAGGGGAAGCCAGAACCTCTCAACCTGACCTGTGCGGCCACACCTGAGGCCCTGGGTCAGAGTCCTGAGCAGAGAACTAAGCGGGCAGCTGTACCCCACAGGGTGCTGGTGCTGGCAGAGGCCTCCAGGCGTCCCCGGGCCCCACCCCATTCCCGAGGGTCCAGGCTGGAAGCCCTTCCCCCATATCTTACTCCCACATTCACAGAGAAGCCTCAAAAAATGTTTGGGGGTGACAATGGCTGAAAGCATCAGTGTGCCCACCAAGGGCTCAATGATTTGGTTTGGCTGTGTCCCCACCCTAATCTCATCTTGAATTGTAGCTCCCATAATTCCCACGCGTTGTGGGAAGGACCCGGTAGGAGATGCTTGAATTTTGGGGGCAGTTTCCCGCATACTGCTCTCTTGGTAGTGAATCAGTCTCACAAGATCTGATGGTTTTATAAGGGGCTTCCCATTTCACATGGCTCTCATTCTCTCTTATCTGCCGACATGGAAGACATGCCTTTTGCCCTCCACCATGATTGTGAGGCCTCCCCAGCAACCTGGAACTGTGAGTCCATTAAACCTCTTTTTCTTTATAAGTTACCCAGTCTCAGGTATGGCTTTATCAGCAACACTCAGGAAGCTGGGTGGTGCCCAGGTCAGAGAGAAGGGAACCTGGGATAAGAAAGGCTCTGAGATGAGGTGCCTCTGTGCAGCCGTCCCGGAAACAAAGCAGCCAGAAAAGAAGTCTTCGTGGCTACAGTCTGAGTTCTTGGCTCCACAGCCCATTGTGACATCACTTGGGGGCTCTGGATCTGAGCTGGAGGCTCTCAGCCTCACTGCCTCAGCCCTGGCCTCTGTCACCCCCGGGCCCACAGCACAGCCCAGGGCCATGCTCCTGTTCTCAGTGTTGCTGCTCCTGTCCCTGGTCACGGGAACTCAGCTCGGTCCACGGACTCCTCTCCCAGAGGCTGGAGTGGCTATCCTAGGCAGGGCTAGGGGAGCCCACCGCCCTCAGCCCCCTCATCCCCCCAGCCCAGTCAGTGGTGAGTACAGGGGCAGAAGGGGCATGGATGGGGGCTCATGGTCCAGCTGACTGGCTGCCAGGAGGGTGGATCGCAGAGCACAAGGCCAGAGCTCCAGGGCTCCCCACATACCCCTTCTCCAAACCACTTGTCCTTTCTCTCCTCTCTCCCCTGGCCCAGTGTTTGACTTGTCTAACCCTGAGTTTTGGTTTTGAAACCTGACACTTTATCCTCAGAGGAATAGCAGGCTGCCCTGAAGCTCTTGCCTAGAACTAGCTGAGACTGAGTCCTCCCACTTGGAGGGGGACCACTACCCTGGGCCTCTGTGGCTCCCATCAGCACCAGGCTTCCAGGAGCCACAGACACCCAGGGATGCCTAGCTCAGTCAGGCCAAGTGCAAGGGTGCTTCTGTCCTTGTGCCCGGCCCCCCAGAGCTCCCTGATGGCTCATTTCTTCTCCAAGGGGGTGGTCAAGACTTCAGGGATGCTGGGGTACCTAGCAACTGCTAGGGGTCGAGCATTTCCCCATGTTTAACGCCCACACCACCACGGTGGGGCATCTGCTCTCAGACAACGTGTGGATGAGGAACTCAAAGCCTGAGGAAGAGGATTTGCCCAAAGTTGCCCCAGGGGGAAATGATAGAGCTGTCTGCCTGGCCTGCGCTGGGTGACCGCAGCGCCAGGCTGCATGCCCTGTGCACACCACTTCTTGCCCAGAACACAGCAGGTTCACCTGGCCTCCTTCAGTCCAGCCTAGGGTCCACTGCACTCTGTGTGAACAAGGGGTGGGAGGCATGAGGGGAGAGCATCAGCAGAATATGCTCCTCTAATGCGTGATCGCTCAGATCACTTAGAAGCAGCCGTTTCTGCTTCCATCACTGCTTCCAGGCTCTCAGCTCTGGCATGAACCTGAAAGTCAACACGATTCCATACAGATGTTGTGGGTTGATCTCAGGACCAAGAATGTGGGGGATGGATCCCATTGATGCAAAATGGATATGAGAACTTCTGCCAGTTCATTCTGGAGAGTTGACTTTGGTGCAAGCACTTGTTGGTCGCTTCAACATCCATCCTCTCATTTCATCCACACATCAGTCTTATAAAGTTGGCATTATCTTATGCTTATTTTAGGAATGAAGAAAGGGGGGTGGGTACCCAACGATAAGTAGCTTTCCCTAAATCGTTTCGTGAATAAGCAACAGAGCCTGGATTCAAGCTTGGGCTGTCTGGCCCAGAGCCTACCCTGAGCACGTGCCATGTTCTGCATCTCAGACAGAGAGACAGAGGGCACCCATCATAGCTGCCCACCATCCAACCCAGCTCATACACACTCGGCATGTTCATGTACTTCCTTCCATACTTATAAACCCACATTCTCAACGTAATAAAATCACAAGTTTTAAATATGATTTTCATCCTGACTTTTTCACTCAATTTTATGTCACAAACATTTTCCTGTGTTGTTAAAAATGCCCCATGAGCCTAACTTTGTGGCTGAGAAGTAGTTGATGATATGGATGTGGCTTACTTTAGTCACCCCTAGCGTTTAGCTTGTTTTCAATTTGTCATGATGATAGAGATCGCTGCAGTGAACATCATCAGATGCACACATGTGCTGCCTTCCAGACACCCGGAGTGGAGTCATTCAATCAGGGAATCAGCCCACAAGCATGTTGCCCTCTCCATCTGGAGCTTACATTCTGGTACCAGAGTCAGGCAAAAGGGACTGATAATGTAGGAGTTGATGTAACGAGGATGCAATGAAGAAATATAAAGCAGGGTAGGAAATAAGGAGTCACCAGGATGGGAGGGGCTGTTATAGACACAGGTCAGGGAAGGCCACTCTGAAGAAGGGATTCTTGGGCGTAGGGAGGAAGTGAGCCAGGTAGCTGCCTGGGGAAGAATATTTCAGGCAGAGAGCCACATGGCGCAGTGGTGAGAGCACCAGCTCTGTTGCCAGCCGGCCTGGGGCTCATATCATAGTTCAGTCACTGACTAGTTGTGTGACGCTGGGCAAACTACTTAACCTCTCTGTACGTCAGTTGTCTCAATTACAAAGTGAGGATGAAAATAAGAGGGCCTACCTCAATAGGGCAGTTATGATAACCAAGTGAATCGGTGCTTGCAAAGTGCTTGCAACAGTGCCTGACGCACAGTAAGCATCATATGTAAATAAAATCAGAGAGGAAGTGTGGATCCACAAGTACCGAATAGGCCGGGCATGGTGGCTCACGCCTGTAATCCCAGCACTTTGGGAGGCCGAGGCGGGCAGATCATCTGAGGTTAGGAGCTCTAGACCAGCCTGACCAACATACAGTGAAACCCTGTCTCTACTAAAAAATACAAAAACTGTAGTCCCAGCTACTTGGGAAGCTGAGGCAGGAGGCAGGAGGATTGCTTGAACCTGGGAGGCAGAGGTTGCAGTGAGCCGAGATGGTGCCACTGCACTCCAGCCTGGGCGATAGAGCAAGACTTCGTCTCTCAAAAAAAAAAAAAAAAAAAGTCCCGAAGAGAGCCTTTATGCATTGCTGAGAGCAGAAGGCTCTGGATGCACATTGCTAAGTTCTCACTCCCGTATTTTTTTAAACCAAAAATGACCACCACAGGGTCACCCAAACAACAAAACACTCACAGCTTCTGTTGAGCTGATGGTTGGAAAATAAGCAGCAAGAAAGAGACAAGATTAGGGTCTTGGGCTTTTTAGAGTCAAACTCATGCCTTGTTCCAGAACACAAGGCAGACAGTCAAGTCAGCAAATATTCACGGAGCATCTCCTCTTCCTGGGGCGAGGAGCTGGACCCGGCCTCTGTCCGGAAGGGGCATTTCCTGCCTCAGCACAGGCGCTACAGCTTTGCTCTCAGTCCCCTAAGTAAAGGAGCTGCTCAGCCTTGACTAGCCTACAACAGCCAGGGCTTTCCGGTAGATTCTGGCACTTTCTATGCCCCACCCCTTGTGGTTTCTTAGGGCTGCTGAAATGAATGACCACACACCTGGCGGCTTAAACAACACAAATGTCTTATCCTACAGTACTGTGGGACAGAGCTCCAGCAAAGGCCTTCTGGGGCTGAATTCAGGGTGCAGCAGGTCTGCGTTCCTACTGGACGCTCTAGGGGAAAATTATTTGCCTTTCCACTTCCAGCTTCTAGAAACTTCTCTGGGCCCCTGCCTTCATCTTCAAAGCCAGCTATGTTGCGTCTCTTTGCCTTTCCTCTGCAGTCACTTCTCCCTCTGCCTGACTTCCTGCTTCCCTCCACCCCTCTCAAGGGCCTCAGTGATTCCACTGGCCCCTCAGAAAAGCCAGCATCACGTTCCCACTCTGAGGGCAGTGCTTAGCAACCCAAATTCCATCTCCAAAGCCCCCCTTTCCTTGCAAGCTAAAATATTCGCAGGTTCTGGGGACATGGCCCATTGGAACTTGGACCTCTTTGGGGGCTATTGTCCTGCCCACCACGGGGGGTTAGCCTTGGACACTGTTTTCTTCCGATTTCTCCTGGACGAGAGCAGAAACAAGCTCAGTGAAGTGACTCTCCTGAGGTCACAAATGCTGGATAGAGTCAGAGCCAATGCTTCTGACTCTATCTGTTGCTGAGCTCTGTGTAGACAAAATAAACCATCTGCCGGCTGATGTCACAAGGGCTGCCCCGCTCGGCAGCCTCAGTGAGCTCCTCTCTAGAATGGGGATGAGGATATCCACTTGGAAGCCTGCTCCTCCCAGCCCGGTCCCCAGCTCACACTGGATGCTGACTAAGTGTTTCCCCTTTTCCTTTCCACTCTCTTTCTTTCCACCAGAATGTGGTGACAGATCTATTTTCGAGGGAAGAACTCGGTATTCCAGAATCACAGGGGGGATGGAGGCGGAGGTGGGTGAGTTTCCGTGGCAGGTGAGTATTCAGGCAAGAAGTGAACCTTTCTGTGGCGGCTCCATCCTCAACAAGTGGTGGATTCTCACTGCGGCTCACTGCTTATATTCCGAGGAGCTGTTGTAAGTACCATGGGCCTCCCACTGCCACCTCTCAGGGCGCCCACCCCTGGGGCACCCTCCCCCTCACCCACACCTGGTGGCTGAGAGGAACCTGCGACTGCTCGGTATCCAGTCGGCATGAATGGCTCCCACCCATCCACCCACCCCCCAGCCTGTGGGGACGTGGAGGTAGCCAGCCTGAGGCTGTGTCCTCCTCACATCACCAGAGCCAGTGACTACAACCTCCCTGAGGTCACACCTACCCTCTCCCGGAACACCTGTGGCTTGATGGAGCCAAGCGGCTTGGTCCAAATGCCTCTCCTAGGGCATTCAAGTCCATCTAGGGGGAAATCCTTGTAATTCTGGAAGCCTGACTTCCTGGGCCACCTGACCCCCTACTCTCCTGCTCCTTGTAGAGCGTTCTCTGTGTGACAGCATGTGGATGGATGCCTGGCATTACCAAGGACTAACTATGTGCTGGGGACCCTGCTAAGAAACTTTCCCCTATTGGCCGGGTGCGGTGGCTCACGCCTGTCATCCCAGCACTTCGGGAGGCTGAGGCAGGTGGATCAGGAGTTCGGTGGTCAGGAGTTCGAGACTGGCCTGGCCAATATGGTGAAACCCCATCTATACTAAAAATACAAAAATTAGCTGGGCGCGGTGGCGTGCGCCTGTAGTCCCAGCTGTTCAGGAGGCTGAGACAGGAGAGTTGCTTGAACCCAGGAGGCAGATGTTGCAGTGAGCCAAGATCGCACCACTGGCACTCCCGCCTGGGCGACAGAGCGAAACTCCATCTCAAAAAAAGAAAAATAAACTTTCCTCTATTAACTCATTTAATCACACAGTGACCCCTGAAGCAGGTAGAATGAATAGCCCTCGTTTATAGATAAGGAAACTGATGTCCAATACACTGAGGCTGCTCACCCACAGTACCCATCTAGTATATAGAGACAGAATTCAAATTCTGGCTCTAGCACTTGTGCTTTCTGCCACACCAGCTCAAGGAAGTTTGAAGACACACACACTGATTTTAGAAGGTTAATCAAAAACCCGGGGACAGTTTCTTCATGGCATAACCACAGACCTTTGTGGCACCCGCTGTCGTGGGATATCAAATATCCTCTGGGGTTCGGAATGTGGGCTTATTACTGAAGATCCTGTCTGCTTGGTCAGTGGCAGGTCTAGACTAACTTCTGGTCCTGAGTTTCTAAAGTGCTGGTAGACCAGTTGATACAAAACAGATATAATAATGAATGCCTTATCTATCTGAAGGTCAGTTTGATCCGTGCCAAGTGGCTTTTTGTGGGCTGTGTAGAGTGCTCTAAACCCAGCTCGGCCTTTGCTGTATTAGACAGAAGCACCTCATTCATATCCCTGGGGCCCCTGATGGTGCAGTGGTCTGGCTGTGGTCTGCACACCAGCTATTCTGTTTTGTTTTGTTTTGTTTTGTTTTTTCCTACCTTTTTCCAATCCTCACACCTTCTGATCAACAGCCCCAGTAGGGTTTAAAGGTCCTAGAGCTACATGGGATTTAGGTTTCTGGGCACAGCCAATTCTGCCGCTTTTGAGACTTCCCTTCCCCTTCCACTTGCCCCTCTCTGGTTCTCTGCCACCAGTCCAGAAGAACTGAGTGTCGTGCTGGGGACCAACGACTTAACTAGCCCATCCATGGAAATAAAGGAGGTCGCCAGCATCATTCTTCACAAAGACTTTAAGAGAGCCAACATGGACAATGACATTGCCTTGCTGCTGCTGGCTTCGCCCATCAAGCTCGATGACCTGAAGGTGCCCATCTGCCTCCCCACGCAGCCCGGCCCTGCCACATGGCGCGAATGCTGGGTGGCAGGTTGGGGCCAGACCAATGCTGGTATGTGACTGCTCAGCTTCCCCTGGGGAAAAAGCCACTGCAATGTGAAGGAGAGGGGAGGAAGCTAAGGAAGGAGTGAGGACAAGACTTGCATTGGAGCAGATTCCCGCTCAGTGGAGTCTCACAGTGCCCAAAGTTTAGCTCCTTTTGGGTGCCGAAACCCCAAGGTGAGACACCAGGTCTGAGCCAGTCCCCTAGTGCAGTCTGATCCAGCTAGCACAGAGCAGTGTGGTTTGTGTGTTTAACTGAATTTAAACTCTGCAGTTAGCCAGAGGCCCCTCTACTCTGTATTCATAAACATCTTCCCTGATTCCCACGGGTATGTTTCCTACCTGGCTCCTCCAGGCATTGGAGATTCCCACCCTGGGCTAGGCTCTGACGGTCCTGGAGCGTTGCCTGGCTCTTCTTAGAAATGAATCTGTTGTTCCTTGTTGTTATGCTGTTACTTGGCCAAAACAGAAGAAAGTCTACTGGGACAGAAAAATATGACGAAGGGCCCGCTGGACTGTCCCCCAAAAAAACCCAACAAAACCAAAAGCAAATAGATAGGGGAGGGGAGGGGATGAGAACAGCAAAGCATTGCGTCAGCCTGAAGGAGGCTCTCGATCCACAGGGATGATTTGCAGCGAGCCTGGGCCTGGACAACCGTGGGTGTTTCAGGAGTTTAGCAACCAGAGGGGGAAGCGGTGGGACCTTAGTTCTGGGCTCCAGGCACTCCTGGAAAGGTAGAAGAAGGAGAGGAGGCACATGGGCATGCACAAGTTTAAAAATCTTCAATCAGGGGAAGAAATGTGAAATCTCTTTGTGGTCAGAGTTAATGAGATGGAGAGGAATTCAGGTGAATTCCCGGCATCTGGCGGCCCAGAAAGGGCCTCTGCAAATCCCCTCTAATCCCATCTCAAAACACTCTGCCAACCTGCCCTTGCTGAGGACCTAAAGTTTTTTCACCGGGAGTGCAAACCCACTTTCCAAGGCCCTGTGTGAAGGAAATGCCATCCTCATGTAATAAAATGTCACAATAGGCAAATGTATTGATATGGCAGGATTATGCTGAGAAACAGTCAGTAGCCAGTTCCAAGAAGCTGAGTCTGTGGGGCTGACTGGGGTCAAGTTGGAAGTCTTCTTGGGAGTAGAAATTTGGTTTTGAATGAGAAGAATAGTTCCAGTAGCTGTGGGAGTTGTTGGGGGAGTGGGTAAGTTGCAGGCATGGGGTAACCTGAAGGAAGTGAGGGGCTGCAGAGCCTGTGAAGGAAGGGGATGGGGGCTGGGGGACACAGGGCCGAGGGCACAGTCAGCTGCATCACGAACGTGGGGACATGAGGCCCAGTGGCTTCTCTAATGCGCTTTCTCTCTGGGCCAGCTGACAAAAACTCTGTGAAAACGGATCTGATGAAAGCGCCAATGGTCATCATGGACTGGGAGGAGTGTTCAAAGATGTTTCCAAAACTTACCAAAAATATGCTGTGTGCCGGATACAAGAATGAGAGCTATGATGCCTGCAAGGTAACTAGGGGGTACCCTCCCTCACCTTATAGGTCCTCACCCTCTGGGAACTGCCAGTGCAAGGGTATTCTCTCTCTGCTGCAAATAGACAATTCTGAGTCTGGAAAATGTATGGGAATTAGGGCCTGCAGCCATGAGAATGAGTATGTGGATTTCAGATCCTCTGGAGCTGTGAGTGAGCACCCTGGGAGTCAATATGCTGCAACCCTGCTTAACTATTTCTGATCTTCTTCAGGTACACTAGGTAAAAAGGACGCCAAGGCTTTTCTCATTTCTGGGAATTCTTTTTAAAAATCCAAGGAGGATTTGGTATCTATATAAGAAGTCATTTTAGTTCATTAACTTAGAAACCTTTGTTGAGCATACAAGGCCCTAGAGACCCATAAATGAGATATGGTTCCTTACCTAAGGGACCCTACAGTTTCCTGGACAGGCAGTGGATAAACAAACAATGATAAAATATTGGGTGTTGCATGTGGGTTTCACTGAACCAAAGACTGGTCTCTTTGCCTCTCTTTAATAAAATGAATACACGTTCTTTCTAAAAAATTATTGATAGCCAGAAAAATAGAAAAAAAATCATAAATTTCCTCTGGCTCAAAGGATGAATGATGACATTTGTCTTTAATGCTCAGAGGTGCTCCCTTCATCTTAAAAGTGGCCACCCTGATGAACCTGCTTAGTCTCAGCTGAAGACTAGGGACCTGCTCATTGGCCAGGCAGTGGACCTTGTCGTTGGTATAAAACCACAAATGAAGATGATAAATATTCTGAACAGTGATGGAGAGGCTGCCCCATGGAAAAGAAAGATATTTATCTATCTGTTATGGTTTAATGTGAGAAAATTGGTAGTTTTCCCTGATAGGCTATGAGAGCCTTGAGAGGTGGGTACTGAAACAGGGGTTGGAGGCAGAAAGGGAAAAGAGAAAGGAGAAGGCATTCTGAGGTAAGAAGTAGACCCTGGCAGCATAGCACTAGGTTTAGGAGCCCCCCATGTGGTGAATACTGTGGGGACCAAAAAGACACATGAACCTTGTATTTTCTTCACTTTCTGGGCAATTTAAAATATTACCAAAACAAAAAAAACAAAAAAACATGCACACAGAATTGAGACTTCTGGTTCCAGACAAGACGGAGTAAACACAATTCTCCCAGCCCCTCCCACTAAGTACAACTAAAAGCACGGGATAGTATCTTGTAAAATAAAAACAAAAAGGCTCTGAAAGGTGAAGAGAAAGTGGCCTGGCTGGAGATCCTCAGGTATTTCTTTATAGTGATGCAAGAACGCACTACACACATCTTGACCAGAAAACATTAACTGTCCTCCCTGATTAGAGTTTGTTATAATACTCCATTTACTCTAGTCACCTCTCAAGGATCATGGAATGAGACATCATCTCTCCACTGAAGACTGCTTGCAAGGTTGTAGCTGCTCAGCTCCTTTGGTAAGAGAGTAATATAACAAAGGTAGGGAGGGCATGGACTTTGGCATCAGCAAATCTTAGGTTACACATACCTCAAAATAATAAGAGCCCTCTATGACAAACCCACAGCCAACATTATACTGAATGAGCAAAAGCTGGAAGCCTCCCTCTCAGGACCAGAACAACACAATGATGCCCTCTTTCATCACTCCTATTCAACATAGTACTAGAAGTCTTAGCCAGAGCAATCAGGCAAGAAAAAGAAATGAAAGGCATCCAAATAAGAAGAGAAGATGTCAAACTATCCCTCTTTGCAAATGATATGGTTCTATACCTGGAAAACCCCATAGTCTCTGCCCAAAGTCTCCTAGAGCTGATAAGCAACTTCAGCAAAGTTTCGGGATACAAAATCAATGTACAAAAATTTGTGACATTTATATACACCAGACAACACACAAGCTGAGAGCCAAATCAAAAATGCAATCCCATTCACAATATCCGCCAAAAGAATAAAATATCTAGGAATACAGACAATCAGGGAGGTGAAAGATCTCTACAATAAGAATTACAAAACATTACTGAAAGAAATCTGAGACAAGATAAACAAATGAAAGACATTCCATGCTCATGGATAGGAAGAATCAATATCATTAAAATGGCCATACTACCCAAAACAATTTACAGATTCAATACTATCCCTATCAAACTACCAATGACATTATTCACAGAATTAGAAAAAAATTATTTTAAAATTCATATGAAACCAGAAAAGAGCCCAAGTAGCCAAGGCAATCCTAAGCAAAAAGAACAAAGCTGGAGGCATCATGCTATCCAACTTCAAACTATACTACAGGGCTATGGTAACCAAAACAGCATGGTGCTGATACAAAAACTGACACATAGACCAATGAAATAGGTTAGAGAACCCAGAAATAAAGCTGTACACCTACAACCATCTGATCTTCATCAAAGTCAACAATAACAAGCAATGGGGAAAGGACTTCCTTTTCGATAAATGGTGTTGGGATAACTGGCTAGCCATATGCAGAAGATTGAAACTGGACCCTTTCCTTTCACCATCAACTGAAATCAATGCGAGTTGGATAAAAGACTTAAATATAAAACCCAAAACTGTGAAAACACTAAAAGAAAGTCACACTACAAACCACCATTCTTGACATAGGCCTTAGCAAAGATTTCATGAGGAAGTCTCCAAAAGCAATTGCAACAAAATAAAACGTTGGCCCAATTAAACTAAAGAGCATCTGCACAGCTAAGGAAACTATTAACAGAGTAAACAGACAACCTACACAATGGGAGAAAATATTTGCAAACTATGCATCTGACAAAGGTCTAATATTCACAATTTATAAGGAACTTAAACAACTCAACAAGCAAAAACTAAACAACCTCATTAAAAAATGGGCAGAGGGGCCGGGAGCGGTGGTTCACGCCTCTAATCCCAGCACTGTGGGACGCCAAGACCGGCGGATCACGAGGTCAGGAGATCAAGACCATCCTGGCTAACACGGTGAAACCCCGTCTCTACTGAAAATACAAAAAATTAGCCGGGCGTGGTGGTGGGTACCTGTAGTCCCAGCTACTCGGGGGGCTGAGGCAGGAGAACGGCGTGAACCCAGGAGGCGGAGCTTGCAGTGAGCCCAGACTGCTGCCACTGCACTCAAGCCTGGGTGACAGAGCGAGACTCTGTCTCAAAAGGCAGAGGACATGAACAGACACTTCTCAAAAGAAGACATACATGCAGCCAACAAGCATATGAAAAAAAAATAAAGCTCAATATCACTAATTATTAGAGAAATGCAAATCAAAGCCACAATGAGATATCATCCCATACCAGTCAGAATGGCTGTTATTAAAGTCAGAAAATAACAAATGTTGGTGAGGTTGCAGAGAAAAGAGAATGCTTCTACACTTCTGGTGGGAATGTAAATTATTAGTTCAGCCACTGTAAAAAGCAGTTCGTAGATTTCTCAGAGAACTTAAAACACAACTACCATTAAACCCAGCAATCTCAATACTGGTACAGACCGAAAGGAATATAAATTATTCTACCAAGAAGACACATGCATGCATATGTTCGTCACAGCGCTATTCACAGTAGC
Source organism: Homo sapiens (assembly GCF_000001405.40). Taxonomy (NCBI): domain Eukaryota; kingdom Metazoa; phylum Chordata; class Mammalia; order Primates; family Hominidae; genus Homo; species Homo sapiens. Next base: position 10,536,596 of record NC_000008.11, read on the forward strand.
AAAGACATGGGATCAAACTACATGTCCTTCGATGGTGAACTGGATAAAGAAATTGTGATACACGTACACTGTGGAATACTACGAAGCCATAAAAAAAAACAAAATCATATCCTTTGCAGCAACTTGGATGCAGCTAGAGGCCATTATTCTAAGTGAATTAGTGCAGGAACAGAAAACCAAATATCGCATGTTCTCACTTATAAGTTGGAACTAAATGTTGAATACACATGGACACAAAGAGGGGAACAATAGACACCAGGACCTACTTAAAGGTAGAGGGTATGAAGAGGGTAAGTAAGGTAGTTTTTTACTACCCATCAGATACTCTGCTTACTACCTGGGTGATTAAATCATTTGTACACCAAACCCCAGTGGCATGCAATTTACTCACATAACAAATCTGCTCATGTACCCTATGAACGTAAAATAAAAGTTGAAAAAGAAAATAAGAAAATCTTGGGTTACAGGATGGAGGGTACTAAAAAAATTAAAAATAGAACTACCATATGATCCAGCAACCCCACTTCTGGGTATACGTCCAAAAGAAAGGAAATCAGTATATCGAAGAGACATCTGCACTTGCATTTTTATAGGAGCACTATTCACAATAGCCAAGATTTGGAACCAACCTAAGTTTCCACGAATGGATGAATTGATAAAGAAAATTAGGCAGTATACACGACGGAATATTATTCAGCCATAAAAAATGAAATCCTGTCCTTTACAACAGCATGTATAGAACTGGAGGACATTACATTAAGTAAAATAAGCCAGGTACAGAAAGACAATTCATATTCTCACTTATAAATGGAAGCTTAAAAAAAAACTCATGGAGATAAAGAATGATGGTTACCAGAGGCTGGGGAGGAAAGCAGGTGGGGACTCCAGTTAAGGAGCACGAAAACACAGTTAGTTAGAATGAATAAAGTCTGGTATTTGGTAGCACAATAAAGTGATTATAGACAACAAGTGTATATTTCAAAATTAACTGGAAGAGTGGAATTGAAACGTTCTTAATACAAAGAAATGATAAACGCTTGAGGGGATGGATACCCCAATTACCCTGATTTAATTACTGCACATTGTATGCCTATATCAAAACGTGTACCTCATAAACATACAAAACTATTATGTACCCATAATAATTAATTTAAAATTAATAAAAAGAAAATCCTGGGTTCCAATCCCAGCCAGTCTACCATAGAACCCTCAGCAAGCCCTTTCTCCTCCTGCAGGCTCATTTGCCTTGTGTGAAGGTGGACGGAAGGATGTGGGGCATTTGTTTGATTTATGTAGACGTGGGGCATGGCAGGGACTTGGTTCAGAAGCTCAACATAAATGGATAACTATGCGAGTCACAGACCATGTGATTCCATCCTGGAAGGGTCACACATTCTGAAAAGCGTGGCTGAATTAAAAAGGAATGTCCTTCTCTCTGTGCTTCTGCAAGAACACAAAGGAGACCCAGTTCTTAGCCCTGCAACACTTCACATGTCCCATTCCCTTTCCTGCCCTTTCCAGAGCCTCTCATTTGATAAGAGCCTCTCATTTGATAAGACCCTCAAAACAAGTCTCCACTCATCCCTTGGCCTGCATCTCTCTGTGCTGCAGATGGAGTGGTCTTTTCTTACCAAGGCTTCCCCCTTCCTTCCCCATCTTCAGTCCTGTCTCATCCACAGCACCCCACCCCCAACGCTCTACACCCCTACAACCTCCAGAGCCAACCTGGCAGCCACATGCTTCTCCCGTGGAGCAGGGATGGGGTGGGTTGGCAGCCAGAGTTGGGGAGGCTGAGGAATCTTCCATGAATGAGCTGTGCCCAGCCTCAGATGGGCAGCTTAGAACCGGACTCCCTGCTGAGCTGTGTTCTCTGCCCACAGGGTGACAGTGGGGGGCCTCTGGTCTGCACCCCAGAGCCTGGTGAGAAGTGGTACCAGGTGGGCATCATAAGCTGGGGAAAGAGCTGTGGAGAGAAGAACACCCCAGGGATATACACCTCGTTGGTGAACTACAACCTCTGGATCGAGAAAGTGACCCAGCTAGAGGGCAGGCCCTTCAATGCAGAGAAAAGGAGGACTTCTGTCAAACAGAAACCTATGGGCTCCCCAGTCTCGGGAGTCCCAGAGCCAGGCAGCCCCAGATCCTGGCTCCTGCTCTGTCCCCTGTCCCATGTGTTGTTCAGAGCTATTTTGTACTGATAATAAAATAGAGGCTATTCTTTCAACCGAGGGAGGGTGCATGCAAGTGCGTCTCCAGCAGAGGCTCTGTCTGCAGCTCAGGGCTCAAGGATGGAAATTGAGGCTGGGACCAGGAGGACCAGAGAGTCACCCTGGGTCCCTGGTTTGGGGACTGCACTTTGGGTCTGTGGATTAGTCAGGACTTTTTCCATTCTAGGTGACAGTCACCTAATTCTGACTGAATTCAGCCAAAATGAGGCATTTATGGATACATATAACAGAAAAAAAAAAAAAGCCAACAAACAAATATCCAGGGCTGGCATGATGACTTCAGGCGTGGCTGAGTCCAGGGGCTGAAAGGTGAAGGCAGTGACTGTTGTCTGTGGCCATTACCCTCAAGAGGGCTTCTCAGCGGTGATGAGAACAAAGAATTCCCTGTTGTTCTAGGAAGTTAGTCTCTTAGTTCTACGCAGGCCTTCAGTGGATTGGACAAGGCCCACCCACATTATGATGGGCAATCTGTTGATTCAAAAGTTATCAATTTAAATGTCAATCTCATCCAAAGATACCCTCCAAGTTGACATATGAGATGAACCACCACGCTGCCCAGGCAGCCTTCACATGGTGTTTTACATTACTCCTGTCCATAAAAACGAACGATGTGCTTATGCTCACCCTACCTTAAAGACAACAGCTTACTGTAACCCTTCTATGGAGCATGTTTCCTGAGGACCCCACTGATATGGTTTGGCTATGTCCCCACTCAAATCTCATCTTGAATTATAGCTCCCATAATTCCCACGTGTTGTGGGAGGGACCCACTGGGAGATAATTGAGTCATGCAGAGGTTTCCCCATACTGTTCTCATGGTAGTGAGTAAGTCTCACGAGATCTGATGGTTTTATAAGAGGTTTCCCTTTTCGCTTGGCCCTTGTTCTCTCTTGCCTGCTGCCATGTAAGATGTGCCTTTTGCCTTCCACCATGATTGTGAGGCCTCTCCAGCTACATGGAACTGTGAGTCCATAAACCTCTTTTTCTTTATAAATTACCCAGTCTCAGGTACGTCTTTATCAGCTGTGTGGAAACGGACTAACACACCCACTTTTCAAAATCACCTTTTTTCCATTCCCTACCTTGGGCCTTCTCTCTTTTGAGGCAGGCAGGCCTGAGCTCCCCTTTCCCTCGCCTCTCAAGCTGTCACCAGTTCTCCCTTCTGGCTCATCCTGGAGCCAAGCTGATGGCGCTCCTCTCTTGCTCTCTCCTTCATGTTCAGAGGCTCTCGCCTCTGCTTTCAGCTGACCTCCCTCCATGGCTCAGCCCCTCCGAGTTGCTTGCTGTGTTCCACCAGCGTGTGGGATGCCCCCGCCGCTCGCACCAGGCAGGACTCCCCCACCCTGCAGCATGCAACTGCACGGGCTGGTGTGGGGCGGACCACAATTCACAAGAAGTCCCTCGAGAACGTGTTCCTGTCTTCCCCTCATGTAGACCCAGCGCTGCCGCGTGCTTCTTTCCTCTGGATTCGAATTTCCTGGGCCACCACCGAAGATGCAAAGGCAAATTCAGGAAATGCAAATCCTTAAATGGAAGCTTGGGCTTTTCCTGGGGACCTACAGCCTGGCTGAGTGTTCTCCAGAAAGAGACTGAAGAAAAGCTTCCTGGTTGGGCGAGGTGGCTCATGCCTGTAATCCCAGCACTTTGGGAGGCTGAGATGGGTGGATCACCTAAGGCCAGGAGTTCAAGACCAGTCTGGCCACCACGGTGAAACCCCGTCTCTACTTTAAAAAATACAAAAGTTAGCCGGGTGTGGTGGCGGGCACCTGTAATCCCAGCCAATCGGGATCCTGAGGCAGGATAACGGCTTGAACCCAGGAGGTGGAGGTTGCAATGAGCGGAGATCACGCCACTGCACTCCGGCCTGGGCATCAAGAGTGAACTCTATCTCCAAAAAAAAAGAAAAAAGAAAAAAAGCTTCCTAGTTATCCTTTTTCCCACTCTAACCCTACTCCTCCAGAGGTCCTACAGCTACAATGTCTAGAAGCCATTTTTTCAGAAGCTCCTAAGAACCTGGGACTCAGGCAGGCCCAGTGGAGGGTGGCCAGCTGGAGTGTTCACCATCTCAGGACATCACCACTGTCCACTCCACTTTCCTGCTCACCGCCCTCTGACTTCTGTGTGGGGGCCCTCCCTTTTCACCCACTCTCCAATTTGCATAGTTCTGGATGGCTGGCCCTTTGCTGGGGGCTGGGGTGGGCATAGAACTCGAGCCTGGCCTAGAAGGACATTGATTTTGGCCACAGGGATGGGAGCAGCAATGGGCTGTGGGCTTTATAGGTCACAAGAGCAAGACCAAGACTTCTGCTGGAGTTATCAGGAACAAGACTGACTGACTCTCCTGGGACTCCCAACATGGTAGGGTGCATGTTGAAGGTACTGCTCATGTGAAGGCTGCTGGGGAGTGTGGTGGTTCCTTTTGTCTGTCAACTTGGAGGGGATCTGTGGATGAGATTGATGTTTAAATTGGTAAACTGTGACGAAGCAGATTGCCCTCCATAATGGGGTGAGCCTCATCCAATCCGTTGAAGGCCTGAGTAGGACAAAAATGATTGGCCTCCCCACACAAGAGGGAATTCCTCAGCCGCCCACCTTCAGACTTCATCTGCATTGTCAGCTCTTCTGGGGCTCTGCCTGCCAGTCTCTAAACCAGAGCAGCACCACCAGCTCTCCTGCATCTCGAGCCTGCCAGTCCACACCCCAGGTTTGAGCTTGCCAGTCTCTGTAATCAGGTGAGCCAATTCCTTATAATAAACAGCTTCATATCTGTACCTATATCTATATTTATATCATCTATATCTCATCTCTGTATCAGCTCTATCTATCTATCTAATCTATCTCTCCTGTTTTTTCTGGAAAACCTGACTAATATGGGGGAAGAGCTTCTGTACTGTGAAGGGGCTTCTTAGAAAATGAGGTGGAAGCAATGTTGCTGTTTCACTTTTCTTTTTTTGAGACATGGCCTCACTCTGTCGCCCAGGCTGGAGTGCAGTGCCATGATCACAGCTCACTGCCACCTACATCTCAGGCAATCCTCCCAACTCAGCCTCTCTAATAGCTGAGTCCCAGCCTCTCTAATAGCTGGGACTACAGGCGCACATCACCACACCTGGCTCATTTTTTAAAATTTTTTGTAGAGATGGGAGTTTCACTATGTTGCCCAGGCTGGTCTCAAACTCCTGGGCTCAAGCAGTCCTCCTGCCATGGCCTCCCAAAGTGCTGTGATGACAGGCATTAAGTCACCGCACCTGGCCCTGTTTCACCCGTGAAAGCAACGTTTTGTCATGATATGGAAATTGTCAGTTTAAACATTATCCAGTCAATTGTGATTAGTTAGGCTACAGGATTATCATGTGTGTCCCAAGAGAGTTTTCATACCTAGAGTCACACAGTGTAGTGTGTAAACTGCACTGTGGTGCCCCAGTGCGGATGTGTGGGGACAAAACAGACACACAGAGACATCTGTTGGACATCAAGGGAAACAACAATGTCTGTTGGACATGGAGTTGACCACTGCTGCTAAGGTGTTTAAACTTAACAACGTAATAAATGCAATTGTTAGGTATTTCATTTGGCCTAGAAGCACCATGCGGGGGAAAAAAAAAAAAAAAAGCTAAGACAATAAGGGAAAGTTTGAAAACCTTTGGCCTCAAGGATAACTGCTGATGTTAATGTTTTGTATTTAAGAATAAAGGGTGAGTTTTTACAATAGTTTTGTGGTGGGTAATTTGAGAGTAGCCCAAACGTCTCCTTAAAGATGACCTGGACAGGCACGGTGGCTCATGTCTAATCCCAGCACTTTGGGAGGCTGAGGCAGGTGGATCACCTGAGTTCAGGAGTTCAAGACCAGCCTGGCCAAGATGGTGAAACCCCATCTCAACTAAAAATACAAAAAAAAAATTAGCTGGGTGTGGTGGCGGGTGCCTGTAATCCCAGCTACTTGAGAGGCTAAGGCAGGAGAATCGCTTGAACCCGGGAGGCGGAGGTTGCAGTGAGTCGAGATCATGCCATTGCACTCCAGCCTGGGTGACAAAAGCAAAACTTTGTCTCAAAAAAAAAAAAAAAAAAAAAAAAGACAACCTCTTGGAGGGATATGAAATCAAGAATCAAGGCTCAGGTGTCTGTGGCTGTTTTGTCTGCTCTGCACCCAGTGGCTCCAGTTTATTTGGGGGAACCCTCTTCCTTATTGCAAGTTTCTGATGTCACCTTTCTCAAGATCCATTTCTTATGGACAGGTAGACCCTACCTCTGACTCCAGAGGTTGCATGGGACCAGGCCTGACCAATGTGAGGCCCTCAACCCAGGGCCTCAGGATGTCTTTCAGGATGGCCCTAAGAACCAAGCTTGGCAATCTTGGCAAGTCCCAGAACTTCACCTGGGACATGCACAGGCTCTTTGAGATTAGCAGCTCTCTGTCTGCTAGGACTGACCCTTGGAGAATGTAAGCCCGGAGCTTCTGGGGGCCCCATGCGGAAGTGACTGCCCTGAGAGTGAAGTCAAAGCATGAAGACATCACATCCTGGTGACATTTTTATAGCCCCTAGAGCCAGGCATGCCTGAACAACAGATTTCTTTTTCTTTCTTTCTTTCTTCTTTCTTTCTTCCTTCCTTCCTTCCTTCCATCCTTCCTTCCTTCCTTCCTTTCTTTCTTTCTCTCTTTTTTTTTTTTTTCCAAGGTCTTCACTCTGTCGCCCAGGCTCAGTGCAGCGGCACCATTTTGTTTCCTTTAACAAATCTGTCCCTATCTTCCCCTTTCCCTTATCCTTCCTGGTTTCTAGTATTCTCTGTTCTAATTTTTACTTTTATGAGATGAACATCTTTTAGTTTCTACATCATATAAGCATTTACAGCTAGACATTTCCATCTCAGTGCTGCTTTAGTGCATCACATATGTTTTTGTGTGTTATGTTTTCACTCTCATTGACCTTAAAGTATTTTCTAATTTCCCATGTAAGCTCTTTTTACTCATTGATTATTTAAGAGTGTGCTGTTTAATTTTCATATATTTGCAATTATTCTTCTGTTATTTATTTCTAATTTAATTCCACTGAGGTTGGAGAACATACTTTGTATTATTTCAATCCTTTTAAAAATTTGAGAATTGCTTTATGGCTTAGAATATGATCTATCCTAAAGAATATTTTATGTACTGTATTTTAAAAAGTATATTCTGCTATTATTGGGTAGCGTGTTCTATAGATGTTTATTAGGTCTAGCTGGTTTATAGTATTGCCAAAATCCTCTTTATCCTTGTTAATCTTCTGTATAGTTGTTCTATCCATTATTTAACATGAGATTTAAGTCTCCAACTTCTGTTATTAAATTGTCTCTTTCTTCCTTCAATTGTCATTTTTTGCTTCCAATATTTGAATGTTCTATTGTTAGATGCACGTATGTTTACAGTTGTTATAGCTTTCTGAATCATTGACCCTTTAGTCATTATAAAATGTCTCCCTTTATCTCTAATGAATTTTTTGTTTTACAGTCTATTTTGTTGATATCATTAGCACCATATCAGCTCTTTCATCATTATCATTTGCATAGTTTATCTGTTTCTTTTTATTTTTAACCTACTTATATATGTGAATTTAAATGTGTTTCCTGTAGACAACACATAGAACTTGTTTGTTTATCCAGTCTGACAATCTCTGTCTTTTAATTGCATTTTTAGTCCACTCACATTTAATGTGATCATTGATATAGTTTGATTTACATATGCCATTTTGGTTGGTTTTCCTGTATGATGCTTTTCCTTTTTGTCCCTCTGACCTTCCTTTATAGCCTTTTGTGTCAAGTCAATATTTTCTAGTGTAGCATTTTAATTTTTTAATGATGCTAATTATATTTTTGAGTTGTTTTCTTAGTAGTTGCACTAGAACTTATAATACACATCTCAACTTATTAGAATTAACTTCTGGTTTAGACTAACTTATTTCTAGTAAGAGATCAAAACTTTCTTCCTACGTAGTCCTATTTCCTCCTCCTCTTTTTTTTGCTATTATTTTCCTATATTTACATCTACATATGTTATAAATCCAAAAATACCTCACTATAATTGTTACATTATTTAACTTTATGTCTCATAGATTTTAAGAGAAGAAAGGAGATAAAGTATGTATTTATAGAATTTTTATATTAACTTTAACAGGGACAGAAAACTGACTGTGTGCTCTGTTGACCCAGCCTCAACAAACAGGACATGGTGGCCTGCACCTGTGCTTCTCAGACCATCTGTGAGGAAAAAGACCAGGGCTTTTGGTTTTTGGTTTTGCTTCGAAATTTCCAACTTATTTCAAACCAATACTTTCATAAAACATAAAATTGAACTACTCGAAAAATGAAATCGAAAATGAACAAATAAAATGCAAGCCCACACTATTTTTTTTTTTTTTCCGAGAGTGTCTCACTCTATCACCCAGGCTGGAGGGGAATAGTGCAATCAGGACTCACTGCAGCCTCAACCTCCCAGGCTCAAGTGATCCTACTGTCTCAGCCTTTTAAGTATCTGGGACCACAAGTGTGCACCATCATGCCTGGCTAATTTTATTTTATGGAGAGATGGGGTCTCACCATGTTGCCCAGGCTGCAAACTTTATTATTACAGTCAACCACATAACCCACTTAACTTTAAGTTGCTGTAAAGGTTTCTAAGCATTTACTCTCCATTTCTATGCTTATCTCTTCTTGGGCCAGTAACAAGCAGTTTTCAGACCAGCAGTAGTCCCTGTTCCACACTTCAGAAGCATTTCCCTACGAGACCCAGACTTTAATCACCAAGAAATAGAGGCCACCTGGCTACCAAGCCCAGGCTTTCTAAGGTATAAGAGGATCACATTAGAATATGCATTGGATTGGAATGAAGCTTTCGGTGTGGCTCGTAAATCATCGTTTGAATTGAGACTGTAGAGACATGTGTTATTCATTGTCTTGAGCAGTAAAAACTCACAAAGCATCTCAGCGTCCTAGCCCAGAATAGCTTAATTGGGCACTGTTGCTCTGCAATGCAAAGTGCATGTTTAATTCTGAGTTCTGCATTTTTACATCAGAACCGGCCCAGTAAGAGGCATCTTCTATCTTTAGTCCTGGCTTATTGCTCTTTGCTTGCGTGTGTGAATGCTGGGCCCCTCCCTGCAGAGCTTCTTGCCAGAGCGCTGTCCTCAGATTACCCTGAGGCTCAGATGCTGCGTGAGCAGCTGCTGGGCACAGATGGGGAGAGGAAGACAGCCCCCATCTGAGGTCCAAGGAGCAAAGGCAGGGCTCGGTGTCACTTATGCCCAGGGGAACTAGGCTCCCCTGAGCTGAGCCAGCTTCCAGAATGAAGCTGGCCATGGCTCAAAACTTAGCCCCAAGAACGTGAGCCTCTATGTCCCAGGTCCCTTGCCTGTAAAATGAGAATCATTGCATGGACAGAGTAAGGCTATTGAGGCTGTAACGATGCAGAAAAAACCATGAGCAAAGCCTGCCATACACTGAACACTCAGGGAACTAAACAGCCCCAGACAAAGCTTAGCCGCATGACCCCAGGGTTGCCACAGACCCCTATAACCCTCAGCGCTAGCCAGTTCCCTATCTCACCCCTAAATCCCTCCCTGCAACAGGATCAAGTCCCCTTGATGCTCTTCACATCAATCCCAGCAGCTAGTTGCACTTTTGAATGCCTCTGCAGTAACAAGGCATCCAGCATCCGAAAACTGACCACACACCCTGTCAACCCAGCCTCAGGCAGCTCCAAAGCCTTAGACTTGGCTCTGCAGGGCAGCCACGGTGCTCCTGTTGCCCCCTCCAGGAAGCCCTCCTGGTCGCACATGGAGAACTCACCACCTACAGGCAGCCCTCTGCTGCCTCCTCTTGACAAACAAAACAAACAAACAAACAAAAAACACAGGGTCTCACTCTGTTGCTCAGGCAGAAGTTCAGTGGCCCAATCAAGGCCCACTGAAGCCTCACCCTTCCAGGCTCAAGTGATCCTCCCACCTCCACCTCCTGAGTAGCTGATTGCACACAGGAGTGTGCAATCACACCTAGCTAATTATTTTTTGTAGATACAAGTTCCCCCTATGTTTCCCAGGCTGGCCTTGTACTCCTGGGCTCAAATGATCCTCCCACCTCAAGCCTCTCAAAGTGCTGGGATTACAGGTGTGAGCCACGGTGTCCGACCCAGCCCTCAGCTTTGACCAAGAGTACAGAATCCTATGCTGAGCCACATCAGCCTCGCTGTAGCCCAGCAGATGGCAGTGGGCAGGCTGGAAGACCACGCTCTGGCTTCACGGAGCCATGACATCCCCAAACCACACATCTCAGCTACTGCAGTCACCGCTCCTATTTATAGCTCCGCAATTCCCGCCACCCTTGTCACTCGACAACCTCTCTTGCAACACTCTTTCCAGAGTGAGCCGCCGAGGGGTGAGCGTAGTGGTCCAGGCGTGCGCCAGCCGGTGGCCTCTGACACAGGGGCATCACCCCTCACCCAAAGACCGGGCCTCCAACAACGCCCCCTCCCTCCCCGAGAGCCCATGTCTTTTCTCTCCTCTTTGAGCTTCCGGTGGACTGGAAGCCTGCACTGTTTTGCAGAGCTGCTTCTAGACTTATCCCCACCCCGCACTTACCTTTTGTGGACTCCAGAGGTGGACCCCACCGTGATCTTTCTGAACCCTGGAATGTGCGAGATTCCAGGGCCCTCGGCCTCAGCCTCCTGCCTTCCTCTTTCTGACACCGCGGCTGCCTCGCCACATCCCTGGGCCTCCCGGTGCTCTGCTGCTCCGGCCAACCCCGTTAGCAGGCACTACCCAGGCTCGAAATCCCAAGCTGGCACCTTCCCCTTCCCGTCCCTCCTTTTCCCTTCCCTTCCCACTCCTTTTTCCTCCTTTTCTTTCCTTCCCTTCCTTCCTCCCTCTCCCCTTCCCCCACCCCCCGCCCCGCCCCGCCCCAGTCTTGGTGGCTTGTTCCGGATCTGGTGTTGCTCATTCACTCATCAAACATTTGCCGAGAGTCTTTTATGTGCCGTTGCTGTTCCAGTCACGGGGAAGAGCAGGGAACAACATGTCACGCCCTCAGAAGCCGACACTCTAGGGGAACAGACACCGTAAACACACAGCTTTACTGAACATGACTGGTGGAGAGGCACAGAGGAGAACAGGGAAGAAGGAGTGTGGGCGGAGGAGGGACTCCTTCCTACCCCAGGTCACAGGGAAGGCCCGGATGAGAGCAGAGACCTGGAGGACAGGAGGCTCAGGACAGGACTGCTCCGTGTGAAAGAGTGTCTCGGGGATCTCTGGGCCTTTCCAGAACAGAGATTCCCAGAGCTTTGCAGAATGAACAGGCTTCCTTAGGGAGCTGGGGCGGGCTTTGGAGAGGGGGCTCAGGCAGCGAGCGCTCAGGTGGGCCTGGCTGGAGTGGGGTGCAGTTCCCAGATGTCGCCTCAAGGTGGCAGAGTGACTCCAGACCAGGCACGAGGGCTTCAGTGTCTCCCTGTGCTTGGTCAGGACTGGAGACCTGGGGCAGCCAGGCAGGTGACAGACACAGCCCTGGAGGGGGAGGGAAGCAGAGGTTCCCTGAGAGCTGGCTGGAGCCTTCCAGGAGAGGCTTGTCCCCACCCTCCCGGTGGCTGCCACCCTGCTGGGCCCTCACGGGTGGGGCCCTGGGCCCAGGCATTGCATCCGATGGGCTGTGGCACCGCGGGGCTGCACTGGGTCCTGGGAGCTGGGAGACGGTTTCCCTCACTCTGAGGCTGGGGTCACTTTGGACCCTTTCCTTCCTGACACGGTGAGCCAGGAATCTGGGCCAACACCTTAGCCCCGGCCATTCCCCCTGCCTGCAAGTCTCCTGCGGAAGCAGACGAGGAGCTGTTGGGACAGAAGCCCAGGCACAAGGTGGGACCCGGCAGCATGAGGCACCCACGGCTCCAAAGCCTCAGACTTGGATCCGCAGGGCAGCCACAGGGCTCCCGTGCCCCCCTCCAGGCAGCCCTCCTGGTCACACATCCACTCAAAAGCCTTTTATTAAAGCATCTCCCGTGTGTCAGGCACTGTGCTGGGGACCTGGTGGTGGGGGAGACAGACTAGGAATGGCCAGCCCCAGAGATCAAAGTCAAAAGCAGGGGTCCGACTGAGGCTGGGGTTGGATCAAGCCCACTGTGTGTCTTATCGGAACGCAGCCACGCCTCTTCCCTGGCATCTCGTCTGTGGGTGCTGCTGTATATACAGGCATAAGCTCAATAGATGCAACCAAGGCTAGGTGGCCCCTGGAGCCTGGAGCATTTACTACCTGACCCTTGACAGAAAACATTCGCTTACCCTGGTCTAGAGGGGGAGATGGATGTAAACGGATAGTCACCTCATCATAATAAGTGCTAGGATGGAGGCGGGGGCAGATGAAGGATGGAGCTGGGTCCTGTCCTTTAGGCCTCTGAAAGGTCCCTGCAGCGGCCATGGCCGCGGAGAGCCACTGAAGAGGCTTGAGCAAGAGTGATGTAATCCAATCCCAGAAACTCTGGTGTGGGAAGTGGGAGTGAGGGGACAGCTGCAGAGCCAGTGCCCCGGTGGGAGATGGTTGTAAGAGCCTAGGAGGGGTGGCCTGTAGGGATGGCCCAAGTTGATGGCATTTCAGAGGGTGGATGATGGCATCGGCATGTTGGGATGTGGGCTGGGTACGGGGCTAAGCCCACGTACAGCCTGTGTCCAGCACACTGGGGGTCACACAGGGGCTCACCAAGCCCTGCTAAATGTGACAGTGATGAGACCCCACAGATCATCAAGAAAAGACCCTGGTTCTAAGATGCGAAACAAGGCCCCAGGAGCTCAGCCCACCTGCTGTTCAGTGGCCATGTTAGGGTACCAGGCAGGGGCTTCCTGACGTCGGTTCCAACGCTCAGTGCCCCTTTTCAGCTGTGTCTCTCCCCCTGACTTTGGAGAAAGACGGAGTGCTTGGGACCATGAAACAGCACAGGCACAGCCAGCAGCTCCCCGCTCTGTCATTTCTCTAAACTGCAATTTTCTTATCTGCAAGGTGGTGGTAAGGCCCTGTTCCCGGCCTGGCTCTCAGTCTTTCTGTAGTGAAATGATGCATAGAGAAGCACTGATAACCCATAAGTCATTTTTATCTTTTATTTTTAATTTTTGAGACAGTCTCAGTCTATTGCTCAGGCTGGAGTGCCGTGCTGTGATCTCAGCTCACTGCAGCCTCCGCCTCCCAGGTTCCATCGATTCTCCTGCCTCAGCCTCCCAAGTAGCTGAACTACAGGTGCGCGCCACCATGCCCTGCTAATTTTTGTATTTTTAGTGGAGACGGGGTTTCTCCATGTTGGCCAGGCTGATTGGTCTTGAACTCCTGATTTCAGGTGATCCACCCACCTCGGCTTCCCAAAGTGCTGGGATTACAGCTGTGAGCCATTGCGCCCGGCCCACAGGGCATTTTAGCTATCCAAGTCATCACTATCCACAGAGAATTACCTAGGGAGCCCCATAACACAGAAGTGGGGGTCTAGAACTCCCAGCTCCTGAAATGCAAGGCTGGTTATGGCCAAGTCAATGAAGGAAGGGGCCGAGCCTATGGAGTCAGCAGCCTGGCCTCACGTCCCTGGCCTCATAAGCCTGTACTAGTCCTGGCTCTGGTGTAGCATCATCTGGTGGCAGTTGGCTGCTGTGCCTTAAACAACAAGAATTTCTGGGACCCTTGATGGGACTTCCAAGACAGATACAAACTCCAGCACACTCCCAGCTGATGCCGTTTTGTTGAGTTGACTGGAGAAAATTGGAGCACAGGGACCCAATCTCTGCCTCCCCACTTCTGAGACCGATTGCCTGAAGTTTCCCAACCAGCCTTCCTCTCTCCTGCCTGCCTGCCCCGAGACAATGCTTGATGATAACTGTGTTACCCTGCGATGTGTTACCTTGGTTTTTACTGTATCAGCTTCTCCTGAAGATGTCGCTTTCCATTCGATACCTGTGTTAATCACCTGATGTACATGCAAAAGACATGGCAGGTGTGTGTGTGCATGCGTGTGTGTGCACGTGTGTGTGCGTGAGCACAAACACATCTGTAGGAGTGCATGGAAAGCTGGAGGGAGGATTGCTTGCTCAGCTATCCTGTCTTCTTTCACATTCAGATGACACTGAATAAATCAATTACTCCCACTAAAACATTCTTCTGCCCCAACAGCTGACATGGACCCAGGCTTCCAGTACATTTTGAAATCCCCTGTTGCCGCCACCTTCTCTTACTATCTTCTTATTCATAGCATACTCAGAAGGTCCTGCAAGTGATGAGCTTTGAGCACTTTCCAAGACCCCTTCCTTCTGAGAGGGCAGTGGAAGGATATCCTTTAAAAGCTGTCTGTGCTCAACAAGCAATAAAGGTCGTGCTTCATGGCTGAAGGTTGAAAGGCACAGGAAGCAATCGGGCACACAGGACTTCTTACTGATCTCCTTATTTGCCTTCTTTTCTTCTAAGACAATGAGCTTGTGAGGCAGAAACACCCTTGGCTTTAAAATGCCCTCACTCACTCATTCATTCATTCACTTATTCTTCCTGTTATTGAATCAGAATAAGTGTTCAGTTCTTTTCTTTGTGCTGGGAAACACAAAGACAGGCAGTGCCCGGTGGCTGTCTTAGGGAGCTCGACCTCTGGTGGGGACGGCAGGGTAACCGGCAGCATTGCAGGCTGTGACGTGCAGCACAGGTGGAGGCATGAACTGAGGACACAAATCCCAGCAGATCGAGGACCAGCTTCCCTGTGACTGCATGTCCTGCAAGGTCATCTTGTGCGAGGTAGGGGCACCCCACAGAGGGGCTTCACCTCCTAACCCTGGCAACGCTGACCGATGTGCCAATGACAGCGGCTGAAGGGAACAGCTGAGAACATTGGAACCATGTCTCTCCATCTGCACGGGCTCTGAGAGCACTTGGTGATGGGGAGAAGCTCCCACCCCATCCTTTTAGTGGGGGCACAAAAAATCGCACTCCTCCCTCTCCTGTGTCAAGCCCCGTGCTGTCCTCACTGCAAAGCACCTCCAGATTCCCTGTGCTTTCCATCTGCCCATTTAATAGGAACCAACAAATTCTTCCAAAAGCAGAACCTTTGCAAAATCCCTGCTTTCAAATGTTCCTGCCCAAAGAGGCAGTTAAACGACAGAAACATTGCCCGTTTGGCTAATAGCTCTACAGAGCAGCCGGGTGTGGAGATGCACGGCAGAACGTGCCGGAAGTTACTGGGGAAAGGGCACCGTTTCCTGCCTTGCCTCAGTAAGCCTTCATGTGCTCTGTGCAAAGGGAAATGTCTTCATGCTTAGAATAAAGAATACTGGAAGCTACTGGTTATGAGGAACCTCCTCATCTTTCTCTTAGAACAAACGCTGGGATCCATTTGACTGAAAGCAGAGAGCCCGTTTCTAACTTACTGATGCCCTCAAGATTGGAACTTTTAAAGAATCCCATTCTTTGAGAGAGTGAAATCATGGGAGTGTTAATCATGGCAAAGCTACGGATGGCTGGAGGCCTCCAGGAAACATCTTCCTACTTTAATCTACCGAGCACCGGGTTGAAAAAGCAAAGCTTAGATATGACCCCAAAAGCACAGACAGCAAAAGCAAAAAATCAGACAAATGGGGTTGCACTAAACTAAGAAGCTTCTACACAGCCAAGGAGACAATTAGCAGAGTAAAGAGACAACCTTTGGAATGGGAGAAAACATTTGCAAACCATGCATCTTTTAAGGGGTTAATCCCCAAAATATACAAAAAACCCAAACAACTCAGTAGTAAGAAAACAAATAACCCAATTTAAAAATGGGCAAAGGACCCGAATAGACATTTCTCAAAAGAAGACACATAAGTGGCTAAATGAAAAACTTCTCAACATCACTAATCATCAAGGAAATGCAAATTAATACCACAAAGACACATGACCTCACACCTGTTAGAATGGCTGTTGTCAAAAAGACAAAAGATAGTGAGTGTTGGTGAGGGTGTGGAGAAAGGGGAATGTTTGTACTCCATTGGTAGGAATGTAAATTAATACAACCAAAATGGGGAACACTATGGAGGCTTCTCAAAAACTAAAAATAGAACTACCATATCATCCTGCAATCCCACTTCGGGGTATCTATTCAAAGGAAATGAAATCAGTATGTTGAAAATATATTTGCACTCTCATGCTTGTATTATTCATAATAGCCAAGACATGAGATGTGGTTTAGTTCTGTGTCCCCACCCAAATCTCATTTTGAAGTGTAATCCCCATAATTCTCAACTGTAGAGGGTGGGACCTGGTGGGAAGTGATCGGATCATGAGGGCAGTTTTCCATATGCTATTCTCATGATAGTGAGTGAGTTCTCACGAGATCTGATGGTTTCATAAGGGGCTCCTCCCCCTTTGCTGGCTCTCTCTCTCACCTGCTGCCATGTAAGACATGCCTTTGCTTCACTCTCATCTTCTGCCATGATCGTAAGTTTCCTGAGGCCTCTCCAGTCATGTGGAACTGTGAGTTAATTAAACCTCTTTTTTTAATAAATTACCTAGTTTTGGGTATGTCTTTATGGCAGTGTGAGAATGGACTAATACAACATAGAAACAACCTATGTGTCCATCAACAGATGAATGATAAAGAGAATGTGATATATATGTACACAATAAAATACTACTCAGCCTTAAACAAGAAGGAAATTCTGTCATTGACAATGACACAGATGAACCTAGAGGACATTAGACTAAGTGAATTAAACCAGGCCCAGAAACACAAATACTGCATTATCTCACTTACATATGGAATCTAAAAAATGTGAACTCATAGAATCGCAGAGTAGAATGGTGGTTATGAGACCCGGAGGGGGAAATGGTCAAAGGGCACAAAATTTCAGTTAGACAGGAGAAATAAATTTTGAAGATCTATTGCACAGCATGGTTACTATTGTTAATACAGTAATAATGTATTATAGACCGGAAAATTGCTAAGAGAAGAGATCTTGAATGTTCTCATCATGAAAAAGCAATATGTAAGGTGATGGATATGTTAATTAGTTTAATTGGAGTAACCATTTCACAATGTATACATAAATCAAAGCACCACATTGTACAATAAATACATAAAATTTTTTTAATTTGTCAATTTAATTTTTTTTTTAAAGCAAAGCTATTTTCCCACTTTACAAAGAATGAACACCGGAAGCTCTCAAACAAAGCCGCCTGGGTCTCACACCTTTCATCTGCAAAACTGATGCTTTGCTCTTTCTTCTACATGGAGCCATTTTTGGGGCAGAAAACATACCCTTGGGCATAGCCTTGAGTTGAAAATCTTTGAGGGTGTTTTCTGTCCAAATGACTGAAAAAATGAATAAAAGCCTCCCCATTTTCATGATGCTTATGCTTTGTGATGGGAGTAGCCTCAAATTATTGCTAAAGGGTTCCCTTTTCTTGTGTAATAATGAAAATCCAGGCAATTACTAGCAAAGAGAACAAGTTGCCTTGGTAGGAGGATTAGGCCTCATCATGATTGTGACTACTGGTTTTATTTCATGGCAAGAGAGGAGGCCAGGAGTCTGCTTGCTTTGATGGACCTTTGAATGATGACTGATTTCATAATGATACTTATTTAACACTTTTTATGTGTACTATTAAGCACTGTATGTAAAATCTCACTTAATCCTCAATATGGCCAAATGAAGTAGGCCCTACTATTTATACCTATTGACTGATTAAGAAAATGGGACATAAAAGGGTTTAGATAGCTTGCCCTAGGGCACACAGGAACTGGCAGTAGACTTCCTGCCTTCTGGGTCATCCTCCATGAAATTGCTGAGAACCACCCAGGAAAAGAGCAAGCCCTGGTGGCCAGCCAGGTTTGGGGCATGTGGTCTCCTAAGCTAGGGAACAGGGCTCCAAGGACTTCTTCTGCCTGCACTGCACGGTCTTTGCTCCTGTGGCCACCCTCCAGACTTCCAGATCCCCCAGCCAAGATGCATGCATTTTCTAAAATCAATATGGATCACTGCATCACCAAGAAAATAACCCAACAATTATTTTGTAAAGGATCCAATGGTGAGACAAGTTTTAATTATAATCCCTTTCACTCTGAATGCTTAGCCCCACCAACCTGCCCCTATTGTTTGTCCTGACGTCCTCCATTTGTCTCACAACCATTTAACAGATGCCTCCTGAGAAGCCATCCATGGGCGTGGGGCTGGGAATGGAGCAGTGAGCAAAAAGGAACAGGCATTGCTCCGTGGAGCATATACAGTATGGGGAAGCCTGGCATCTATGAAATCACTACACAAATATATGTAACTTGCATCTGCAATGATCATGAATGCAAATCAAAAATTCTAAGCCCCCCAACCAACTGAATGGACCCCCTCCTTTTGGCCAAGGGCATTCCAAAGTTAACCTGAAACACTAGTTCGGGGCATGATGGGAAGAGGGGATCAGGCATGCCTCGTTATGCCCTCCTCCCTTTGGAATTCAGGCACAGCTGGCCAGCATTCACATGAAAACAGAGGCATTAAGACTGAGGAAACAGACTCTTTGTAGCAATAAGATACCAACATGACAGATAGCAGGCCCTGAAAGAAATTGAAGCTTTTTACCCTAAAGTGTATTTCTTTGACATATTTTGAAATGGTCTCACAAAGCTGTCTCTTGTGAGGAAGATCAACATTCTATAATTTTCTTCCCTTTCCAGATCTTTCTCTGATCCAGGAGAGAATTAACTGAGAGTCTGGCCTCTTCTTAAGTCTGATAAGAAACATTTACAATCTATTCTCTCGGAAGCCTGCTACCTGGAGGCTTCATCTACATAATAAAAACCTTGGTCTCCACAACCCCTTATCATAATCCAGACACTCCCTTCTATTGATTCCAGGTCCTTAGATAACAATTTAATTATTTCAACCAATTGCCAATTAGAAAATCTTTGAATCCACCTATGACCTGGAAGCCCCATGACCAACCAATTTACATCTTATATGTATTGATTGATGTCTTCTGTCTCCCTAAAATGTATAAAACCAAGCTGTAGCCCGACCACCTTGGGCACATGTTCTCAGGATCTCCTAGGCTGTGCCATCTGCCATGGTCACCCATATTTGGCTCAGAATAAATCTCTTCAAATATTTTAGTTTGTCTCCTTTTGTCAACATGACTTTGCAGAAAGAAAACAAAGATGAGAGGAGGAGTTGGTTTCTGGACAGTCTCCTAGAAGTCTTCCTGTGAACATGGCATTGAAACTGTAACCAAAACACAGGCTCGGTTGTTCTTTGCTGGCAGAGTTTCATTAACAAGAGTATAAAGAAAGTGACTTTTTATGACAGAGCTAGCTTAGGGGAAGAAGTACAGGCTTTCTGCCTTAAGGGTGCTGCTTCCCTTTTGGAACAGAAAGCAGGTGCTTTTAAAAGGAAAATTGACATGTTGGGCACAGTGGCTCATGCCTGTAATCCCAGCACTTTGGGTGGCTGAGGCAGGTGGATGACCTGAGGTCAGGAGTTCAAGACTAGCCTGGCCAACATGGCAAAACCCCATCTCTACTAAAAATACGAGAAAAATAGCCTGGCATGGTGGTGCCTGCCCGTAATCCCAGCTACTTGGGAGGCTGAGGCAGGAGAATCGCTTGAACCTGGGAAGCGGAGGTTGCAGTGAGAAGAGATCGCACCATTGCACTCCAGCCTGGGCAACAGAAGCGAAACTCTGTCTTGAAAAAAAAAAGGAAAATTGACATAAATGGCATGCAGTGGAGGAAGCAGGCAGGTAGGGGTCTGTGTAACTCACTTTGGTGCTTTATCTACTAGGTGGTCCAGTTGGCACCTTCACGGGCAGAACTAAGTTGTAAAAGTGATTGAACATCTCAAGGTGGGAGAGTTTCATGTTGGCCATACTTTGAGTTGTGGATAGACTGCTGTCTTGAGGCAATCTCCAGGTGGGAGAGAGTTTCATGTTGGGGATACTTTGAGTTGTAGATGGATTGCTCTCTCTCAAGGTGACAGAGAGTTCCACGCTGGAGCTACTAAGCACCTAGTTAGCTGAACTTGCCCTGTAGACAGTACCTGGTGAAGTGGAGGTAAAAGGCTATAACTGCACTTCTAAAGAGTTAAGTAGGAAGTGGGGAGCAGAGGAAAAGCAGGAAAGAGAAAAGAAGAAAACAAATAATAAACTCATTCTCTTGTTCTTAGAAAGATGGAAGTACTCAGTTTTAAAACCAAAATAGGAAGTGACAAGTAGGAGAACAATGAAGGAAAGAGCATTCCAGGCAAAGGGGACAATGTGCTCAACACCCTTGTAGCAAGAGAGGACATGCTGGATCTCAGAGGCTGAAAGAGGGTGTGATGGTTAATTTCATGTATCAGCTTGACTAGGCTAAGTGATGCCTAGATAGCTGGGAACGCATTATTTCTGGGTGTATCTGCAAGGCTGTTTCCAGAAGAGATGAGTATTTGAATATGAAGACTGAGTAAGAAAGATCCTCCTTCTCCCGTGTAGGTGGGCATCACCAAATCCACTGAGGACCCAGATAGAACAAAAAGACAGAGGAAGGGTACATTCGTTCTCTCTCTTCTCAAGCTGGGACATCCATCTTCTCTTACCCTTGAACATTGGAGATCCTGATTCGTGGGCCTTTGGATTCTGAGACTTCTACCAACAGCTCCCCCAGTTATGGTTTCTTATGACTGCTAAGCTGATGGTTTAACCACGGGAGGGAAGGTTCTGGTTCAGACTAGAAAACCAGGCCCCGTCCTGCCTGGGCTGTGAGTCTAGAAGAAGCCTCTGTTACAGAAGCCTCTGCAACCCCCCAGGGCTGCTCCTTCTCTTGCCAGGATCTTTGTTCCCTGCAGATGAGATATCTGGCTTCTTCTTCCTGCTCTCTAGAGTCGGCCTTCACTCTAAGTTGGGTTGCCCCAAGTCCTTCAGAACCCAGGGAGAAGCAGCTGCCTCTTCCTCTAGAGTCGACAGAATGTGTTCCTGTCACTTTCAGGTCACTCCTAGTCCCAAATCCTACAAAAACCTCCCAGCTCACACACTTGCCATCCCAGCTGACTCCTTTTCCTCCTGTCCCCACCCTTGACCTGGCTGCCTGGCTCTTGGCATGAGCCTGGCCTCTCCGGGGACCCAGAGTCAGCCATCCCTTCCAACAGATCTTGTCATTGCCCTCAGGTAACACTTCCAAGGGTCCCATGAGATGCTTCGTGTTCATGGCTGTGTTCATCCATTCTGTCACTGCTATAAAGAAATACCTGAGACTGGGTAATTTATAAAGAAAATAGCTTTCATTGGCTCATGGCTCTGCAGGCTGTACAGGAAGCAGAGTGGCTTCTGCTTCTGGGGAGGCCTTAGGAAACTTAGAATCATGGCAGAAGGCAAAGGGGAAGCAGGCACATCTCATATGCCCGGAGCAGGACCAAGAAAGAGCAGGAGCGGGGAGGTGGCGCATACTTTTAAATAATGAGATCTCCTGAGAACTCTATCACAAGACAGCACCAAGGTGATGGTGCTTAACCATTCATGAAGTTTCCACCCCTATGATCCAATCACCTCCCACCAGACCTCACCTTCAACACTGGGGATTACAATTTGACATGGGATTTGGGCAGGGACACAGATCCAAACCTTATCGATGCATGTTTGGGAAACTCCTGGTTGCATCTCCATCTTCATACTGGAGATTCACTGTGTTAGCACAGTAAAGTTTCTGGAAAGTTCTGCAGTATAAGCTACTGTTCCATCTGGTGAAAGGGGCCTTCCTTAAACCTTCATCACCTGGACGCCCATGTCCACATAACATTTGTGAACATGCCACGAATGATGCAGACAGATGCAGACATTTGACACAGCCATGCAGGTGTGATTGCTCCAGCCAAGCACCAATAATTTGGCTACCAGCACATGCACCAGCCCTTTTCTTCCTAGGTACCCCAAGCCCACTCCCTGCTTCTTCCCCAAGCCCCTAGCCTTGTCTTTATCCTGGTTACTTCATTATATTTCAAGCCCTGATCTAATAGCAAGGAGCTGGGGCTTTCTTTTCTTTCTTTTTATTTGCTTCTGTCACTCAAGGAGCTGGGACTTTTCTAGAGGCCCCAGAGTTCCAGCCTGAACATGAAATCCCAAGTGAGAAGTTGAAACCTGATATAAGCAGAGCTCGGTGATGATGAGTCATATTTTAGTGTGCGTGGACTGAATGAATGAGGGATTGAATGGACACGTGGATTACCTGAATGAATGAGAAAGCTAATAAGCTAGGATCTAGGACATTGTTCTAATGTATTTTTATATGTAGGTGAAAACCATCATATTCCCCTCTTAGACGCATGTATGGGAATGTGCAAAAGACTCTCCCAGTCTGAGGGAGGAGTTGCTCTAGAAAGCTCTAGACACAGCATGCAGCTGTGGCATATGATAGCAGGTGCACTCTTTCTCCAGCCTTTCTCACTGTCCTGCTTATGGCCAGGAAAAAGCCTCATTGGGGCCTATAGTTGATGATTGTGGCTTTTGCATGTCCTGACCATTTCTCTATCAACAGGGAGGCTGTGCTGCAGCTCATAGCAGCAGGTGCCAGAGTGGCCAAGGAGCAAGTTCCAAATCCTACGCCCAGTGGCTTTCCCTTTCAGGCTGGCCAGGCCCGCACTTTTGCAGGTGAGGAACCAAAGTGGAGCAGGATGCTGACTTGCCTGGGGCCACGCTGCAGGCATAAGCCAAAAGCAGGTTTCTGGCTCCTCCTACTGCCAGGCTAGACAGGACATCTCAAGCCCAGCTTCCCAGCAGAATTAGAGGGGAGGCTTTTACAAATACTGATGCCAGGGCCCACTCCAACAGAGTTCTATGGGTATTGCTCTGCCGTGGTGCCCGGACAACCTTGTGTGGATCCACACAGGCTCCATCAAAGTACTGCCTATCTGGATCTTGGCAGAACAGTTTGTGATTCCCCAGAACGCAAGAGGATGGGAGCCCATGACGAGCTGCTCCGGAGCCACCCCCACCTCCCCTCCCTTCTCCTCAGGGCTAATGAAGTAAAGGTCTTCTCCCACACTTTCAGTGCTTAGAGTGAAGGTGCAGGATACAAAACCACTCTGCTGCAGTCTAGAACCAGCTCCCTAGCAATGGGGTGTCCCATAGCTCCTATCCCAGCCATCCAGCCCATTGTCTTGGTGGTGTCCTGGTCAGGGTTTCCAGTGTGTGGGACGAGGCTCCGGGGGAGACGGCACCTTTGGCCTAACTCTTTTCTCCGTCTCTGTGTGTAATAAAAGGCTCTAACAGTGGCTCATATGCGAGGCTTTGGCCTTGTTCAATGGGTGTACTTGACAAGAATCGGACGCAACAGCAGGAAGGGATGAAGGCTAGAATGCTTTGTTTGAGGTTTTGGTTTTTACTTTTTATTTGGAAGCAATTATGGATGCAAAGAAATTTGCGAAACAATGAACAGCAGGCTTGTATGTCTTTTCCTCAACTCCAATGGTAACGCTGTGCAGAACTCCAGGATGGCGTCAAAACCACGAGGGCGACCTGGGTACCATCCACAGAACCTCTTCATATTTCTTTTTCTCTTTTTTCTTTTTCTTTTTGATACAAGTTCTCATTTGGCCACCTAGCCTGGAGTGCACTGTTGGGAACATGGCTCACTGCAGCTTCAACCTCTTGGGCTCAAGTGATCCTCCTGTCTCAGCCCCCAAGTAGCTGGGACTACAGGCATACACCATCACACCCAGCCTAACTTCTTCAGATTTCACTGGTTTACATGCCTGTGGGTGTGGGTGTGTATCATTCTGTGCAATTTCCTCATGTGTGCAGATTCATGTGACCATCACAAGTGACAACAGCCAAAACTGCTTTATGACCACAGGTCAATGACATCCCTCATTACCCCTCAGGCTCCATCCCCATTCCTAACCCTGAACAGCCACTCATGTTCTGCGTCTCTAATGTTGATATTTCAAGAATGTTATTTAGATGGAATCACACATTCTCCAAGAACATTTTTGAGACTGGCTTCTTTCAATCAGCATCATTCCCTTGAGATCCTCCCAAGTTGTCATGCGCAACGAGAGTTCATCGTCTTTGCTGCTGAGCAAACCTCCCTGGCATGGACGGAGCACAGTTTGTTTCACCCTCACCCATGAAGGAACATCCAGATTGTTTCCAGTTTGGGGCTGTCCCAAAGAAAGCTGCCATGAACGTTCAGGTACAGGTTTTCATGTGAACATAACTTTTCATTTCTCTAGAATAAATGCCCAAGAGCGCAAATGCTAGCTTCTGTGATAATTGCATTTCAGTTTTATAAGATACAGCCTAACTCTTGTCTACAACACATGCCTATGTTGATGTTGTTGCTTTTTGGTTTTGGGGGGCATGTTTTGAGACAATGTCTCGCTCTGTCTCTCAGGCTGGAGTGTAGTTGTGTAATCATAGCTCACTGCAGCCTCGAATTCCTGGACTCAAGCAATCCTCCCCCTTAGCTTCCCAAGTAGCTGGGACCATGGTTGCATCACTGTGCCCTGCTAATTTCTCTCTCTTTCTCTCTGTAGAGATGGGTTTTGTTGTTGTTGTTGTTTTAACTCTCCTATGACTCTCTTGTGTAGTCAGGGCTGAGCATTGCTGCTCTGGAAGCCAAACTGGGGCATCCCAGATGTGGCAGGAACGTCAGCTGATGAAGCTGAGGTCTTCATTTCATCCACACAGAACACAAGGTACTCAGTTGTTTTCAGGGATAGTTCCTGGGAAATCTTTCTGAATCATCTCCCAGCTACTGAAGTGGGCCGTTTCCTCTGTCTTCTTAATGTACTTATGTGTGGGCCACTCGGGTGTGAGCTCAAGAGAATGTCAGTGTCCACACTGACATCTACACAGGTCTCAGGGGTAGCAAACTGGCCTAAAATGCAGCTGACTGGGGCGTCTGGCTGAGCTCTGTGACTGGGGGCAATTGTTTTTCTGACTGCTGGCACTGTGTCTTGGAGGCTGAGGGGTTTTTCTGCAGAACAGTGCTCTTTTGCCATAGCCCAGTGTTCCTGTGCCCTGAGCCTCATGCTAGAGCTTGCAAAGAATCGAAGTCAAGGCAGTTTCTTTCCCAAGAGGTGTGACTTCTCTGGGCACCCTTGGGTGTTCTGGGATGTGTGTTCCATGTCTTTTGCAGCCATGAGGAGCAAATAGCATTTGTAGCTGGTGAAACCGCCTTTGCAAAATTATAACTGAGGAAGTTATAACTTGTGAGAGCTCACGAAAGTGAAAGAAATCAGACCTAACCGACACCATCTTGCTTGTAACCTTTAAGCTGTCCTTGTTCACTTCTGGGCAGAGGCCAAACTAACTTTAGGAAGGAATTCAGTTCATGATTTGACTGTGAAACAAAACTGATAACAGCCCTTTCCCAAAGAGACCCCCTTCTTGTCTGGGGACCAGTCTGCCTTTGCAGGACTAACGAAGTAGCTACAAGATTGGAAATTACAGTTCAGGGGTCATGCAGCCTCTGACTCCAAGAGTCTGAACCTCCCCAAATTTCTCCTGGGGATAACATCACTATCGTAAAACCTAAGATCAGTGCTGGAGGTATTTCGCAGACCCTGCACTCCACCAAGACCGGTAATCTGGCTCAACCAGTCCTGCCGTCCCACCCAGGAACAGAAGACAGCAAGAAAAACTCACTTCGGACCCCCTCTGATTCCATCTCCAACATGACCAATCAGCACTCCCCTCTTCTGAGCTCCTATCCACCAAATTATCCTTAAAAACGCAAATCCCTGAATGCTTGGGGAGAATGATTTAAGTTGAGGACTAAGCTCTGATTTTTTATCTTAGCCAAATTCCTACCTAAGGGGGCTAGGGAGTCAGGCCCTACAAACCATACATTCTCATCAGATGCGTTTTATTTGACACGATATATTGTGACTTACTTTTCAGTCTGATTCCGGCATAACATTATGAGACAAGGAAAATATATTTAACCCCAAAATATATTTCTTTTCGTACCTTGAAATTGCCCTGCAAAGTCTTTTGTGGGAAAAATCCACATTCTATAGAGAATCCCCTTCCCCCTTTGTCTTCCCTCCTTTCTTTCCAGATCCAGTAGATAATTGACTAAGAGCCAGGCACCCTTTTAGGTCTAATAAGAAACATTTTACAACCTGCTCTGTCTCTGAAGTCTGCAACCTGAAAGGTTCCTCTGCACAATAAAACGTGGTCTCCACAATCCTTTCCGTCAACCTAAGCATTCCTTTCCGTTGGTCTCAGATCCTCAGATAACCAGTTATCAACCAGAAAATGTTGACATTTATCTATAGCCTGGAAGCCCCCAGCTTTGAATTGCCCCGCCTTCCTGAAGCAAACCAAAGTATTTCTTAAACATATTTGATTGATGTCTCGTGCCTCCCTAAAATATATAAAACCAAGCTGTGCCCCGACCACCTTGGGCATATGTTCTCAGAACCTCCTGAGGGCTGGGTCACAGGCCACGGTCACTCATATTTGGCTCAGAATAAATCTCTTCAAATATTTTACAGAGTTTGACTCTCTTCTTCAAGAAAGTAATAATAAAACTCCGATCCCCCACACAGCTGGCTCTGCGTGAGTTACTATTTCTACCTTGCAATTCTCCTGTCTTGATAAATCAGCTCTGTCCAGCCAGCGGGCAAGGTGAACCCCTGGGACAGCCACCCTGGGAGCATGGGCAGGACTTCCTTGGACACATTTCCTGGAATGCAGCCTGAAAGCAAGGATCGGAGTCCCTGAGTCTGAGCTGCTTCCAGCTTCCCCTCCAGAGACAGCTCTAGGCCACACCTCCAGTGGCCCTTCGGATGACCATGGGGCACCTGTCACCCGTGCTGCACTTGCCTAGGGTCTCCATGAGCTACCCAGATGAGAGCACACGCCTCGGAGGCCGGGTCTGCCCAGCAGTGAAACATCTGGCACTGACTCCCAGCATCTGACTCTCCTCACCTCGTGAAGCCCCCAAAACATTTCCTCCCAGAGGAGCTGTGGGATTTCCCACCAACCCCATCGCTGCCCCTCTGCCTGGGCCACCCCCTCTGCACGCCCGACCCCCTACCTTGGGGGGCGAGCCAAATGCCAAACAAAAACAAAACAAAACAAGGGAAACAAAAGCAAACAAAAGAATTCCCCCGGCCTCCCTCTAAGCACAAAAGAGCAGGCTTGTGGGAAGAGGGAAGCCAAGCCAGGGGGGGCTGGGGGTCCCCCATTGTTCTCTTCCCCAGCCTGGTGATGACAATCCCAGGCCTGCGGGTTGCAGCCCCCTCCCTGGCAATCAGCACCCCTCCTCTTTTCCCACCTCGGGCCTCTGAGAAAGACGCCCCAGGCAGATGTTCATAGGCCCAGGAGTGGTTCCCACAGAAGGAGGAAGCGAGAGCTCACAAAAGGCTCGCTTTTCCTTGAGGAAGCAGCAGCGGCTTTTCAGTGTCAGACTCCCGCAAGGATGGGGGACAGGGAGGCCTGGACCCAGGGGACCGGCCCGGAGAGGAGCTGCCTCTCCGGAGGAAGGGAGGGCATTGTGCGCCCCTGTTTACAGTGCTAACGGGGGCCGTGACCTTGCTACTTGTCAACAGGCTGGCCCCCACCCCCACCAAACTTTGCACACTGTGGAGCAGCCCATTGAGAATTTTGCTTGGGGTGGCTGGGTTTTGGCTGTGGCCCTTCCCCCACTGGCTCACTTTCAGCATTGTGGCCTGGATAAGAAAGTCAGATCTCAGGGGGTTTCTCTTTGCCCCGGAGCCAGCTTCCTACCCTGGCCTTCTGGTCTCGAGGTTCTGTTAACCCTTCAAAGAGCAAGAGAAGGAATGGGGCTCCTCTAACAACAGGTGCAGCCAGCCTAGACCCCGGCCCCATCTTCCCGGTATTGGTTGGGGACAGTGACACGGGGTTCCAGGAAGGGCCTGGGCAAAGAACAGTTTGGGTGATTGGTGGCACACGGGAGAGGCAGGAGGGGAAGAGGGTGGCATCTTAGAAATTGAGGCTGTCCTGAGAAAGGGCCAACTCTCTGCAGCCACAGGGACACAAGCTGATGAGACACGCACATCTTCAAAGGAATATTGACCAACCAGGCAGAGGGGAGAGAAGGCCCTGGAAAGGCCTGGAAGTTCCATGGAAGGCAAAGGAGTCAAGTGGACTCCAGAGGCCAGGCCTGGAGAAGACCACGGCACCGTGATGCCGGTGGGGCGGTGGCGGATGGGGGTTCCTGATCTATCAGGGGCTGCCATGGAGCAGAGGGGCACATTTACTCTGAGTAACTCAAGGGCAGACACTAGAACCAGGGTGGAAACTCCTGGAAGCCTAGATCCTGTCAATAAAGGATGCTCCCCTATGCTGGAGGTGGACATACAACCCCGGGAAGGCAGTAAACTCCCACCCCGAGAAGCAGAGCAGTGGCATTTAGGAGCCAGAGGGTGTCTGGAGACCACTGAGACGGGGCTAGGAAGCTGGGGCTCAGCTCACCCTGGGACCACCCCAGGCCACCCAGGGAGCCTGGACCGAGCTAAAACTAGAACCCAGGGAGTCCCCTCCCACACTCATGTTCAACTGGAGCCCAGCTGCCCTGTCAAGGAGCCCCCCAGGTCAAACCTGTGAAAGAAGGGGAGGCCAGGGGGGCCGAGGGCTCCTCCGAACTCAGAGGCAGTCTTTGAGGACTGTTCAGCGCCCCCACCCCACTCTTCCCACTCCCCCATTACTAGTGCCCGTGCATTTAAATCCGATTCATCCCTCACTGATCCCTCTCACCTCCTGTCTTCTGGCCCACCTGGCTCCAGCTCAGAAAATCCATGAGCTGTTGGGGCTCCCCTCTCTGGAACTAGCTCCTTCTTCCTGGGGATTTCTACCTCCCACCTGCCCCCGACACACCCCATGTCCCCATGAGTCCACCTGGTAACTGCTGTACAGCTCACTTGCCCTGAGGAAGCTTCTCTGAGGGGTGTTGAAGGCTCTGAGGAGCGCTTGCCTCTGTCCTCATGGCAGCCACAACTCCACTTAGCACGAGTCACTTGCCTTGCAGTTGTGTGGTGTCCTGGGTGTCCCTGAGTGGCTCCTGAGATTTAGGCTTCTACTCCGTAGTGTGTGTGTGCATGTGTGTGTGTGCATATGTGTGTGTCATGTATGTGTGTGCCATGCATGTGCATGCATGTGTGTGTGCACGTGTGCCTGTATGTGTGGACATGCATGTGTGTGCATGTGTGCGCATGTGTCCCCATGCATGCATGTGCGTGCGTGGGTTTGCATGTGTGTGTGTGCACCCTCATGCACTACGAGTGGCTGAGTGCTCTGGATGAGGTGATGAAAGGCCCTTGGGCCCAGGAGGAATAAGGAGTCTGCAGTTCAGGCTGCAGGGTTCCTTGTGAGTGGGGCCAGCACAGCAAGCACTGTCTGCACCCCAGAGAGATGGAGGCATGTGCTTCTCCCCTACGGCCCGTTCCTTCTTCAGAGGTTTCCTTTGGTTCATTGCTGGTCTGTTTGCTTTTCTCCAGGAAGCCCCCCATTTTAAAGAGACAGAGGTGATCGGGATTTGAGAGAAGAAGAATCTTCTGACTGGGAGAGACACAGATCATCCTAGGAAGCCCTTCCACACCACACAAAGATGCGCCCATGGGGTTCTCACAGTGGCGCTGTGGCAGAGCGGGTAGTACTGCCTGGTTTGGCAGCATGGGTGGGGATCAGGGCGGGGATCCTGGCTCAGCCTCTTTGCAGTTGTGTGACTCAGGGCAAGGTTAACCTCCCTGAACCCCAATGTCCTTAGATGTAAAATGGGGATGTTGGAATCTATCAAAGGACTTTCGCAGTGGTTGATGAGACAAAGTAAGTAAACCATGAAGCACAACTGGAGATAGATGTGGCAGCCCCTCCTTGCTTCCTTGACCTTCCAAGAGGGCAGGGAGACAGCCCAGGACCGCAGAGAGCAGAGCTGGTCTACAGAGGCCTCTTTGCCCAGCTGTCCCACCACAAGGCTGGCTCTAATCTGACCCACTGAGGTCTGGGACTAGGAGTAATTAGGGTTATCAGTGTCTTGTCTTTTCCATTTTTCACTTCCAATGGCTGCCAAACTAGCAAAACCCAAGATCAGAGCTAAGAAGGCAGACAAGGGGAACCTGGACCTTTCTCAGAAGCCACAGTGGGCCGAGGGTCCCACAACCTCACAAAGCCTCACATCCCAGGGACCTGCCCACCCTGTGTCTCTGCCCCCATCCCGTCTGCTCTTCATTGGCTCACTCCTGCAGGCACTGTTCGAGGAGTCTCTGCACAGAGAACAGGTCCTACCCCAGCCCTTTCCTCCCAGGCTTGACAATCCATGTGGCACCTCCCCTTGGCTACAAGCAGCTAAGTAAGGAAGAAGAAAAAGAGACAAAGAAAAATGACAGCTTTGCTGGGAGCAGTGGCTCATGCCTATAATCCCAGAACTTTGGGAGGCCAAGGCAGGTGGATCACTTGAAGCCAGGAGTTTGAGACCAGCCTGGTCAACATATTGAAACCCTGTCTCTACTAAAAATTAGCTGAGCATAGTGGCGGGTGCCTGTAATCCCAGCTACTTGTGAGGCTGAAGCAGGAGAATCACTTGAACCTGTAAGGCAGAGATTGCAGTGAGCTAAGATCATGCCATTGCACTCCAGCCTGGGAGACAGTGCAAGACTCCAAAAAAAAAAAAGAAAGAAAGAAAAAGAAGAAAGCCAGCTTCCTGCAGGCTACTTGCACTGGGGGAGGAACTGGTGCACCCGGTAGCCCTGGGCTCTCCCCGTCATTCCCAAAGCACTTCTCCCATCATGGACTCGGAATCCAAAGGCAACTGAGTCAGGATCCAGACCCAACTCCCCCCAAAGCCAGGACCCTCTCCCTGCCAGGAAAAGAAAGGAGAGAACTCATCAATTGCAGGATCATCAAGACCCAGAAGAGAAAGGCATGGTTTTTCCCTGGAAAATCCATTTCCCATGTTTGGGCAGGGGCAGGACTAAGTCACTTGCTGTGGTCAGACATGAGACAGGCTCCTCTGGGCTGTCTTTTCAGCACAGACTCCTCCTTGGGCTTCCTTGTCTGTCCTTATAGAGTTCTGTTTAATTAAGAATCCCGTTAGTCACCCTTGACGGCGGGTCTATTTCCTCCTCTGCCCCATTCCCTCTGTGGTGTCTGGTCACCCTGGCCTCTGCCTTCAGCGAGAATCTGGTAGGTCGGTTTTGCCAGAATCCCCACCCGTTCATACCTCCCGTTAGTGATTTTCCACCCACTGAACCCCTAAACTGCTCTTTGGTGATAAATCCCCACTTATTCTTACGTTCCAAGTTGGGCCAATCTCTCTCCTCTATTGTGACAGTCTTGAAACCTGCCCAGATAGTCCTGAGTAAAGCCTTCCTTACCCTTTAAACACGCATCAAAACAATTTTTCCTTTAACAGGTAATATTAGGAGCGAACACAAAGACAAACAAATGCATATCTGCTCTGCTTGGGTGCTCAGCTGAATACCGCGCTTGACTATGAGTTGCATGAGCTATGGAGCTGACCCGGTGACTCGAGGAGCCATTATAGGGCCTTATACCAACACCGAGTTGTGGCAGGTGGAAGACCCAGTTGTGCAGGAATTCCCTTGTGGCGAGGAGAGTCTGAGCAGCTGCAGGCAGCAGCCCTGGAAGGGAGCCCTAGCAGAGTGCCAGCCACTGCTCTGTAGGTGGTTACCAAGGCTGGATGCCTCTTTATTGAGGGTCTGACCTGAAAATGGAGCCTCTGCCGAAAGCCACCCTCGCCCCTGGAGACAGTCTCCTAGTATCATGGGGTGCTGGCCAGGGTCTGTGTTGGAAGCTGTGATTCCTGGAGCTGTGGCTGACTCTTGCATGGAGATGAACAACCAGGTTTGTGGCCACATCTTGCCGTGTGTGTGTGTGTGTGTGTGTGTGTGTGTGTGTGTGTGTGTATTGAGACAGGGTCTTGCTCTTTTGCTCAGGCTGGAGTACAGGCGGGTGATCATAGCTCACTTGCAGCCTCAAACTCCTGGGCTCAAGCAATCCTCCCACCTCAGCCTCCTGAGTAGCTGGGTCTACAGGTGCAGAGCACCGCGCGTACCTAATTCTTTTAACTTTATTTTTTGTAGAGACAGGTTCTCCCCATGTTGCCCAGGCTGGTCTCAAACTCCTGGGCACAAGTGATCCGCCTGCCTCAGCCTCTCAAAGTGCTGGGATTTCAGGCAAGAGCCACCGGGCCTGGTTCCTTGCTTTCTCTGAGTGGAGCTCCTTTCCACGGGCCACATCCCAGCAGAAGATTTCACTCTTCACTGCACGCTCCATGTAATTATAGCATTTAGGAACTGAAAGAGACACTAGAGATCTTGCTCACTCCCTCATTTGACAGTTACGGACTGAACATTGGGTTAAATCCCTCACTCCACGCCAAGCAGTGACTATGCGGGTACAGCCAGGATTGGAATCGGAGTGGAGCTGTGGGGAGCTCCCCTCCCAATCAGCGGGATCCCACAGGGTGCCTGAAAAGGACTTCACTTATTTTTCACCCTCAAAGTTGGGACAAAACCACCCATAAAGTTTTCTTTGTGGGAGGAGGAAAAAATAAGAATCGCAACTCAGCAGGGAATACGATTTTAAAAATAAGTATTGGGGCTGATGTGTTTAATGCCCGCCCCATGGGGCTCCTGGGCCCATAACTCAGTAGCACAATGGCCTTTCTTGTTATGAATGAGTGTGAGGTGCCAGCAGAGGAAATAGGAAGCCCCCAATATAGTCTGAATGGACCTGTGAACAGGGATAATAAAAGTTGTCCTGGATTTCCGTCCCCACCAGGTGTTTCCGCCAGGACTTCCATCCATTCAGGCTCGGGATGGCCGCTGGGGCCAAATCATCCCCCGCCCAGCCCTGGCCCCTTGCCCCGTGCCCGTGACCTCACCGTGTTCACCAGATGCCCCTCGGGCCTGGGCTCCCGGGACTCTGTGATGAGCATGGCTTCATCCCTATGGCCCCAGCTCTGTGAGATCTGTTCTGAAGGAGATGGTGAGGGGTGGGAGAGAGAAGGTGGTCACCAGATGACAGCTCCCCCAGGTCTGTCGCCCCCTCATTCTCCATAGGAGATGCTCAGGAGAGGGGATCCAGTTGCACATGGAGACAGGTGGCCACAGGTGATGGGGGGCAGAGACACTGGAGTCAAGAGGGCCTTGGCAAAGCAGGGAGGACTGGATTAGAAGCTGAGGAGGAGCATCCATCTGCCTGCAGGAGCTAAGGCATAGCCACGCCAGGGGAACACTGCAGCAGTCAGAGCTAGGAGCCTGCAGGCTGCCGCCTCCAACTCGCCCTGTGACCTTGAGCTCATCAATTGCCTCGCCAAAGCTGGCCCTTAGTTCCCAAACAAGGAGGTGGGGATGGCCTGCTCACCCAGTGCTACCTGAAATGATCCCAAACCAGATTCCACACAGGACGCAATCTGCAGAATCACACACACATCTGCGGAATCACACACACATCTGCGGAATCGCACACACATCTGCAGAATCGCACACACGTCTGCAGAATCGCACACACGTCTGCAGAATCACACACACATCTGTGGAATTGCACACAGGGAAAGGGAGGCTTTGTTCACGTGAACCAGGCAGGACACACAGATGAGCAAAGTCGACCTGGCACAAGGCCTCAGGGAGGAATGAGGGCCATAGGGCATGGGTCCACCACCCTCCTACAGATGTCCACGGTCTGTGTATTGCAACACCATGCAGGCCCCGGAACATATACCTGCTACCAGGTGAGGGGCCCACTTAGACAGCCTTCCTGTCACTGGATGCTGGGGAGGCTGCTGGGGTGTGAAGTCCACACTGTGCTTTAACTGTTTCAGGGGAGCAGATTCACAGACATGCTTCCCTGTCACTCTCAAAGAGGGGGTTCATTCTCTGGAGGTAGGAAATATCTCATGAATGACTTGGCTTTTTACACAGCAGATGGTTTGCAACACACACTAGCTGAATGGACAAGAGATCTTGGACCACCCATAGTTCTGACCTGCTCAGGGAACCGGTCATTCATCCCCCAGCCCAGGTAAGAAGGTTTACCTCCAGAGAGCCTCTCTTGACTGCCCCACCTGGGGGACCCTGCTTCGTGTATATGGATAGCTCACCCCATAGTCCCTAAGAACATTTTATAGGCACAACTTGTGTTATTATTCTTCACTTTATGCACTTCATAGCTATTTCATTTTTTTTACAAATTGAAGGTTTGTGGCAACCATGCATCAAACAAGTCTATCAGTGCCATTTTTCCAACAGCATGTTCTTACTTCATTAGCATTTTTAGCAATAACGTATTTTCAAATTAAGGTATGTGCCAGGCCTCTGAGCCCAAGCTAAACCATCATATCCCCTGAGACCTGCACGTACACTTCCAGATGGCAGGTTCCTGCCTTAACTGATGACATTCCACCACAAAAGAAGTGAAAATGGCCTGTTCCTACCTTAACTGATGACATTGTCTTGTGAAATTCCTTCTCCTGGCTCATCCTGGCTCAAAAGCTCCCCCACTGAGTAACTTGTGACCCCCACTCCTGCCTGCCAGAGAACACCCCCCTTTTTCCTTTACCTACCCAAATCCTATAAAACGGCTCCACCCCTATCTCCCTTCGCTGACTCTCTTTTCAGACTCAGCCCACCTGCACCCAGGTGAAATAAACAGCTTTATTGCTCACACAAAGCCTGTTTGGTGGTCTCTTCACACGGACGCGCATGAAATTTGGTGCCGTGACTCAGATCGGGGGATCTCCCTTGGGAGCTCAATCCCCCGTCCTCCTGCTCTTTGCTCTGTGAGAAAAGTCCACCTACGACCTCAGGTCCTCAGACCGACCAGCCCAAGAAACATCTCACCAATTTCAAATCCATTAATTTCAATCCAGTAATTTCAAATCCAGTAAGCAGCCTCTTTTTACTCTCTTCTCCAACCTCCCTCACTATCCCTCAACCTCTTTCTCGTTTCAATCTTGGCACCACACTTCAATCTCTCCCTTCTCTTAATTTCAATTCCTTTCATTTTCTGGTAGAGACAAAGGAGACACGTTTTATCCGTGGACCCAAAACTCCAGCGCTGCTCACGGACTACGGAAGGCAGCCTTCCCTTAGTGTTTAATCATTGCAGGGACAACCTCTCTGATTATTCACCCAGGTTTCAGAGGTGTCAGACCACGCAGGGACGCCTGCCTTGGTCCTTCACCCTTAGCAGCAAGTCCCACTTTTCTAGGGGAGGGGCAAGTACCCCAATCCCTTCCCTCCGTGTCTCTACCCCTTCTCCACTTTTCTGGGGGAGGGGCAAGAACCCCTCAACCCCTTCTCCTTCTCAACCCCTTAGCGGCAAATCCCACTTTTCTAGGGGACAAGAAACCCCAATCCCTTATTTCCGTGCCCCAACCAACCTCTTATCTCTGCACCCCAATCCCTTATTTCCGCACCCTGACCTCTTATCTCTGCACCCCGATCCCTTATTTCCACGCCCCGACCTCTTAGCTCTGTGCCCTAATCCCTTATTAATCCCTTATTTCCACGCCCCGACCTCTTATCTCTGCACCCTGATCCTTTATTTCCACGCCCCGACCTCTTATCTCTGCACCCTCATCCCTTATTTCTGCACCCTGACGTCTTATCTCTGCACCCCAACCCCTTATTTCCACACCCCGACCCCTTTCCCACTTTTCTGGAGGGTAAGAACCCCTGAACCCCTTCCCTCCGTGTCTCTACTCTCTTTTTTGTCTGGGCTTGCTTCCTTCACTATAGGCAATCTTCCATCCTCCATTCCTCCTTCTTCTCCCTTAGCCTGTGTTCTCAAGAACTTAAAACCTCTTCAACTCACACGTGACCTAAAACCTAAATGCCTTATTTTCTTCTACAATGCCGCTTGACCCCAATACAAACTCGACAGTAGTTCCAAATAGCCAAAAAACAGCACTTCCATTTTTTCCATCCTACAAGATCTAAATAATGCTTGCTGTAAAATGGACAAATGGTCTGGAGTGCTTGACGTTCAGGCATTCTTTTACACATCAGTCGCTACCTAGTCTCTGTTCCCCATGCAACTCTTCCCAAATCTTCCTTCTTTCCCTCCCACCTGTCCCCTCAGTCCCAACCCCAAGCATCGCTAAGTCTTTCTAATCTTCCTTTTCTACAGACCCATCTGACCTCTCCCCTCCTTGCCAGGCTGAGCTAGGTCCCAATTCTTCCTCAGCCTCCGCTCCTCCACCCTATAATCCTTTTATCACCTCCCCTCCACACATCCAGTCCGGCTTACAGTTTCATTCCGTGACTAGCCCTCCCCCACCTGCCCAGCAATTTCCTCCTAAAAAGGTGGCTGGAGCCAAAGCCACAGTCAAGGTTAATGCTCTTTTTTCTTTATCCCAAATCAGATAGTGTTTAGGCTCTTTTTCATCAAATATAAAAATCCATCCCCGTTCATGGCTCGTTTGGCAGCACCCCTGAGACGCTTTACAGCCCTAGACCCTAAGAGGTCAAAAGGCCGTCTTATTCTCAATATACGTTTTATTACCCAATCTGCTTCCGACATTAAATAAAACTCCAAAAATTAAATTCCGGCCCTCAAACCCCACAACAGGACTTAATTAACCTCGCCTTCAAGGTGTACAATAATAGAGGCAGCCAAGTAGCAGCATATTTCTGAGTTGCAATTCCTTGCCTCCACTGTGAGACAAACCCCAGCCACATCTCCAGCACACGAGGACTTCCAAACGCCTAAACCGCAGTGTCCAGGCATTCCTCCAGAACCACCTTCCCCAGGAGCTTGCTACAAGTGCCAGAAATCTGGCCACCAGGCCAAGGAATGCCCGCAGCCTAGGATTCCTCCTAAGCCGTGTCCCATCTATGCAGGACCCCACTGGAAATAGGACTGTTCAACTCACCTGGCAGCCACTCCCACAGCCCCTGGAACTCTGGCCCAAGGCTGTCTGACTGACTCCTTCCCAGATCTTCTCGGCTTAGTGGCTGAAGACTGACGCTGCACGATCGCCTCGGAAGTCCCGTAGACAATCACGGATGCCGAGCTTTAAGTAACTCTCACAGTGGAAAATAAGTCCGTCCTCTTCTTAATCAATACAGAGGCTACCCACTCCACATTACCTTCTTTTCAAAGGCCTGTTTCCCTTGGCTCCGTAACTGTTGTGAGTATTGACAGCCAGGCTTCTAAACCTCTTAAAACTCCCCAACTCTGGTGCCACCTTAGACAATACTCTTTTAAGCACTCCTTTTAGTTATCCCCACCTGCCCAGTTCCCTTATTAGGCCGAGACACTTTAACTAAATTATCTGCTTCCCTGACTATTCCTGGACTACAGCTACATCTCATTGCCGCCCTTCTTCCCAATCCAAAACCTCCTTTGCGTCCTCTTCTATTCCCCCACCTTAATCCACAAGTATAAGACACCTCTACTCCCTCCTTGGCGACCGATCATGCACCCCTTACCATCTCATTAAACCTAATCACCCTTACC
Source organism: Homo sapiens (assembly GCF_000001405.40). Lineage (NCBI taxonomy): Eukaryota > Metazoa > Chordata > Mammalia > Primates > Hominidae > Homo > Homo sapiens. Next base: position 10,574,239 of record NC_000008.11, read on the forward strand.
CCGCTCAATGCCAATATCCCATCCCACAGCATGCTTTGAAAGGATTAAAGCCTGTTATCACTCGCCTGCTACACCATGGCCTTTCAAAGCCGATAAACTCTCCTTACAATTCCCCCATTTTACCTGTCCTAAAACCAGACAAGCCTTGCAAGTTAGTTCAGGATGTATGCCTTATCAACCAAATTGTTTTGCCTATCCACCCCATGATGCCAAACACATATACTCTCCTATCCTCAGTTCCTCCCTCCACAACCCATTATTCTGTTCTGAATCTCAAACATGCTTTCTTTACTATTCCTCTGCACCCCTCGTCCCAGCCTCTCTTTGCTTTCACCTGCACTGACCCTGACACCCATCAGTCCCAGCAGCTTACCTGGGCTGTACTGCCGCAAGGTTTCAGGGACAACCCTCATTACTTCAGCCAAGCTCTTTCCCATGATTTACTTTCTTTCCACTCCTCCGCTTCTCACCTTATTCAATATATTGATGACCTTCTTCTTTGTAGACCCTCCTTTGAATCGTCTCAACAAGACACACTTCTGCTCCTTCAGCATTTATTTTCCAAAGAATATCAGGTATCCCCCTCCAAAGCTCAAATTTCTTCTCCAACCATTACCGACTTTGGCATAGTTCTTCATAAAAACACACGTGCTCTCCCTGCCGATCGTGTCTGACTAATCTCCCAAACCCCAATCCCTTCTACAAAACAACAACTCCTTTCCTTCCTGGGCATAGTTGGATACTTTCGCCTTTAGATACCTGGTTTTGCCATCCTAACAAAACCATTATATAAACTCACAAAAGGAAACCTAGCTGACCCCATAGATCCTAAATCTTTTCCCCACTCCTCTTTCCATTCCTTGAAGACAGCTTTAGAGACTGCCCCCACTCTAGCTCTCCCTGACTCATCCCAACCCTTTTCATTACATACAGGTGAAGTGCAGGGCTGTGCAGTCAGAATTCTTACACAAGGATCAGGATCGCGTCCTGTAGCCTTTTTGTCCAAACAAGTTGACGTTACTGTTTTAGGCTGGCCATCATGTCTCCGTGCAGCAGCTGCTGCCTCCATAATACTTTTAGAGGCCGTTAAAATCACAAACTGTGCTCAACTCACTCTCTACAGCTCTCATAATTTCCAAAATCTATTTTCTTCCAAACACCTGATGCATATACTGTCTGCTCCCTCGCTCCTTCAGCTGTACTCACTCTTTGTTGAGTCTCCCACAATTACCATTGTTCCCGGCCAGTACTTCAATCCGGCCTCCCACATTATTCCTGATACCACACCTGACCCTCATGACTGCGTCTCTCTGATCCACCTGACGTTCACCCCATTTCCCCATATTTCCTTCCCTGTTTCTCACCCTGACCACACTTAGTTTATTGATGGCAGTTCCACCAAGCCTAATCGCCACACACCAGCAAATGCAGGCTATGCTATAGTATAAGCCACTAGCCCGCCTCTTAGAACCTCTCATTTCCTTTCCATCTTGGAAATCTATCCTCTAGGAAATAACTTCTCAGTGTTCCATCTGCTATTCTACTACTCCTCAGGGATTCTTCAGGCCCCCTCCCTTCCCTACACATCAAGCTCAGAGATTTGCCCCCACCCAGGACTGGCAAATTAGCTTTACTCAACGTGCCCCGAGTCACAAAAACTAAAATACCTCTTAGTCTAAGTAGACACGTTCACTAGATACGTAGAGGCCTTTCCTATAGGATCTGAGAAGGCCACCGCAGTCATTTCTTCCCTTCTATCAGACATAATTCCTCAGTTTAGCCTTCCCACCTCTATATAGTCTGATAACAGACCAGCCTTTATTAGTCAATCAGCCCAGCAGTTTTTCAGGCTCTTAGTATTCAGTGAAACCTTTATATCCCTTACAGTCCTCAGTCTTCAGGAAAAGTAGAACAGACTAAAGGTCTTTTAAAAACACACCTCACCCACCTCAGCCACCAACTTAAAAAAGAATAGACAATACTTTTACCACTTTCCCTTCTCAGAATTCAGGCCTGTCTTCAGAATGCTACAAAGTACAGCCCATTTAAGCTCCCCTATAGATGCTCCTTTTTATTAGGCCCCAGTCTCATTCCAGACAACAGACCAACTTGGACTATGCCCCAAAAAACTTGTCATCCCTATTGTCTTCTGTCTAGCCATACTCCTATTCACCATTCTCAACTACTCATACACGCCCTGCTCTTGTTTACACTGCCGGTTTACACTGTTTCTCCAAGCCATCGCAGCTGTTATCTCCTGGTGCTATCCCCAAACCACCACTCTTAACTCTTAAAGTAAATAAATAATCTTTTCCGGCAAGGCTATGCTGAACCTCCTTAGGCACTCTCTAGTTAGATGTCCTAGGTCCTCCCAATTCTTAGTCCTTTAATACCTGTTTTTCTCCTTCTCTTATTCCATTTAGTTTCTCAATTCATCCAAAACTGTATCCAGGCCATCATCAATAATTCTAAATGACAAATGTTTCTTCTAACAGTCCCACAATATCACCCCTTACCACAAAACCTTCCTTCAGCTTATCTCTCCGACTGTAGGTTCCCACGCCGCCCCTAATCCCGCTCGAAGCAGCCCTGAGAAACATCGCCCGTTATCTCTCCCTATCACCCCCCAAAATTTTCGCCACCCCAACACTTTACCACTATTTCGTTTTATTTTTCTTATTAATATAAGAAGACAGGAATGTCAGGCCTCTGAGCCCAAGCTAAGCCATCATATCCCCTGTGACCTGCATGTACACATCCAGATGGCCGGTTCCTGCCTTAACTGTTGACATTCCACCACAAAAGAAGTAAAAATGGCCTGTTCCTGCCTAAACTGATGACATTGTCTTGTGAAATTCCTTCTCCTGGCTCAAAAGCTCCCACACTGAGTACCTTGTGACCCCCACTCCTGCCTGCCAGAGAACAACCCCCCTTTTTCCTTTACCTACCCAAATCCTATAAAACGGCCCCACCCCTACCTCCCTTCGCTGACTCTCTTTTCGGACTCAGCCCACCTGCACCCAGGTGAAATAAACAGCTTTATTGCTCACACAAAGCCTGTTTGGTGGTCTCTTCACACGGACGCACATGAAAGTATATGCATGGCTTTTTGTGGCACACTATTGCACACTTAACAGACTACAATGGAACATAACTTTTTTTTTTTTTTTTTTGAGACAGAGTTTTGCCCTTGTCACCCAGGCTGGAGTGCAATGGCGTGATCACAGCTCACTGCAACCTCTGCCTCCTGGGTTCAAGTGATTCTCCAGCCTCAGCCTCCCGAGTGGCTGGGATTACAGGCGTGTCACCACCATGCCCAGCTAATTTTTGTATTTTTAGTAGCGACTGGGTTTCACCATGTTGGCTAGGCTGCTTTCAAACTCCTGACCTCAGGTGATCTGCCCGCCTCACCCTCCCTAAGTGCTGGGATTACAGTATGAGCCACCGCGCCTGGCTGGAAACATAACTTTTATATGTGCTGGGAAACAAACAAACCAAAAATTAGTGTGAGTAGCTTTAGCTCGGTAGTCACTTTATTGCCATGGTCTGGAATGGAGCCTGCAGTGTCTCTGAGGCGTGCCTCTGCCTGGAACAGAGCCTGGAACAGAGCCTGCAGTGTCTGGGAGGCATACCTCTACAAGGATCACTGTGCTGATCCAGCTGTTGTAGCATCGCCAGGGCTGGTGGTAGAACCTCCAGTTGTGAGCCCTAAATATAACCACCTCCATGCCCAGCTTCTCTGGGTTCCACCTACAGGAGAGGTTTGTAAGTCAAGAAATCAGTATTTACAGAAACTACTGGGAGCAGAGCAATTCTCTCACTGAAACTGTTCTGAGGCCGGGTGCAGTGGCTCATGCCTATAGGCCAAGGTGGGCGGGTCACTTGAGGCCAGGAGTTCAAGACCAGCCTGGCCAACATGACAAAACCCTTTCTCTACAAAAAATACAAAAATTAGCCAGGCATGGTGGCACGAGCCTTTAATTCCAGCTACTTGGGAGGTTGAGGCAGGAGATTTGCTTGAACCTGGGAGGCGGGGGTTGCAGTGAGCCAAGATCATACCACTGCACTCCAGCCTGGGTGCATTCTATGAGATCAGTGTTACCGTAATACCAAAACCAGACAGATACTACAAAACAAAAGAAAACTACAGACCAATATTTGCATGGACATAGATGCAAAAATCCTTAATTAAATATCAGAAAATCAAATCCAACACTGGACAAAAAGAATTATATACCTAGACCAAGTGGAATTTATCCCAGGTATATAAGGCTGGTTCAAAAAGAGGAAGTTGTTGGGAATACAAGTTCCAACTCTGGGCAGTCCAAGTATCTGATGGGTATTCTTATTAGTCCCCTGAGGCCTTTGGTAATCACTAATTAGAGTTATGAGTAATGACATCCAAGATAATGCACATGTTCAGCTCCCGCAGGCCATGATCAGGAGGAGGAGACACAGATAAACAGTTCAGGCTGAATGCGGAGCTATGGACTTTTCATAGCAGACATTTTATTTTTGTTCTAGCGACTAATTGATGTAAGAAGAGTATAGATTATTGTACAGATAAGAACACGGGGGCTCATAGAAGTTACATGGGTTGTCAGAACTCTCATAACTAATGAGTGGAAGAGACCATCTTTTGTCTTTTCGGCCAAAAAGTCAGGTCTGCAGCCTAGCACAGTGGCACCGCCCAGAAGATCCCAGGCCAGCTGAATATTGGCCACGCTGGGGGAGTCTGTTGGGCTCTGAAGCACCACTGGAACTGGACGACTTTAGTTTCTCTTACAACAAGTATGGGAAATCGGATGTGCCTCTGGGAAGCAAAGTGACCCAGGGCCTCTGCTAGACTCTGCAGGATGCAAGCCTGTCTCTCCTCCATCCTTCAGTCTGTAGGCGTGTCAGGCTCAGGGCTGCCGGGCGTAAGGCAGATGAGAAGTGTGGTAGAAAAAAAAGCCACCAAACTAGATGCCAAAAATCTATGTTGAATCACGGGACAGCCACAAGACAGCCACTTTCTACCCGCGTGATCTTAGTTGAACGGCCCTCGGTCTCCTCATCTGTGAAGTCGAGGAACTCAATTACATACTCTGTTGTGTTTCCATCCAGTTTTATTATGAGCGATTCTAAAATGGCTCCAGGGCCCTTCAGGGGCCGCTTGCGCCTTCCAGAAGTCCACCCAGTGGAGGCTACTACAATACCATCTTCTTACCTGGAAGAAGAGAGAACTGAGAGCAGGAGGCAGGTGCCACCCCTGGGAGAAGGTTCTCCTCGTCTGCTCCAGCTGTGCAAACCCCAGCCATCTTCCAGGTCAAGACCCTGCTCTGAAACAGCAGATCCCATAGCAGCAACCCAGCCTTCCCCCACCCGGCCCCCCACTGGGCCCAGCGCACCTTCTATCCCCAGGTCAGCACCTCCCCACCGATTCCACTGCCGAACCACACCCCTCACACTTTTGCAATTTCCAAGTTGAGCTCTGAGTCTTACTTTCCAGAATGTTCCAAAGGTGCAAACCAGGACAGCCCCACCCCCCATCCCTCCCAGGCTCCCCATGGCCTAGAATTCACACTTTGGGTACGCTGTGTTGGCTGTAGATGGCTTTCTAATCTTCATATTTTGGGGGAGGGTATGGAATGGGAGGTGGGGAGAACTGGCTGCCTGGCGTTTCCTTGTGTTGATGCAGATGTGGTTTTGCACCTGGTTTCTGGACTTTGCTTGCGGTCACAGCCAGGGCTGTGAGGTAAGTGAGCCAGCCACTAAACAACTGTCCACAGAGCTGAAAATTCTATCCCAGTAGCAAAGGAATCCCCTTGGAAGGAGAACTGGAATATGACCACCAGCAAGGCCACTGCTTTCATGCCTTCCGGGCAGGGAAAGGGGGAGGCAGGTGGAAGAAACATAGGATGGAGATTTTCATGCCCAGGGTACAAGAGGAGGCAAATCACCCATGACTCAGGCACAGGGGAGAAAGGTCAGTCCTGGCTCCAGCTTGGCGGGAGTGGGGGTGAGGGACAGATTCAGCAGGGACAGGCTGATGCGATCCCCTCCCTCTCTCTCTCCCATCCCCCTACCAAATCTGTTCCTCTCCTCCATATCAGTTATCACATTATCACTATCTGCAAGCATCTTGATTGTTACTTGCTCACCATTTCCCGCTCTGCTTCTTGCCGGGAAGAAAGTAATATAGTTTGAATGTGTGTCCCTGCCCAAATCTCAGGTTGAATTGTAGTCTCCAGTGCTGGAGGTCGGGCCTGATGGGAGGTGTTTGCATGATGAGATAGATCGCCCATGAACGGCTTAGGCCATCCCCTTGGTGATAAGTCAGCTCTGGCTCTGAGTTCACATGAGATCTGGTCATTTAAAAGTGTATGGCACCCCCTCCCTTGCTCTTGCTCCCGCCCTCACCATGTAACATACCTGCTCCCCCTTTGCCTTCCACCATGACCGGAAGCTTCCTGAAGCTGCCCCAGAAGCAGATGCCACTGTGCGTCCTGTACAGCCTGCAGAACCGTGAGCCAATTAAACCTCTTATAAATTATCCAGCCTCCCAAACTTCTTTAGAGCAACGCAAGAATGGCCTAATACACCAAATTAGAGTTAAAGGAAAAGGAGGCTAAGAGAGGTTAAGTTATTTGCCCATGACACACAGCTAGTAACAGAAGCAAGACCTCTTCCCAGGTCTTGGGACCCCCTAGTTAATTGTCTCATGCATCATATGTGATGTGCCTCATTGTCCCTTGAAAGCAATGACAAGCTCCTCACCTCCTTTCCTCCACTCAGTGAAGCAATGGGAGTGCCCGCAGGCCATTGCAGGGCTCCCATGGTGAGCCTTCCCTCCACCCTGCCAGTAGCAACAGAGTGGACCCAGGGAGCAACGTCCCCAGGTCTGGACTTTCATCCCAGCTCCACCACATGCAAGGGCCAGTGGCTGAAGATTTTTGAATCCCAATTTTGCCAACCATCCTGTAGAAATAACACCTCACATGGTTGTGAGGCAGAAGTGTGGGGAAAATGCTGAGCTCCGGCGGCCTTTCTGAGCACCGCATCTTCCTCTGAAAGCGGAAATAACGAGACCTAATGTGAGAGGTGGGGGCGAGGATTAGGTGGGGCAATGTGCTTAGAGTTAGCAGAGGGCTCCGAGGCAGTTAGCACTTGGCAAGTGGGAGCTGATGTTATCAGTTAATACCGAGGTCTTTCCCGGGGGGGACTGCCTGCACCCCCAAAGTGTTCTAGGGCGTGGAGAAGCACATTCTGAGGGTAGGAAATGAGCAAGTGGTTCCCTTCCCCTGAGGCTCTGGTTAGCACTCACTGAATCCTATTTTTTTTTTTTGGGAGAGGGTCTCCCTCTGTCACCCAGGCTGGAGATAGGAACAAAGCTAAACAGCACATGTTCTCACTCCTATATGGAAGCTAAAAAAAAAAAAAGATCTCATACAAGCAAAAAGTAGAATAGAGTATACTAGACGCTGGGAAGGGCAGGTGAAGGGAGAAATAAGGGGAGATTTGTTAAAGGATACAAAATAGGCCGGGCGTGTTGACTCATGACTGTAATCCCAGCACTTTGGGAGGCCAAGGTGGGAGGATCAGTTGAGCCCAGGAGTTCAAGACCAGCCTGGGCAACATAGTAAGACCTTGTCTCTACAAAAAATAGAAAAATTAGCCAGGTGTGATCCCAGCTCACTGCAACCTCCGCCTCCTGGGTTCAAGCTATTCTCATGCCTCAGCCTCCCAAATAGCTGGGACTACAGGCATGCACAGCCACGCCTGGCTAATTTTTGTATTTTTTTGGTAGAGACGGGGTTTTCTCATGTTGGCCAGGCTGGTCTCGAACTCCTGACCTCAAGTGCTCCACCCACCTCGGCCTCCCTAAGTGCCAGGATTACAAGCGTGAGCCACTGTGCCCAGCCAATCCATATTTCACATGTGAAAGTAAATCTACATTTTACATGAGGTAAAGTAAGAATGTGCCATTACAGCTTTGCGTTTGGGAACAAAAGGAGGATAGTTTTTGTGTGACTCAGTTCCTAGCTGAACTTTTCCCTTTGGCATAGTGAGTTTGGTGTCCTGGGATATGATTTTTTGTGTGTGTGTCGTCCTTGCTAGCATTCACCATTGTCTCCCTCCTCTCCTTGGACGTCAGGGAAGGCAGAGTGGCCCCAGGTGAGGTCCGGTGGCTGGTCACGGGCTTCTCCTGGCCCGGGTGAAGCCTAGTTCTCAGGCAGGGATGAAAGGGTGCTGCACCCAGCAAGCCTGCTTTCCTCCTCCCTGCTGAGAGGTTGCCGGGGAGGCCCTGTGCTGTGAGCTCCTAGGAGGCAGGTAGGCTGGGGATTCGGGGAACGATGAATGCAAGTACTCCCTGAGCAGGGCGCTGGGTCAGGCCTCTTTCTGGGGTTGAGAAGCTGGGAAGCTCTCAGGACATCTGCTGCCATCTCAGGCTCTGCGGGGTGGGAGCTGTGAGGTGTGTAGGGAGGAAGGCCAGACTGGGAAAGTCCAGGCTCCCACCTCTGACCCGTCACACTCATGCTGTGACCACGGCCAAGGCACACCCTCCCTCTGAGCCTCAGCCTTTAGCCTGGAGTAGTCTCTGAGATGCAATACTAGCTCTGAAAAGTGAATCCCTGCCCCTTGAGCACTCAAAATAAAGTATTATTAGTCCACTCCCATCTGAACTAAATTTTGGATAGGGATCCATGGGCTTCTAATACTAATCCTTTGTATCTGATTTGTTTGTATTTCGAGCATTTTATTTAACTCCTTTTTGTACTTTCTCTCTGCTGAAATTCACTGTCATATATGTTGCTTATCTTTTCTGGTATATCTTTTAATATAGTAATTATAGTTATGTTTAAAGTTGCTGTATAATAGCTGCAATATCTGGACCATCTCTGAGTCTGGTTCTGTTGATTGCCTTATATATTGACAGTTTTGTTTGTTTCATAATTGGAATGGCATCCATCATGTGTAGAAGAAAAATAGAGACTGAGTAAAGTAGTGTTTATACCTGGAAAAAAAATATATTAGTCCACTCTTTTGTGTTAGATTTCAGAATTTAATGTTACAGACAAGCACTCACGGATTGATTCTCCCCTCTGCCCCTGAATAATTCCAAGAGTTCCCCAGACCCCAGGCCAGCCTCCTCTGTCCCTCCTGCCCCTACAGTGTCCTATCCAGGCCCTCTGACTCCCCAGGCCCTGTCTGACACCTGCTCTGTTTTCCCAAACAAAGAGAGTGAGGCCCTACATCTCCCTCACAGGCTTACGTCCACCCCCAACAGGGCTTTCCTGACACTATGCCCCAACTTGCAATGCACGCCAACCTTTGGTAACCCAAAGAGTCAAATGCTGGCCACTTGCTTTCAGACAGACGTTGGTAGCTACAGAAAAGATTAGAGGGTTGTAAGACCTTCTTGGACCCTCCAGGCCAGAACACATGGGTGATCGGTGATGCCACTGAGGTAGAGGGCTTGTGTCATTCTCGGTGTGAATCAGATGTCAAGGGCAGGATAACCAGCTGGACATGAGTTGAGTAAGGACTTATCAGGGACCAGGACTCTCTCAGTGTCAGACAGCGTCTCACTGCGTTCAGCCTGTCACAGGCATTTGAACCAGAGCAACTCCATCTTGAATAGAGGCTGGGTAAAATGAGGCTGAGACCTACCGGGCTGCATTCCCAGGAGGTTAAGGCATTCTTAGTCACAGGATGAGATAGGCGGTTGGCACAAGATACAGGTCACAAAGACCTTGCTGATAAGACAGTTTGCAGTGGAGGAGTGGGCCAAAACCCACCAAAACCAAGATGGCCACGAGAGCGACCTGTGGTCGTCCTCACTGCTACACTCCCACCAGCTCCATGAGAGTTTACAAATGCCATGGCAACATTGGGAAGTTACCCTACATGGTCTAAAAAAGGGAGGCATGAATAATCCACCCCTTGTTTAGCATATCATCAAGAAATAACCATAAAATGGGCAACCAGAAGTCCTGGGGGCTGCTCTGTCTATGGAGTAGCCATTCTTTCATTCCTTTACTTTCTTAATCAACTTGCTTTCACTTCACTGTGTGGACTTGCCCTGAATTCTTTCTTGCATGAGATCCAAGAACCCTCTCTTGGGGTCTGGATCCAGACCCCTTTCCAGTAACAAGCCTAGCAACTGTGAAAGGGCCAAGTCCAGAGTTCAGACACTTCCTAAAATAAAGCCTCCCCGGCCGTCCCTTCTTCTCTAGTCAAAGGCGCAGCTACGTGTGCAGCCCTCAGAGGAAAGAAAGCAGAAGAGTTGGACACATCGTTAGGCTCTTTCTGCAGGCGGGGAAGCTAAGAACTGCATTCAAGGCCTGGCTTGGCCAAGCTTTTACCCCACAGCTGACGGGATCTAGAGTCTTGTCTCCAATGTCAGTGCTGGCAAAGATGGGACACCTGTCCCGACCCAGTGCCCTACACAGGCCTTCAGAAGGTCACCCAGAGAGCCAGACACACGGCTCCCGGGGAGCAGACCTATAAACAGCATCTGGATCTGGGCATGCACACTCCCGGCCCGGCATACAGGGCGGCGTGCACAATCCCGGGCACAATGAATGGTCCTGTTGGCCAGGAGATGGCTTGTATTCATCTGAATTGTTTGGGTCTGAGCCAGCCCCTTGTCCCCAAGCAATGCCATTTTGGCTATTGTGCCGATGATGGCTGATGATTATCTTGGTTGTTTATCCAGTTGCTCTATAGATTGACTTGCTGAATGTCAGGGTTTGACTGTTTCCATAACAGGAAGCTGCTCACTGTCTCACTGTATTAAGGAACTCTGGTCTACACAATAGAGTTCCAACAAAACCCTAAACACTCCATTTGCTGGGGGAACCTCATTGAATCCAGCTCTCATTGTTTCTTTTATAGGCTGAATCCTGTATTTACAGTGAGAGGGGTGTGTGTGGCTGTGTGTGCACGTGTGTGTGTGTGTGTGTGTGTGTGTTCGCGCATGCACATGTGGGTTTAACAAGATATGAAGCCTGGCTTGTCACCTTCCAAGTTCTCCACTTGAACTTGAGCATAGATCAGGGTGCCATGATTCCCCAGACAGAGACCTGCTAGGGTGGGAGGGAGTGGGGATGAGCAGGACCCTGCCCCTGGGGAGTCTCTCCTCGGTCCTCCCAGTGTCGCCGGACCCAGGGTCGCCGTGCAGTCAGAGGAAGTTAAAGCTTTTGTTTTCATACCGAGGCACAGTCAAACAGTAGAACAAAACTCCCAAGTCAGCGTTGAACCCAGGCGCCAAGACCCTATGGAGGAAACAGAAGATGAAAGGGGAGACATTCGGCGCTGGTTTCTGTCACTATTATTTATTACCTTCTGGGTGGTTCCATGCCCCTGGGAGTTTCCCAGAAGCTCTCCAGGCACCTGGTTAAATCGCATGGATTCCTTTTTGATTTTATCTGGCTCTCTCCTCCCATCCTCAGCTGCCAAGGAGCTTAGAGGAGAAACAAAAGGAGCACGACTGGAGGAGTCTGATCTCTGTGGGGAGCTGTTTCCTTCAGGACAGAGGCTTGGTGCCCCCGGGGGGTGGGTAACTAGAGTTGGCCAGGCGCTCCTGGCGGGCACAGGCCTCCCAGCCTAGTACCTGGTACAGGGCAGGCACCCAATTGCCTAACAACCTGAATGCCTAAAGATGCTTCTGAGTGTGCAGTCCGTTGGGGTGCAAGTCTAGATAGAAAATAAGCCTGGGCCGGGCGCAGTGGCTCATGCCTGTAATCCCAGCACTTTGGGAGGCTGAGGCCGGTGGATCATGAGGTCAGGAGTTCAAGATCAGCCTGGCCAACATGGTGAAACCCTGTCTCTACTAAACAAATAAAAAATTAGCCAGGTGTGGTGGTGAGCACCTGTAATCCCAGCTACTTGGGAGGCTGAGGCAGATAATTGCTTGAACCCAGGAAGGCAGAGATTGCAGTGAGCTGAGATCACACCACTGCACTCCAGCCTGGCCAACAGAGCGAAACTCCGTCTAAAAAAAAAAAGAAAAAGAAAGAAAGAAAAGACAACAAGCCTGAATTCTTGGGGTATGACTCCCTGCTACTTTTAAGACTTGAAAATGTAAACCCAGGTGAGTTTTGGCATTTTTGCCTGATGTAACCATTTAAGCCACTGGAACAACTTGTCAACTCATCCACAGTGATTAAGTGGAGGTGTGAGATGTGCCTGCCTTCCACAGAGCATGAAGGCCATTCCTTAACACCATTCATTCTCATATGGGGAGGAGGAGAGAGCTACTCTACTCGGATGTTAACACACAGATTGTACAGAGAGAAGTAGGGTCCCAGGTTGCAGAGGCCACCTGGCATTAGACGTCCACTACTAGGACCCTTTCTCCCCTTCACAGTGAGGTGACTGGTCTACCCAGAAGGAGCCCAGTGGAAGCCTGGTGGTGACAGAAGTGGGACTGTTGGTTCTCAGAGGGAGCTGGAAGATACTACAGCCATCATCTAGTTCAATCCATTTTGCAGGACGGAAGAGTGAGGTTGAGCAAGTCAAGCAAAGTCCTTGAGGTCAAAGGAGGCTGGCCTCCTCCCTCAGCCTACAGGGAGGGGTCAAAGAGAGAGGTAGCATTCATCTGAAAAGCCCAGCTAAGAAGGGAGTGACAGCTCTGCCACCCAGGGAACCAAGGAAGCCAGAGAACATGGACACAGGGCCTTTGTCACCAATGACTGAGCCCGGGTTATTTTAAATTACCATGTACATTGTAGCTCCAAGCGTCTTTCAAAGAATATTCAGGTTTCCCAGGGAAACATTCAAGTTACATAAAGCACAGATGTCCATGCCTTCCCCTCTCTTAAATTAGGTAAAATTGGAGGTCCTGGAGAGATAGGTGTGCTTGAATCTTGTTTCTTAGAATAAGCTCCGAATTGACAAAGCCTCCCATTCTGTTTGCAAAGACCTGACCTGGGGAGATATATATGCCAGCCAATCCATTGGATCTAAACAGGCAGAAAAAGTGTTTTGCTTTGCTTTTTAAATTATCCAACCAAATCTAGATAGTCCTGTATCCTAGTGTTGACACAGTTCTAAGAGCCATGTAGTCAAACCTCACCCCGATGCTTCACACTAAATACGTTGCTGAGATGGAAATCTCTGCTTTTGCTGAAGGTGGTCCGTGTCTTAAGGATCAAACTCTCATGTGCACCTTGCTCCACTTGCTTTGGAGGGTTCCCTGAAGACAGAGCTCCCATGGGAAAGCTGTGCAGCCCTCACAGCTGTCATGCTAGCTGTTTAGCAGTAGAGGGCATTGTTTACTTAAAATCCAGGCATGAACCTAGGCCAAGAGAAAGTCAGCATTCTGACATCTTAAGAGTGGTCATCTGACCAGCTGCCCAGTCTCTCCCAAACCAAGTCCACCCAGCCCAATAGATGAGAAGGCTGTACGTTCACAAAGACCTCTCCTGCCTTATTCAGGAACTCAGTGTGGGTACAGCAGATCCTCCCTATCGAGAAACCCTTCAACCAACCTGCACCCATTGTGTTCCATTTCCTCCCGTTCTGTTCCACTGACTTTGAACCTCAGGTTCACATTGCAGCAGATCAGATTACTTCCCCAAAATGCCTTCCCTCTATTATTCTTGTTTACCGGGCATTCGCTACCATGTTAATGTCTCTAGGGTGGAGGACAGGGTAGGGTTGGAACAGGACAAATTGGGCCTAATTTAAACATTGGAAGATTCAATGTAACATTGTCTGAGAGTTCAGGATAAAGCTTGATCTTGTAAATGGTAAATAAAGAGCATTTGATTTTTTATTGGGCTTACAAGTAGGAAGCCTGGTTTCTATAAACACATGCAAAAATCAGAGTCACTCTTACCAGGCTATGCTTCTTGGAAAAATGTCCCTAAAACACTTGAAATACTGATAATTCTTTCAATATTAGCCATTTTTTTTGTGGCTAATGTTAACATTATTTGTGTTGAGGTTTGGCCTTAGTGTAAGGTATAGTGTGGGAGCTTTGTGGGTAAAGCTAGCAGAGGTGAAGCCTCAAAGCACTCTCGCAACGTGTTCCCACAGCCATTTGTTCATGAAATTTGCAAAAGTAAATTTCATCACAAATTGGTGAAGACTGTTGTTTGTTTTCCCTCTGACTTTCCTTCCGTTGTACTTGTCCTATTGGGTGGCATTGGAGTGGCCAAGGACATTTTTGAAATCTGGCTAAGGGGATGTTGAGTTGAAGACTTATTTAGGCAGCTTTAATGGGATCTAATCTGACCATCCATCCATCCATCCATCCATCTATCTATTCATGTATCCATCATCAATCCACCTATCTATCGATCTAACCATCTCTCTAGCTATCTAATCTATCTCAGCCATTTCCGTAGAACGTAAGCGTCGATAACTTTCCTGGTGTAGACATGGCCTGCAGGCACTCTCTGGGGACCCACCAGTGCCACAAGGTGAAGATACAAGGCTGGTCACGGGACCTCTGCGGGAACATGTCTTAGGGCTTCCGTGCGTATCCAGTGGAAGAGAAAGAAGATTTGAAATGTACAGACCCAGAAGCTTGTAAGGATCATTTTTCTGGTTTTGTGATATTTGTGGAGATTTTTAGCTTTTGAAAAGTGCACTATTTGGGCAAAACTATAGAGACAGTATAAAGCTCAGTGGTTGCCCGGGGTTGTGGGGAGGCAGGGATGAACACGCTGAGCACAGAGGATTTTTACGGCGGTGAAACTCCTCTGTATGATAATGTAATGGTGGGTACAGGTTATTACACATTTGCCAAAATTCACAGAATGTTCAACACCAAGGATGAACCCTAATATAACATATGGACTCTGGGTGATGATGACGAGTCAATGTAGGTTCATCGATTGTAACAAATGCACCACTCTGGGGTGGGGGGATGGTGATGATAGTGGGGGAGGCTGTGTGTGTGGGTCGGGGCATATATGGAGATTCTCAGGACCTTCTGCTCAATTTTACTGTGAACCTAAAACTGCTCTAAAATATAAAGCCTATTTTAAAATCTGTTATTTGTTGTGATTAACTTCCCCATGCCCAGTCAATATGAACTTCTGAGCCTAATTATGCATTCACTGTCTTGGACTCTGCTTCTGCCAGTGTCGAGGTTGTTGGCCGCCACAAACCCTGGGTCTGCCCTATGTGTGTAGCCCATCCTTTCAGTTGCATGGCTCATGCTGACAACTGGCCCATTTTCCCATTCAGATTGCTGCTGTCTTTTTGTTTGTTTGTTTGTTTTGGTTATTTTTTGAGATGGAGTCTTAACTTTGTCACCCAGACTGGAGTGCAGTGGCACAATCTCCGCTCACTGCAACCTCTGCCTCCCGGGTTGGAGAGATTCTCCTGCCTCAGCCTTCTGAGTATCTGGGATTACTCAGCCACCATGACCCGCTGATTTTTGTATTTTTAGTAGAGACAGGGTTTCCCCATGTTGGCCAGTCTGGTCTCGAACTCCTGACCACAGGTGATCCTCCCGCCTCGGCCTCCCAAAGTGCTGGGATTACAGGCGTGAGCCACCACGCCAAATCCAGATTGTGGCTGTCTTGATGGTGAAGTGTCTCCCATTCTGGCGTTCAGCGCAAGAGGGGAACGTGTTCTCTGGCTGGTGTCGCCGGCCCCTCTCCTCGCACGCCACGCTCACCCCCCGACTTCTTTGCAGGGATGGTGCCGTCGGGCCTGCCGGGCAGGGTGTGAGGAGCTTCGTCCTGAGATCGCTGGTCACTTGAAGGTCTCGGGAGAGGGCGTCCTGCCCTGCCAAACTGGGTCGCCAGGAGCCAGAAGGTTCCCTCAGTGTGGCCATCCCTGCCCGGTGCTTCCATCCTTCTAATGGCTGGGAGGCCTTACTTCCCAGCCTGTTGGGTACGTTTTTGTTTCTAGAAGATTCTGAGTTTCCTCCTTCTGCAACACAAAATGAAAGGGTTTTATATTTTGATATCTCCGAGTTCCTGCTTGGCTAGAGGGAAAGAAATGGGTTTTTTCAGTAACCAAGATTCATGAGGGTGAATTTTTCTTCCCAGAAAAGCTGCCATCCAGATTATCCTGGGCGCACAAAGCCCTGTCGTATCCGCACTTGCCAGCAGAGGGCGACACACAGCCGCCTGCAGGGACAGAGCTGGAGAAGGCTCCAAGGATCTGTCCCGGACCAGCGGGGCCACCAGGCGGCTTTCCCTACTGCACCCACGCCCCCTGACAAAGTGGCCCCATCTAAGACGACAGCAGAGGTTCCTGGGCCCGAACATCTGAGCCAGGCTGCGCCGGGGGCGTCAGACTCGGATCATCCCCTGAGCCCTGGAGAGCCAGCCTGGCCCTCAGGTCTCCCCTAAAAAGCTCAGGGAAGGATGCTGGGGAGAAACTCCAGGGAGGAACAGACCCCCCGCCCACCTCCTTCGGCCAGAACATCCCAAAGACCTCCCTGCAGCATTCCAGACCCTACACGGGGGTCTTAGAATAGGGTTACCCAAGAAAATACAGAACTCCCAATTAAATTTGAATTCCAGATAAAGAACAATTTGTTAGTAAGCCTGCGCCAAATATTGCGCAGAATGTGCATATATTTTTAAAAGTGGTCTTTGTTTATCTGGAAATTCAAATTTAACTACGTGTCTTGTATTTTTTATCTGCTAAGTCATTACCACTCTCTTAGTGAGGTTCCTAGAATATTCTAGTCCAGCACAGACCAAAAGTGGGGTTCCTTCTCCCTTACACCAGCCCCTTCTCCCCAAAACTCCTTGGAGGAGCTTCCATACCAGGCCCGCTCCAATCTAAACCCCTCACTTCAGAAAGGGCAAGGAATAGTGGATGCTACAGACCACTCGAACCGAGCCACCCTAACCTCTTCTTGTCTGATGGACAGTCCACAAAGACTCGCATTTCCTCGACTTTCTTTGGTCCTTTCAATAAAGCAATAGGCCTGTGCTTAACAGAGAGGGAAACTGAGGCACAGAGATTCCAACCTGTGCAGGGCATCAACTCAACAGACACACTTGGGGGCACAGCATACGCCTCCCAACATCATAGCGGCAAAGTGGGTGCCTGGGCTGGAGTCTCCTTTCCCCCACCCTGAGCACCGAGACCAGGATTCCACACAGAGAGCACAGACATGTGTTCGGTACCCCTCTGCCCAGCACACCAGACGGCCGGGACTCGGGGAAAGGCCTGTGAGACCGCCTGTGCCTCTGCCCCTGCCAGCAGGACACCTGGGCCGTCCGTGCAGCCTCGGCGACAGCCCCAGCGGCAGCCTCAGCGGCAGCCTGGCTTTCCTGTACAGCCGCTGCAGGGTGTAGGATGCTGATAACGGGAACAATGCTGCAGAGGAAAAGTGGCAGAAGCAGGACAATGAGCCGGCGGCAGGACTCTCCCAGGCCAGCGGGAGCGAGGAAGGACTCGCGGGTCCCAGGGGCCAGGCTGGAGACTGCGCTGCGGCGGGCACTTGGGGGACGCCACAGGCTCCACTCCCCAGGGAGGCAGCCACACATCCCTGTGGGTTGGGCAGGTGGAGACAGGGACTCCTGCCCCTGAGATGGGTCCTTCCTGCCCTCCATGTGCAGGAGGGCAGGTCACCTGTCAGAGTGAGAATCGAGCGGCTCCCAGGATGGCCACAGTTCTGATCGCAGGGGATCCAGGAACCTCTCACTCTGTCGCTCTCCTGTCCCTCCAACACCCAGCAGGAGGCCTTCTCACCCCGAGCCCGTGAGTGCATCTGTGTCCAGCACAGGACACCCAGGTGGGCCTGCCCGTCACTCAGGTAGGCTGGCCACTGGGGCAGCAGGGAAACAAAATACCTCGAGGCTTGGCCCAACATCGGACCATATTGTGGAGATGGCCACGTGCCTTGTGGGAGCTGCTGAAATGGTCCCCAAGAGCAGCTGCCTCTGCCTGTGAGTGGCATCTATAATCCCACCCTCCCAGCCGGAACGGGAATCCTCACCGGGGGTGCCCAGGGAGCGAAGGCTAAGCCCCTTTCCTCTGCAGCATTCACAGGGCTGGGGTTGAGACCACGTCTGTGGGTTCACTCCCCAGCTCCACCTTATACTGAAAAGGCCTTAGAGCAACCTATAAGATGCAAACAGTATAACGGGATAAAATACATTAATAAGGAACAAAATTGAGGGGAAAAGAAACACGGAAGAAAGGTAAAATGGAGCCAGGAGTGAGGCCAAATCCACGAAGGTCACACCATGAAGCCAGTATGGCCAGGTCAGCCGCTAACATAGCAAGAAAGAAACACCACGGCCCGTCACGTGGAGGAGGAAGCCCAGGTGTTCTTTTCTGATACTAAAACCAAAGGAACTTCTCAGGCAAGGTCTTCCTGCAGAGGACGTGGTGTAAATCCATGGACTCCTACCCCGGGGTCTCACTGTGACCACAGCCTGCCCCTCCCAGGGCTGTCTCTGGGAGATTCTCTCAATGATAGGCAGGGGCAGCACAAGGACGGCCGGTCAGGAACAGAGACAGAGGCCACTGTCTACCATCCACGTGTCCAGCCCTCTGCTGTGTGGCTTCAGGTAGGGGCAGACTGCCTGCGTATAGAGAGGCCCCCGCAGTCCTCAGCCTGCCCATTCCTCAGTGGGCCCTGGCTAGGTGTCAGGTAGTCAGAGCTGGAGCCGTTCCTCTGGCCGTGCATGCTCCTGGTTCCTTGCTGACCTCCCTGCTGAGCCCTGTGCTCTGGGTGGGGCTGCCGCCCTCTTGTGAAAGGCAAGACATCTGAGAGGCCATCCAGCCCCTCTCCACCCTGGACAGCAGGAGGCCAAGACCTGGCCTGATGAGAGTGCACCTTGTCATGTGGTGGGTCACCCGCCGAGCCCAGCCCCCAGCACCTCCCCTGGCGGACACCTGCAGTCACCTCAAAGCATCAGCTGTGACGGGGAACAGCAGGCTCAGCTGGTAGGAGCCAGGGAGGGCAGCTCTTGAGGCCTCCGACTCCACCCCTAGGGGGCCCACACGCCACTGCCCAGGTTGGGCAGGTGCATGTTCTACGCCAGGTGCTGCCCTGGGGCCAATGGTGGGTCCCCAGCATGGAGCTGTGCAGTTCAGAGGGATTCTAGCACCTTCTCCGGGTGGGGACCAGGAGACCTTTGCATTTGCTGCCGTGGTCCAACGGGCCACTGCCTCTCCCTCACATACGCAGGGGAACCACACTGGACTGGGTCCCCAGCAGGGCCCTCCCCAACACAATCAAGGCTGTTGCTCCAGAGCTCCTATTGTGGTCTGTTTTGTCAGCACTTGGCTTGCAATCAACAGTGGTGACACCAATTACTTGTGTCACAGCTTCTAGGGAAGACGGAGATGTATGACACCCAGCATGGGGGCCATCCATCAGGGCCTGAGAGGGACCGAGGGCCTGTCACAGTGACAGGGAGTAGGGTGGCAGGGGGGAGGTGGTGAAGCCAGAGAATCTCAGGACAGCAGGGTGGCAAAGTGGTTTACATCATCAGAATTAGTGTCTGGGCAGGGAGTGAGGCCTGGCTTCCAGGAGCCAGGCATAAGCCAAAATGCCTCCCTCTCCCCCGACGCCTGAGCTCTGGCCAGGCTGGACCCTGGCCGTCTTCCAGGCCTCTGCACGGTGGACACTTCTTTTCCCTGCCCTGGGATCTCCCCCACCCCAGCTCTCCTCTTTCTTCAAGGAGCCTTTCCCCATTTACTCCACCCCCACCCCAGTGTGAATGTGCTTTCTTGCTCCTGGCTGAGCAGCAGCAGCATTCAAAACCGTTGAAGCCAATGTCAGCCTGTCACAATAACTAACTTATTAAACATTCACGATGATGTGTCTGTACCACCTGAATTCCCACAACCACCAAGGTATGTGGGAGGCGAACGTGTAAACTGAGGTGCAGAGACATCGGGAACTTGCCCTGAGTCATGCTCTTCATGAGCAGAGAGTGGCAGAGGGGCAAACTGCAGGCACGGAAGAAGGCGTGATGGGGTCCACACGCTGCACCTTTAGGACCTACAGATGTGCTACTGGGGACCCCGGGCTAGATCGAGGCAGGACAATGGCTGGCTGGATGATCTGGTTCTGGAAGTTCCACCAGCCTCCGGAGGATGTGGGCTTTCAGGGATGCCTGCCAGGGGAGAGAGAAGCCCACACCCCCGTCTCTGCTGACTCATGCTCTGCCGGTCTCCAGATTCTCCCCACAAGAGACCCTTCCCTTGGAGGAGCTCTCCAAGTCTCCCGCTGATCTTTCTGCATCAGTTTTCTCATCTGTCCAGATGGGTGGGTCTAGCAAGCCTGGCCTTGACTCTTCATGGGTCATGCTGAGGGACAGAGGAAACCCAGGTGGGCTTTGTAAAATGTACAGGGCAACTCACCCGTGAGGTGTCGTCTGCTGCGTTCCTCTGATCTATCTCTGTGGGGCTGGGGAGGGGAGGGCAATGGAACCCTGAGCCGTGGAGAAGTTCATGTCTTAGCCATGGTTGAAAAAGCCTGAGGCAGGGGCTGGGTGCCAGTGGCTCATACCTGTAATCCCAGAACTTTGGGAGGCCGAGGAGGGCCTGAGCCCAGAGGTTCAAGACCACCCTGAGCAACATGGCGAGACTGCATCTCTACCAAAAAAAGCAAAATAATTAGCCAGGAGTGCTGGTGCACACCTGTAGTCCCAGGTACTTGGGAGGCTAAAGTGGGAGGATCACCTGAGCCTGGGAGGTAAAGGCTGCACTGAGCTGTAAACGTGCCACTGAACTCGTCTGGGTGACAGAGTGAGACTCTGTCTCAAAAAACAAAAAGAAAAAAAAGGCTGAGTCTGGTGGACCCCAGGCTCTAAACCAGAACTACTCGAGTCCAGCACATGGCTTTGGTTCTACTCCAGGGAGTGTCATGGAAATTTAGGGGTGACTCAGCCCCGTGTTTCAGAGTGGAAAAGGACTTTAGCAATGTCGTAGGTGAGGAAACAGGCCCAGAAGAGTGAAGGAGCTGGCTCAGCGTTCAAGGTCATCCAGCTTATTACCAAAGAGCTGACACCAGAACACGCCTCTCCAAGTGGCCAGGAGGGTCCCCCTATAACGGTCCCCTAGGGGGTCTTCCCAGAAGCCAACAACTGGTGAGTACGGAATTCTTCTGTCTTCAGTCTCGATTCTTCGTTCCAGAGACCACTTTCACCGCGGCAGTGTTAGGAGCTTCTCAATCCACGTCTCCTTCAAGGAATTAATGAAGGAGCGAGGCCTGGGACCCGCAAAGAACTTCACAGAATCGTCGAATAAGTCACCTGCTGTGCCGCTGAGGAGGTTCAGGTCAAAAGGGTGTGGCTCGGTCAAGGTCTCACCCCCTGTGCTGGAGAGGACACCCCGGCACAGCCCCTGGTTCTGCTCCTGCGCTGCCACAACCCCGTGCCTCCCTGCACCCCAGGGCAAGTCACCCGCTCATAGCGCTACCTGCCAGGATGGGACTGGCCCAGCCTGGGCCACTGTTCTAGCTGCTCTCTCCTTGATCTTCCTCACTCCTTCCCCAGCTCTTGATTTGCTGCACACCACAGCTCACCCGCAAATGCTAAATAAATGCATCCAGACCCCCAAATGTGGGGAACCAGGACCCCAGTGCCTGCTGGCTGCCTCGGGGCTCCTGCCTTGGGGCTCCCGACTGAGGGAAGGCAAGCCAGGGATGGAAAACGCACCATCAGCACTTCTGTTATTTAACGGGGCCCTGTTGCATTAATTAATTAAACGTCTTCTGTTTCTGAGAAGCAGCAGAGCTGTGACTGCTTAGAGCTGGGATGCAGGGGGTGGTTGAGACTCCATCCTGTTTCCTGGAAGGACATGTGGAAGCAGAGCCTAGAGTGCTGAGAGAGGGAGTGGGCAGCTCCCGTCTCACCCCCTGGCTGCCACCACGCCTGAGTGTAAACCGGGTGTAAACCCTGAAAGGCTTTGCATCCTCGTTTGGGCTCAGCAGGCTGCGTGGAAGGGGCTTCAAGGCTCCGGAGGAACACACTAGAAAGGGGAGGGAAAAAAGGCACAGGGAGGGAACATCACACACCGAGGCCTGTTGGGGAGTTGGGAGCAAGGGGAGGGAGAGCATTAGGACAAATGCCTAATGCATGTGGGGCTTAAAACCTCGGTTGACAGGTGCAGCAAACCACCATGGCACATGTGTACTTACGCAACAAACCGGCACGTTCTGCACATTTCCCAAAACTTAAAGCAAAATGTTTTTTAAAAAGAATAAAATCAACTGTAATTGCCCCGCACCCCTCCCCCCAAAAAAAAGACAGCAAAGAAAACACACATCGGCTCAGGGAGCGGCGTAATGGGAAGATTTCAGCGTGATGTATGGTGCTGGGGACGTTATTAATGGTTTGCTGATTTTTACCTTTAAAACCTTTGGGCAGATTATTTATTATGTCCTTGCCGTGCCTATGATCTATGGAGGGGCACTAATCTCCGAGCAGGGCCTCTCACATTCCCGCTCTTCGACAGCGTCTTAATTAGGCCAGAACGCTGCCCTCCCCACCCCGGCCCTGTGCCCACCCCTGTGCAGGAAGGTGGCGATCTGATGCTTACTCTCTCAGGCCCATGGAGCCTGCAAATCAGAGAACCCGGTTCCTACGCCTAGCTTGGCACTGACTTGCTGTGTGACCTTAGGCAGGGACACAACCTCTCTGGGCCTCTATGCTGTTCTCTCTCGAATGAGAGCGCTGCACTACACAAGCTGCAGTGACACGGAGAGACAGCATGGCAGAGCTAAGACGCAGCAGGCGTGTGGCCCTCCTGGTGGCAAAGTCCTGTGCTTCTATGGCATGAGAATTGGGAAACAGCGACGGGGCTTCAGTGGCTGACTGTCACAGCCCTAGACACCGAGGGTTTCTGGGTATGGTGAGAAGTCCTCCTTTCTCGTCTTGGCACTGGTGCTGTGGCTGCTAACCACAGCATGGGCCTCTCGAATCCTTGGCTCCCAGAGCGGAGAAGGGGCGCCTGAGTCCTCCAGAGACATAGGCACCCTGGGTCACCATGCTGGTTGGGGACAGAGCTGGCATGAGAAGCCAGGCGTAGTAAGGAAGGCCATTCTGGCTGGAGAAGTGTGTGGCCTCAGGCAGAAACATCTGGAAGAGAGAAGGCCAGACTCCTCATGCTGGCCTGAATGCCCTCCCTCAGGAACCCAGGCATCCTGATAGTCCTGGGCTCTCTCTGCCACACACAGCCACGTCCCCTACAAGAAACAAGCCCGACCGATAGTGACCCTCACCTCTCTCCGACTCTCAGCCACTCCTTTCTGGGTCTGTGTTTGGGGGACCTGGTGGCTGCGTGGCCTTCAACCCAGGGACAGGCCTTGAGCTGGCGGCTGGGCTGGCTGAAGCCCCATCTTCACAAGGCCACAGGCAGGACCTCGCGGGCCTGCCCCTCATTGGCCAAAGCTCCACGTTATTCTTCTGATAGACCCTGAGGAGGTCCCACGCTTCCTCCTCCCAGTGTCGGCCACTCTACCAACACACTCACACCTTCCAAATGTGCGCCTCTCAGGTCTCCGGCCTGGGGGACATCAGAGTCCCCTCCTCAACTGGGCAGCATTTCTGTCACTCTCAGCTCCCTCTCTGCCCCACGCCAACTACCCAGAGACCATTCCGTCCCCCCAATACATGCACATAAACACATATGCACGTGTGCACACATGCACACATGTGCATGCTGTGTAACCTGTCTGTGGTTTCTCGTGATTGGACTCACCGCATCCTAAGGTCCCCTCAGCCCCCTAGCCCCAGCTCGTGACCACTAGCCATCCTAGCCCAAGCCCTACCTCCGGGAGAAGCCTCTCAGTGCTACTGTCCCCGGCCCAGGACCTCACATGGCACTTGCTGTCCAGGCCACTTCTCTGCATCTCTCCATTTCCTCAGCCACCCTCTGGGTTCGGTGCTGTCACTGTGACCCCTGGGTGCATGGAGTAGGACTGCTATTCTATTCTGTCACTTATCCATCAGGAGGGCAGTACCTGTGACCAACGAACCCCTGGGGAGTAAGAGGTGGTGCACACGGCAGGTGTGCACTGAAGTGGGGACAGGAAGGGGCAGTGCTTTCAACTGTGCGGCCTCAGCTGCTGCCACATGGCCTGACCCAGAACAGCTGCTCAGACCAGGATGCAGTGGGCACCATCTAGCTTCATAGTAGGGGTGAAGAGTTCTTGACCCAGGAGGGAATGGACTCATCTTATCCTATAGTTTTCTTTCCTCACCTTCATCTCTTGAATTCAGAACTTTTTGCAGGTTTAATTCTGATGTGCATTTGGGGAGCTCAGGTGTACTTGGAAGCTGAGGTCAAAAATGAGAAAAGACCCATTGCTACTCGATGGCAGAACAGAAGAGCTGTAAAGCATTCTCTGTACCTCTGGGTCCCCAACACTTTGGGAAGCTGCCTGTCCTGCCGGGGCCTGTCTCTCACAAGCCAACTACAATCTCACGGTGTTGGGGCAAATAGAATGCGGGGCCCAGCCTTTTCCAGGGAGATGAGTCACTTTCCAGCTCTCGCCCTTCCCACTTTTCCACTGCTTAACCCCGCGGGTGCCTGTCTCTGGCTTTGCCCTTTCTTGGAATTGTTGTGGTTGGTGGAGCTTTGGGAAGTCACCCAGTCCGTTGCTTTGCCTGGAGACAGGGTGGTGCTGAGCCAGGCTGGAGTGTTGGGGCAGTCTTGCTCCTTCTGGGATGCAGTGGGAAGGCTGAGGAATCAGGAGGGGAATGCTCAACCCCTCCTGGCTGTGGGCTCTGGGCCAGGCACCGTGACCCTGAACTTCAGTCTCTTCAGCTGTAGAGTGGAGCAGTCACTGGGGCATTGGGAGCAAGGCTATTTTTCCTCATGTGGGACAGGCCCATGTACTGCAGGATGTTTGGTATTCTGACCCCTGCAGGTAAAACAGCACCGGCGTCCCCCATCCCTGGGACGAGCAAAAACACTCGACACTTTTCCAAGACTGCCCACAGTTGGAAAACCGCAGAATCCCTGTTCCTTAGAAAAGACAGGCCGGTGGAGGGTGTCAGGTCGGGTCCTGGGGTGGGGTTGAGACACAACCTAGAAGAGTCTGGGAGGTTCTGTCCTGCAGACTGAGGGCAGGGCCCAGAGTGCAGCCCAGCGAGGCTCCGCCAGAGCAGCCAGGGGCCATGGGGCTTCGAGGAGAGATGATGGGGGTGAAGCCCAGCCCAGGGGGTGCAGGCCAGAGGACTCTTGGCCCATAGGGTTAGGGCAGGCTGTGTGGAAAAGGGAGCCCCTCCTTGGAGGAAGTGGGGTTTGGTTCAAATCCTGCCTTTGGCATCCACCTGCCGAATGTCCTTGGAGGAGTCTCTTCTGAACCTGTCTCTTCATCCAAGACAAACTTGCAGGGATGTTGTCAGGATTAAAAGTGACTCTGCACACAAAAGCCTTTGTGGTATAGATATTAAGAGTGCAATGAGTGAAGGAAAGTTGTACTGGGGAGAGGGAGGAGATTGCATCTTTAAGAACAAGGCAAAGTCCCCATGGAAGGAATTCCCAGGCAGAGCTGAGTTCCCCAGGTGAGGACCCAAGCCCAGGGGAAAAGGCAGTGGTGCAGCTCCCGGAGTGCAGACCTCAGTCAGACCCCAGCTGATCCCAGGGCTGCGTCTATACCTCTGCCCAAGGACAGGGCTGTCCTGGGGTCCGGAGGTCCCAAGGTCCTCAGCAGTGGGGCCCTGCACACATCCATGCACTCTCTAACCTGCGCCCCTGACTATTCCCTCTTCACCATCTGAGACCATGCTTGGCCTCTCTGTTTCCACACTCCTGTGGCCACCTCCATCTGGAACGTCCCCCACCGTTATCTCCCGCATCAAAGCTCGTTCCACAAGCTTGGGCCAAGCGTCACTGTCCCACTGCTTTCGGGGAGGCCCCTGCTGCCTGTAGCATCCACAGCATCCACCCACATCCTGCTCCCCTCTCACTGGAGCATATCAGCCTTGGTCTTAGGGGAAACTCCCTCACCCCCAAATAAAATGCCTCAAGTTGCTTTTCTTGGACTGACATACCCAACTGTGCTAGATAAAAGGAACACAGCGGCTGGGCGCAGCGGCTCACCCCTGTAATTACAGCACTTTGGGAGGCCGAGGTGGGCGGATCACCTGAGGTCGGAGTTTCAGACCAGCCTGGCCAACATGTTGAAACCCCGTCTCTACTAAAAATACAAAAATTAGCCTGGTGTTGTGGCGCATGCCTGTAATCTCAGCTACTCTGGAGGCTGAGGCAGGAGAATCGCTTGAACCCGGGAGGCAGAGATTGCAGTGAGCTGAGATCGTGTCACTGCACTCCAGCCTGGGTGACAGAGCTACACTCTGTCTCAAAAAGAAAGAAAGAAAAAAAGGAACAGAGTGATGACATTTGCCAACAAGGAGCTTCCGTGGTGACCAGGGGCGGCTGATGGCTTTGCAGCCTTGTCTCAGGCATCTCAACACCTCAGTGGGGTGGGGACTATTAATTTCCTCCTTTCCAGATGTAGGCAATTCAGTGAACGGCAGCTCCTGGTGCAGCCAGGCTGGAACCCCTCGGTGCACCCCAGAGCCTGCCCTCCGCCTCCCCGGTGCTGCCTCCAGGACGGGGCCTGGGCAGGGTGCACCTGAGCCACCCTCCTTGGAAAGGGAGTCAGGAGGAAACCTCCTCCTCGTCCCTGAGCTTCAGTAAAATATCTTAGTAAAAATACATTTTTTTTTCCAAGTCATTAACAATAAGGCTTTTGGTAGGCATCTGTGATGTGCAGGTCACGGTCAGCAGGCCGGCAGCAGGAGGGGCCGTGGGCAGCCCTGACCTCCAAGGCAGTGGTGTGGGCCTGTGGGCACACTCTGAGCCCAGGAAGGGGCTGGGTGCTCCACAGGGCAAAGGCCCTTTAGCCCAGGCTGGTGTGAGCCTGTGGGTGCTGTGCCCAGGACGGGCATGGAGTACTCCCTAGAGCAAAGGCCCTGCAGGCCCAGGCATCTGGTGCTGGAGTGGTGGCTTCCTGGACACTGGGAGCTGCTATGCTGGGGCAAGAGGAAGATGGGTGAAGAGGGAGGGGACAGCAGGCTAGGACAGGGGAGGGGCGGGAGGAGAGAGAAGGAGGAGGAGGGGAGGAAGGGAGGTAGGGAAATGGGGTAAGCAGAACCCAGGCTGAGGGGCTGGCCCTGGCTGGGGGTGGTGAGAGGCCCTTGGGCAGTTGCAGGCAGAAGCAGCATGGCGAGCTTTCTCTTTTCCAGAGGCAAGTGGTGGCAAGTGGTGAGGACAGAGTGGCGTGGGCAAGTCTAGATGTGGGGACACCCTGAGGAGGCAGGTGGAGGGGTTGGGAAGGCAGGAACTGCTGGGCCTGGGGCAGCTTTAGTTGATTCAGGGCTGGGAGCTGGGGGTGGGGATGGATAAGCCTGGGATGGCTGGGGGCCAGGTCTAGCCATGGGGACAAGAGCAGGCTGAGGACGAGGACAGAGGGTGCCTTCTGCTGGGTGTGTGGCTCCCAGGCAATGTGGTGAAGGGAGCTGAGAGAGATCCTGGGCCTGAGCCATGGACTTGGGAGTCCTCTGCTCAAAAGCAGGAGCAGGAACAGCAGAGCACGGATGGGCTCACCCAGGGGGCTGAGGGCAGAGGCGGGCAGTGAGTGGAGGATAGGGAGACGCCGACGTTCCCCATTCGAGGTGCCAGAAATGGGCTAGAGAGGGCCAGAGATGGTCACCAAGTTGGGATCAGTGTCTTAGGAGTGCTGGCCACCACCGTCTAGGGACATGATGACTGAGAACACTCCAGCCTTTGGAAAATAGGATCATAGCCAGCAGTGATTTGGGGCCCAGCGGGTGGTGGGGGCGGTGAGCGGAGAGGGGAGGAGAGAAAGAGGTGATGGAGGAGGCGGGCAGGGCCGGAGGGGAGTATGCTCCTCACTCACAGGGCTGCAGGGGCCTCACCCACAATCTGAGTGCCTGGGGCCATGATCACCCCAACCAGGTCTCAAAATGTGGGACCTAGGAGGGCACAGGTGGGCTCGGTCAGCCTCTCAGGGTGAGGGTTGAACCAATGGGAGGTTGGAGACCTGGTCCCTAGACGAGCGCTATGAGGCTGCCGCCCGCCGCCTGGATCTGGAGGCTCAGTTCAGACCCCAGGCCGATGACCCCAGGAGGCCAGTCCTGGCTGGATCCAGCGGAAGTCACGAAACAAGCCAGGGTCCCTCTGCTCGGGGTACTTGGTTAGTGAGAGGGAGCGAGCCCCGGCGCCTTTGCAGCCCAGGCGTGTGTCTGTGCGGGCTGAGTCCCGTCTCCATAGATGGGGGCCTGGACTGCCAGCTGTGCCTGTGGACACGGGGGCAGGAGGGTCAGAGGAGGGAGATGGCTCCGGATCCACCCTAATTGCCTCTCCGGAGAGGAAGACGGAGCGGGAGCTTGACTCTGGCTGACCCCCACTGTCCCTTGGGGAGACTACATAATGAGAGCAAGGAAGCAGCTGTCTGTGTGTGCGTGTGTGTGTGCGTGTCCGTGTGTGCGTTTTTCGGGCCGGGGCTGGTGAGAGGTGCTCAGCCCCTCCGAGGACCACACATCCTGGTGGGAGGGTGGCCCGGATGTAGAATGCAGGCAGGCGGCGGGGGTTTGTGCCCGCTTTCCTCTGGGAGCTTGGTGAAATGCACATTCCTAGGCCTCGGACACACTGGATCAGAATTTCATAAGTGGAACTGTTCATCTTAAAGCCCCGTAGGTGGTTTTCATGTTCATTTAACTGAAGGAAAAAAACCCACGGGCCTGTGAGATCTTTGAAAACCTCAGGAACCTCCCGGTTCCAAGCATGCACTTATGTTGAACGCTTCATAAGATTAAGGATGGGTCCCCTTCTCCCCTGGCCAGGCTAGACGGGCCCTTCTGGAGACACAGCCTGTCCTCGCGTGGAGACCCCAATGACGCAGGGAGTTTGAATGGAGAGGAATGGGGGCATGTGGGTGAGGGGACAACTGGTCTGGATGACAAGGGAGTGGCTTTGCTGCCTGCCTGCGTTTCTCTGCAGGGCCTCTCCTAGTTCTAGGATGGGGGATATTGAGTGAGAGATGGAGAAAGGCCTGGAATCTGGTCTGGGCTCAGCCACTCATACAGCTGTGGTGTTTTGGACTGAATCAGCCGTCACCTACCTCCACTGAACTTCAAACCCCTCCAAGAGCACTGTGCTGAAGCCCTGCCCTAGACTGATAAAGTCGGCATCTCTAGGTGTGGGGCTGGACATGGGTCTTTCGTTCTAACCCCTAAACGGTGATCCTTTTCAACTGGAGTCTCTGATCCCCACCAGCTGGACAATAGACAGGAGAAAAGGGCGTGGTTCCCTCCCCTTCCCCTTCAAGGAGAAACTCCCCTGGCCAAAAGCTTTCACATTATGCTGATACTATGTTTGCTTCGTCAGCATCTGAGTGACACATGACATGGGTTTTGATTTGGGGCAGGCTGAGGCTATAGGAATGCCAGCATTTTAAGAGATGCTGAAAGAGTGCTGTAGAGAAAGGAATCAAGGAGAAGACACAAAAATCCTCTCAGCCGATGGCCCTGAAATTCTTTATCTCCAGGTCAGAAGGAAACACAGAGTTGTCCATTAACAAATTTTTTAAATATAAACTGCAGACATACGGGGTGGGTGTGTTTGCAAACTAAAAGGAGAATCCCATGGGCAGATAACTTCATTTTAATGCAGGTAACTTTTCAGTTTAATGATCGGCTTTATAAACCCAGGTTATCTGCAGCTGCTGATATCTGTACAGAAGGAGAACATTGCTGGAGGCAGAATGGAATCAGCTGAACCAAAAATCCCATTTAATTTACTCCCCTAAGTAGTCACTACCTTGCAGTAACGTCATTCAACAAGGTGTTGGCTACCTCTAGCTAAGGTGTTTATTTACAGGATCTAAATCAAAACAAAAAAGAAAAATTATGATACAATGGAAGATGTGGACTTTGGAGTCTGAAATATCTGAGTTTAAATCCTGGCTTTGTTCCTAACTAGCTGTGTGAGTCTGGGCAAGTCTGTCTCTCTTCTAAGCCTCGGTTTCTCCATTTGTGAAATGGAACACCTACTTGCCTATTTCACAGACATGTTGAGAAGTTTAAATCTCACAAATGATCATTTATATCAAGAGTCTAGTATGATACGTGACACATTGTAGGCACTAAATACTTAGCAGTTATAATTAAAATATGCATCTATCCCCACCATGTGTGTAATAAAGTTTCATATTATCTATTTCTCAACACTACAGTGAGGAAAACATCATTTAGCCCATTTGGCAGATGCTGAAACTGAGTTGGGGGTCACTGGGACTTCAGCCCAGGCCCTTCAGCTCCAGGTCCCTCAGCTCCAGGTCCCATGCTCTTTTCATTGCATGCTGTTAACTAGAGATGGACAATGCCATTTTAATGAGGTGCCAGGTCAGTAGGTGACAGGACTGGCTGTCACTAGCATTGGGGTGGGGGTGGGGGGGCAGGGAGTGAAACAAAGGGGTTGGAGCATCTCTCAGAGAAAGAATGGGGACTTCAAATCACAGAAGAGGTGCCCGGTGGATGCTTCATGCCAGCCAGTAGTGGTGACAAGTGCTGCACGCCTCTACATGTCACCATTTCCAGAACAAGCTCACAGTGCAATCTGTTCCACTGGGGGCTTCTAGCTAAGATGCCAGTTCTGATTGACATGTGACTTGTGAGTGTAATTCTTCACCAGCCCTTCATCCAATATGAAGAAACACTACCCCCCAAATATATCATAGTTTACATTTATATAAAATTATGCTTTTATTGTAAACACCTTAAGGAATCACCTTTGCAGAACATTTTTAAAACATGTCAATTTTCTTTTTTTTTTGAGACAGAGTATCACTCTGTCACCCAGGCTGGAGTGCAGTGGCACAATCTTGGCTCACTGCAACGTCCGCCTCCTGGGTTCAAGTGATTCTCCTGCCTCAGCCTCCCGAGTAGCTCGGATTACAGGCATGCATCACCAGGCCCTGCTAATTTTTGTATTTTTAGTAGAGATGGGGTTTCACCATGTTGGCCAGGCTGGTCTCGAACTCCTGACCTCAGGTGATCTGCCTGCCTCGGCCTCCCAAAATGCTGGGATTACAGCCGTGAGCCACTATGCCTGGCACATGTCAGAATTTTTAAATAACATCTCCATTTGTAGACAGAAGACTGCAGACATGTACAGACAACAGATACCCAACCTTTGCTTTGTGTGGATACATTTAGATAACCAGGGGCAGTACCTGCCATTGTAGCACAGACTCCATTTTAATACATCTGGATGCCACAAAATGAATGCTCTGGTATATGCAGGAAAGCCAGTGAGAACCAGTCAAAGACATTCTACCCCATCCAGGAGCTCTCTACCTGCATGTGGCTCAGTCTAAGCCCTGCTTTTGAAGGGTGTGCAGAGAGGGCATTTTTAAAATCTTGCAAATGAGAAATAGAATTTAAAAAAATTTATAAAGGGCACAGGCAAATCAATTCATTAAAAGAAAAAAAAAGGTGGGATCTCAGTAGAAAAATGGGTCAAAAGCATGCACAAATCATTTATATTCAAATAGTTTTTTAAAACCTAGAAAAAATTTTAATTTCATTAGTTATCAAATTTATATCTAAGATAGTACCTCATTAAAATAAGATACTATTTTTTTGCCAATGAAATTTGCAAATGATTTTTCAATTTTAATGACAATACCAAACACTGATCATACTCTCACCGTGAGTACAGATCTTTAGAAAAAACAGTTTGGCTGCAGGATATCAAAAGCCTTAAAAATGTTGATATCCTTTGGCCTGGTAATTCCATGTCTGGGAGTCTATCCTAAGGAATTAATCAGAAGTTCAAGAAAAAAAAAAGTGTTAAGAGCAAAATAAAGGAAACCATCTAAAAGGTCAAAAATAGGAAAATGAGAAAGTATTCAATATACTCGTTAATGGCACATTATTCAGGTTTATGAATAATGTTAAGAGATAGGTTTATGATGATTCTGAGATAAATAGGGGAAATCTTTACATTGTTAAGTTTTTAAAACATATGTAAATATATATATAAAGAATCATCTCAACTGTAAAATGGTTAGGAGGAGAAGGAAATACATTCAATTGCAAACAGAAGTCTCCGAGTGACAGGATTATTTCTTCCTCTCTGCTTTTTTCTGCATTTTCCATTTTTTCATTACAAAATGTATGAATTAAGAAAAAACAACTTGGACTTTGGAGTTGAGAACAAACTTTATCCAATGACTCTGAAGTTACCTGCTTTGCCCAAGTATTTCTGCAGAGTCATCAAATATATTCAAGACTAGAAAAAAAGCACCTCAAAGTCAAATGAGGTGAGTGCCAACAGAAGCCAAGGAGAAAAGTAACAGGAGATCAACAGGGAAAAGACAGAGAGCAACACTTGCTAGCAGAAAACAAACCCACAAACAAAAGCTAAACTGGAGCCTTTCCAATCAGTTCCATCTTTCGGGCTCTGCAGACAAATAAATAGGAGCCGGGCTGACCTCCGATAACCGGGCAGATCCGCAGACACCCCCTTTCTTCACACTGCGTGTGGGACGGGCCGCAGAGCTCTCTGACACTTCTGGACTTAAGAGTCCCAGGACAGCATGGCATGGGCTGTGTCCTTGGCAAGTCCTTGGTCTTTGTCCATGTACTATGGACATCTCCAGTGGACTGAACGTTGCTCAGTTTTGTAGAAAAAATATGAATAAAAACAGAGCTCCCAAGCTCGTGATTGTTTTCTAGCTTGATCTTGTCTAGAAATCTAAGTCATCTTGGCCAAAGCCGTCTGCCCTGCCCACTGCCTCAGTGGGGGCGAGACTTCCGAGTGCCTGGTCCTCTTGTAGGTCATAACCTTCACTGGCCCCCTGCTCTGGAGTCCTTGAGCCCAAAGGGGCCTCTTCTTGCTCAGAAGTAGAACTTTCTGGGTACATCCTGGTGGCCTTCCTCTCTGCATGAGGGGTCCCCGTGGACTTGGCATCAGGGCTCCTTGTGTCTCCAAGTACATGGTCATTTTCTGAGTCTTTCTGCCAGCAGTTGCCCCAAGAGGATGCTCTGGAGGAGGAAGGGCCTGTTTGGGAGCCTGGCCTTTGGTGGGGAGTGTCTCCACCTGGGGAAGGGGGTGGAGTGGGCCTGTCCTCAGGGACTGGGCTGCTGCTTTCAGAAGCCTCCTCAGATTGGCCATCTCCTAGACTGACCTGAGGGCTCCCCTTTTTCTCACCTTGAGTTTCTCCTTCTGACTCTGGCTGGGCCTCCCCTTCAGCCTCCGGGGTCTCTACGCCTTCTGGCTCTGGCTGGGCCTCCTCTTCAGCCTCCGGGGCCTCTACACCTTCTAACTCTGGTTGGGCCTCCCCTTCTGCCTCTGGGGCCTCTATACCTTCTGACTCTGGCTGGGCCTCCCCTTCTGCCTCTGGGGCCTCTACACCTTCTAACTCTGGTTGGGCCTCCTCTTCAGCCTCCTGGGCCTCTATACCTTCTGACTCTGGCTGGGCCTCCCCTTCTGCATCCTGGGCCTCTACACCTTCTGACTCAGGCTGGGCCTCCCCTTCAGCCTCTGGGGCCTCTATACCTTCTGACTCTGGCTGGGCCTCCCCTTCAGTCTCTGGGGCCTCTATACCTTCTGCCTTCTGGGCCTCCCCTTCTGCCTCTGGGGCCTCTACACCTTCTGATTCTGGCTGGGCCTCCCCTTCTGCCTCCTGGGCATCTACATCTTCTGACTCTGGGTGGGCCTCCCCTTCTGCCTCCTGGACCTCCCCTTCAGCCTCCTGTGCCTCCTCTTCTGCCTCCGGGGCCTCTACACCGTCTGACTCTGGCTGGGCATCCCCTTCTGTCTTCTGGGTCTCCCCTTCAACCTCCTGGGCCTCTTCACCTTCTGACTTTGGCTGGGCCTCTACACCGTCTGACTCTGGCTGGGCCTCCTCTTCTGCCTCTTGCATCTCCCCTTCAGCCTCTGGGGCCTCTACATCTTCTGACTCTGGCTGGGCCTCCCCTTCTGCCTCCTGGGTCTCCACTTCAACCTCCAGGGCCTCTACATCTTCTGACTCTGGCTGGGCTTCCTCTTCTGCCTCCTGGGACTCTATAACTTCTGACTCTGGCTGGGTCTGCCCTTCTGCCTCCTGGGCCGCCTCTTCTGCCTCTTGGGCCTCTGCACCTTCTGACTCTGGCTCGTCCTCCCCTTCAGTCTCCAGGGCCTCTACACTTTCTGTCTCTGGCTGGGCCTCCTTTTCTGCCTCCGGGGCTTCTGCACCTTCTGACTCTGGCTGGACCTCCCATTCTGCCTCTGGGGTCTCTACATCTTCTGACTCTGGCTGGGCCTCTCCTTCTGCCTCTGGGGCCTCTACATCTTCTGACTCTGGCTGGGCCTCCCCTTCAGCCTCCTGGGCATCCCCTTCTGCCTCTGGGGCCTCTACACCTTCTGACTCTGGCTGGGCCTCCCCTTCAGCCTCCGGGGCCTCTATGCCTTCGGCCCCATCACTCTGTCCTGGATCTTGGTCACCTCCTGCCGCAGCTTCACCCTGCAAGTTGTCCTCATGCCCAGAGCCTTGACCCCCAGTTTCTCCCCTTTCACTTATGCCCTCTCCCTCCTGCTCAGCTTCCCCCAACTCACTGCCCGCACTGGTTTCACTGTTGTGGGTTTTCCCTTCTCTCTCCTGAGCCATTGCATCTCCCTCTGCCTCCCCGAGTTTGGGATCTTTGTCTCTGTTGAGTCTCTGGCTCCCCTCGCCATCCTCACCCTCGTCCACTCCAGGCCCCTGGCTCAGCCCCGGCCCCAGCCCTCCCTCAGCTCCCTGGACAGTCCTAGTGCTCGTGGGGTCCGTGTGGGTCTTGCCAGGGGCCACCTCTGCTGCCTCCCCATCAGTGTGTTCTCCCCTCTTCCTCTGCAGAATCTGCTGCAGGTCAAAGGCCTCTTTGATGGGACCTCTGGTTGCCCCCATTGTGGCCTTGGGGGACATAGGGCTCACTTTCTTCCTCACGCAGGCCTCGCAGGGACAGAACTCCTCCCCCTCCGCCTCCTCGCCCAGCTGGCTCCCCAGGGCTGTGCTGAGGGCTGGCTCGTCCTCCAGGGTGAAGGAGAGGGGCCCCAGGCCCAGGGTCCGCTCAGAGAAGGCCGAGAGGTTTCGCAGGCCCCGGAGACGGTGTCTGCGCTGCTGGGTCTGCAGGAGCAGCTCCCCGGTGAGGGCCTCCCTTGGAGGCTCCAGCACCATCCTACCCGCCCGGCCCTGGAGCTTCTGGAGCTCTCTCTTGGTGCTGTCCTGGAGGCGTTGGGCCACGTCCTGCTGCAGCTCGGCCGCCATCTGGTCCAGCAGATCATTGTCCTGCAGGCCCCAGCGTGCTCGGAGCTCAGCCACCGCACTGGCAAGGTGGGCCAGGAAGGCCTTCTCCGTCTTCTTCAGTAACACGGACACCCAGATGGGGTCGCAGTCCAGAGCCGCGCTGCAGGCCACCGAAGAGCTCCTCTCTGCAGCCCCCTGGGTGGGTTGGGCCTGCGTGTGCTCTTGGCCCATCATGGTGGCTCCGGGCGGCTTTTCCAAACCAGGCTCAAGCTGGGAGCCACTCTGCCTCTCGCTGGCACTTGGGTCCGTCTCGCTGAGATGACTAGGGGGCTCTGTGGGTTCCTCTGTGCCCTCTGCGGGGCACGGCTCTGCAGAGGCAGAGGCTCTTCCTGCTTCCTCCTCCTGGACTGGGTCATCTTCCTGGGAGCCTTTCCCATCCGGAGAGCTGGCCTCTGACAATTCCTGCCCGTGGACGCTTCCTTCTTCTGGAAGTCCTTCCTCTTTGAGACCCTCTTCAAGAGCCTCTCCTTGCAGTCCTCCTTCTGGCCCTTCTTTAACTTCCTCTAACTGCACCCCCTCTTCTTGCAGCCCTTCTCCTCCTGTTTCTTCAATTTCCTCTAACTGCGCCTCTTCTTCTTGCTGTCCTTCTCCTTCTGTTTCTTTAGTTTCCTCTAACTGCACCCCCTCTTCTTGCAGCCCTTCTTCTGTTTTAGTTTCCTCTAACTGCACCGCCTCTTCTTGCAGCCCTTCTCCTTCTGTTCCTTCTTTAGTTTCCTCTAATTGCACCTCTTCTTGCACTGTGTTTTCAGCTAACTGCTCCAGGTTCGAGCTCGCCCTCTGCTCCTCACTGTCTCTTTCTGCTTCATCCTCATTGGTGGCACAAGCGCAGGCTCGGGCGTTCAAGAAGGTTGGGAAACAACACTGCTGTTGGTTTTCCAGATCCCCTGGGCTCTCATAAGTTCTTGAATCAGGCCTCTGGTTGGAGGTTTTCAGGGGCAGCTCTGTCCCCTGTGTCACCAGGGTGCCGTCCATGGCACAGGGTACGCTACTCTCCCCTGAGCCTCCAGAGCCGCTGCTGATGTCCACACCAGAGGAGGATGTGGGCGTGAAGTTCTCCGTCATGGCATGGGACCCAAGGTCTGGCAGAGCCTGGCTCCATGTGAGCTCCCAGAGGCCTGAGTCCAGCTGGTCTTCCCCAACGTCACATCCTGGCCACAGGTCCTTCGAGATGCTGAGCAGCTCCTGGTACCGAGGGGAGTCTTTGAACCTCACTTTGCTGGCAGGAGACCCAAGGTCTTCCTCAAATAACTGCAGACTGGCCAGACAAGTAATGAGGGCCCCGGCTGAGCAGCTGAGCCTCCTGGCCATGGGCCTAGACACTTCGGGCACGCTGCTGGGCCGGCCCTGCTTGGAGCCCATCAGCGCCCTCATGATCTGCGTGGAGGCAGACACCCGGCCAGGAAGTGCCCGCAGGCTCACCCTGCAGCCTGCTGGGGCCTCTCTGTCTGCTCCGGCCTCTGCAGGGGCCTCGGAAACTCCCTCTGGAGCTGCCCCTTGGGGGACACCCTCTCCTGATTGGGGACCAGTGTCACTACTCCCCAGGAGGGCTCCCTCTGGCTCTGGGTCCTGGCCGGGGTCCCCTTCCAGGGACTGCTGTCCCGCCTGAGCTGGCTCCCCCAGGCCTTCCAGAGAATGGTCATCCCCAGGGTCCACCTCGGGGCCTCTCAGGCCACCCCCAGCTGCACCTGTGGTCTCGTCCGCCAACTCATATGTCATGAGTATGGGCTCTTCTGGAATGTTGTCCAGCCATTCGCGGACCACAGCCTCTGGAGACGAGCGGGGCAGAGAGCTGGGTGACACACCACTGGCCTCCTCCTGCCCCTGGGGGCCTCCCCCACTCCTCAAGGTCTTCTCCTCGGACAGCCCCCGAGACCCCGCACCCTGGCTGGCACTGCTTCTCCTTGATGCCCCTGAATTGGGGCCTGGGGACGGCGTGGGGCCTGGCTGGCGTGTCCCCTCCTGCGGGCTCCCACCTGGCCCCCGGGCAGTGCTTTGGTGGCTGCTGCCGGTGCTCCCACAGCTGGAAGAGCGCCTCTGGGGGCAGGGCCGCCCCCTGGGCGGGGTGGGACAGTACCTGCCACACAGCCAGCTAGCCTCAGGGGAGGGTCCCCGCTGGGCCTCTTGGGCCGGCTGCGTCCCAGGCTGTGAGCAGCAGTGGCTTCGGTGGGGGCCCACCGCCCCTTGCTCAGGCCGTCCAACCTGCAGAACCAAGGGTGAGGAGGGCTGAGGCGTGTCCCTGGCCTCTTCCCCCAGGCTGGCAGCCCCAGATTTTGAGCAGGAGTCGGATGTGTGGGGAGGTATGGGGGCCGGCGAGCATGTCCTGGACCCCGCGTCCCCTGCCCACCCGGCAGAGGGAGCGTTGTGCGGGGAGACTCCAGAAACAAAATCCGAGTGGACTGCAGGGGTGACAGTGGCACTGCTGGTTCCCAGAAGGTCCTGGGAAGGAAGAGAGCCCGAGGAGGGAGGTCTCAGGTTCCCAGAGGCCTGTGTCCTGGTGCTCGATGAGCTTCCAGAATATCGTGGCACTGAGCCATCCTGGCAGGCCCTTCGCCGCTCAGGAGGCCTCGGCACTTGCTTGGTTACAGAGGAGTCCAGTGGGCTGTGGGTGTCCTTGCGGTAGTGAGAATGCCTGGGATGGCCTCTCGGGGCCACTCGGCCAAGGCCAGGGCTGCTGGGTGAGGACATTGCACTGGCCCGGCTTCTGTGCCTTCTCTGCCCCTGCTGGGATGAAGTGCAGGTGGAAGGGGTGGAAGAGGCTCCTTCCGAGTCCCAGGAGCAGGAAAGGCCCAGAACCAGAGGCTCCCTTGTCACAGCCGCTCCCGTGGCCTGCTCGGTGCCCTGTCCTTGCGTCTCTGCCTGCAGGTCGTCACTCCTTAAAGATGAAAGACTCAGGGCTGGAGAAGCGGGGTCGCCTCCCTCGCTGGCCTCCTGCTGAGAGGTCTCGGCCCTTGCCTTGCCTGGACAGCCCTGGGGCCGCCCACCCCATTCGCTGGATCCCTCATGAGAGCCGGTGCTGGCTGACGAGTCCGAAGAAGCCCCCTCCTCACTCCGGGCCCTCGGTGTCAGGCGGCCGCCTTGCTCTGGGCCGCCCAGCCCTGCTCCATCTATGCATAGGCCGGGGTCCTCACCCAGGCTCCCTCCAGCTTTCCGCTCAGCCCCTATCTGGGCAGAGGGGCTGGCACTGTCCACCCCGTCCTCCGGGGTCCTGGGGCAGCAGGAGGACTCTGGCTCCGAGCCCTCGGGGAGGCCGGTGCTGGAGGCTGGGCTGGCACTGTCCTGGCTGCATCTCTCCCTCCCGGCAGTCCCGTGGCCCCACAGGCCACTGCAGCGGACGTGCTGGGCCAGTCCCCACCTCTTCCGAGCTGCCACTCTCTCTCCCTGGGAGGCATGCAGGGGATTCGTCCAGATTTCATACTTGGGCCCTGGCTGCCCGCCTCGGCCAAAGACTTCCCTGCATCCCACCCTGCAGGGCCGGGGTCCCCACACCCCAGGCTCTGAGAAGCCCCAAGGGTAGCCCTCCCACACACAGCAGAGGGGGTCTACCTCCCCCAGAACGGGGTCTTCCCCACTGGCTGCCGTGAGGGCGCTGGCCCTGCCCATCCTCCGGGACCATAGGAGCGTGTCCTCGCCGACCAGGTGGAAGCGGACTTTCATCTCCACGGACAGGCTGCCGTCCTCATTCATGCGGACCTTCTTCTTCATGTCATCGCCAGCCACCAGCGGGCCCGACTGAGCTGGCGTGTCCTGAGGGTGCCTGCCAGGAGCAGGGCCCACCGGGGGGTTGCTAGGACCAGGCCTTTCTGGCA
The DNA here is from genome assembly GCF_000001405.40 of Homo sapiens. NCBI lineage: Eukaryota > Metazoa > Chordata > Mammalia > Primates > Hominidae > Homo > Homo sapiens. The sequence continues at coordinate 10,613,278 of NC_000008.11, forward strand.
GCCGTGGCGTGCTGCCTGGCGGAGACCGCGAATGGATCACACTCGGCTTGGTCTTTGGCCCCCAGCTCCCTGGCACGCAGTGAAGAGGAAAAGAAAAGAAGAAAAGACTGTGAGCCATGGGGGCAGCATCAGGATAAAGGAATAAAACAGTCACGAGCCTCCCACGACCTCAGCATCACCACTGCCTCCAAAATGCACGGTGACAGCTGTGCGCGGTGGCTCAGGCCTGTAATCCAAGCACTTTGGGAGGCCGAGGCGGGAGGACTGCTTGAGCTCAGGGTTTCAAGACCAGCCTGGACAACTTAGTGAGACACCATCTCTCCAAAAAAAAAAAAAAAAAAAAAAAAGTAAAGAAATAATTACCTAAGCATGGTAGTATGCCCCTACAGTCCCAGCTTCCTAGCTACTCGGAAGGCTGAGGCAGGAGAATCCCCTGAGTCCCAGAGTTGGAGGCTGCAGTGAGCTATGCACCACTGCGCTCCAGCCTGGATGACAGAGCAAGACCATTAAAAAAAGAAAAGAAAAAAAAAAGCATGATAAGGGCAGAGCTATTCTAGAATGACCATCCACAGAGCTACCAGTCTGTGAACTGGCATTGTCTAACAAGGAGAACTTCAGTCTGAATTCAATCTCAACTCTGCTGCTTACTAGCTGCGTAGTTTTTGGCAGAGCCTGTTTTCTGAACCGTAAAATAAGCATAATAATATTGATTGGTTCGGTTCGTATTGATGCATGGCTGTGCATATAAAACTTCCTTTATAGTTGCTAGCACATAGTAGGCTCTCGAGAGATGGCAGACTTGGCAGGCAGAGTGGCAGTGCCCAGATCTTGCTCCTGGCCCTCCTCATGCCCACACCCAGCACAGCAGGTGAAATCAATAAACTGCTGCATATGACCCTGACTGTAAACTGTTATATTCTCTGTGATTATTAGTGGTGATTTATCACCCTAAGCCTCATCAAGCTCCTGGTTGATAAATGGCTGCAGGGAAGGACCTGGGCGAACCATCTCAGGTCCTGCTAGTCAAGCCTGCACCCCAGCCATGAAGAAGAGAAGAAAGGGCTGCTAAGGATGCAAAGGAGTGGCTCTAAGAAAGAATGAGCCAGGCGTGATAGCTCACGCCTGTAATCCCAACACTTTGGGAGGCCGAGGCAGGCGGATCACCTGAGGTCAGGAGTTCAAGACCAGCCTGGCCAACATGGGGAAACCCCATCTCTACTAAAAGCACAAAAAAATAGCTGGGCGTGGTTGTGGGAGACTGTAATCCCAGCCACTCGGGAGGCTGAGGCACAAAAATCACTTGAACCCGAGAGGCGGAGGTTGCAGTGAGCCTAGATCGCATCACTGCACTCCAGCCTGGGTGACAGGGTAAGATTCTGTCGTCAAAAAAAAAAAAAAAAAAGAAAAGAAAAAAGAAAGGAGGGAAGGAAGGAAGGAAGGAAAAAAAAAAGAAAGAAAGAACAAATGAATGAAGCCCCCAAGGGCTTTCAAATTCCATCTCCTGGGGGGAGGGGGAAGGGATAGCATTAGGAGATATACCTAATGTAAATGACGAGTTAATGGGTGCAGCACACCAACATGGCACATGTATACATATGTAACAAACCTGCATGTTGTGCACATGTACCCTAAAACTTAAAGTATAATAAAAATAAATAAATAAAAACAAATTCCATCTCCTGAGCCAACATGTGGCAAAAGGGTAGGGCTAGCAGAGGCTGAGCATATGGCCAGCAAAAGAACCCCAGGTGCACATCTGGGCAGAAGATGGCTTTGCCCAGTCCTGGCCCTCCACAGGGACCAAATGAGACTGGACACTCCTCCAGGGAGGGACCCAGAGTAAACTGTCCTTGTGCCTCCAGTGCCTGACCCACAGTGATCACCGAGCCTGTCCCTTGGGCCTCCAGCACCTGACCTACAGTGATCACTGAGCCTGTGCTTGTTGGTGTTTCTGAGCTTTTCACAAAGGATAGTACTTTGTTTACTCGCCAAATTTTTCCATCATCAGACTGCATTTGTTAATTGTGCTTTTAAAAATAAGTGTGTGTAGTTTTAAAAAAATAACATAGTCCAGACTGTGGCTCTTTGGCTGGATATATGGTTGGTTGTATGGATGGATGGATAATCTGTGGTCATGGTTAGTTTTAGTCCCTTTGACCCCCATGCAGGCCACCACTGTTGCCTGAGACCATCGTGACCCTGAAAGGATGCAACGCCAGGCACACGGCCCATTGCTGCCATGATGTCATGGCCACTGTAGTTGTTTCTTTTTTGAGGCAGGGTCTCTGTTGCCTAGGCTGGAGAGCAGTGGCACGATCATGACTCACTCAAGTCTCAAACTCCTGGGCTCAAATCATCCTCCCCCCTCAGCCTCCTGAGTAGCTGGGACCACGGGTATGCGCCACCATGCCTGGCTAATTTGTTCATTACTTATTGATGTTTGTGGTAGAGGCAGGGTCTTGCTCTGTTGTCTAGGCTTGTCTTGAACTCCTGGGCTCAAGTGATCCTCCTGTCCTGGCCTCCCAAGTTGCTAGGAATAAAGGTGTGAGCCTCTGTGCCTGTGGCTCTTAATAAAATTTATTTTAGATTCTAGAAACTTTAAATTCAAGATCTCTTAATCCCTGTTCCATTTATTTATTAATTTTGAGACAGGATTTTGCTCTGTCACCCAGGCTGGAGTGAAGTGGTGCGATCACGGCTCACTGCAGCCTCAACCTCCTAGGCTCAAGGGATCCTCCCACCTCAGCCTCCCAAGTAGCTGAAACTATAGGCATGTGCCATTATGCCTGGCATATTTTTTTGTATTTTTTTTTTAGAGACAGTGTCTCATTATGTTGCCCAGGCGGGTGTCCAACTCCTAGACTCAAGCTATCCTCTCGCTTTGGGCCCCCAAACGGCTGGAATTACAGACATGAGCCACCATGCCCAGCCTCTGTTCCTTTTATATACCAAGCACTGCCCTCTCCTATCTTGGTCAAATGTTGAACCCAAGTAAGATTGACAGTACTGAGAAGGAGGAAGAGGCAAGAGAGATCCCAAAATGACTGGGATACCCAAGATCTGGGGCCAAAGGGAAGTTTCCTGAATTACCTGGAAGGCTTTCCACTCAGCCCTACTGAACCACCATGCAGTGCAAATCAGATGGGGGAAACCCAAAAACCAACTCACCGTTTTTGTTTCTTGAAGTCAGCCCAGATAAAGTTTCAGCCTCGCTTCTCCTGGCATTTTTCATGGCTGGGGTTCTGAAGGCCTCATGCCCGGCACACACCAGCACAGAGGGGCTGTGCAGCAGGGCCTGCAGCGAGTCCACCTGAGGGAGGAGCGGGCGGGGTCAGGAGGCCTGGGCTGCAGAAACCCCTCTACCCTGAGGCCTGGGGGAGGAAGGATCCAGTCTCACCAGCCCTGTCCTGATTTCTGCACATCTCACCCCAGACTCCTGGTCCAAGGAGGGGTCTTATCCACTCCCCATAACACCTCTATCACTAGCTGGAGGCTGAGGTCCCACCACCACGATCTCCCGCTCTAGCTATACCCCTCCCTCCACCAGGCGTGAGGCCCGTGATCAAAGGGCATTCTGGATGCCCCTGCTGCAAAAGACTTCTGTAGGCCGCATTTCTGCCCACATGTCCACCCTCCAGAATATGTATTCCCTGAAGCAGCTGGAGCAGCACGCCCTCCAGCTCCCACAGCGGGGCCCGATTCACTCTCTCATTCTTTTCCCAAATGAAGGAGACTCTGTGCTGCCTAATCTGTGTTTTCTGGTACAGTCTGAGTCTGTTGCCTCTGCCCAAGTGGAGGGGAGAGGGGCTAGGCACCACTCTTCCTGCAGGGACCCCTTCCCTTCCAGACTCCTAAAATGGTCTCTGGGCTCCTGACCCTCCCCAGACCCATCAGAATGTCCCCTATGCACTCCTGGGCTCAGGGCAGGCCATGTCACTGCAGAATTCCTTTCCAGGAAACTGGTCCCTGGACCGAGAAGCCCCTGCAGATCTGAGGGTTTGCACTATTGATGGGATTACATTGTAATGAGCAATGCTGGGGAATGGGGAATGTATTTCCATCTTTAAAGCACAGAGCATGTTTTTTCTCATTCTCTAAAATTATAAGGGTATGCTCATTAACAAAAAAAAAAAAAAAAAAAAAAGAAAAAAGAAGGAACATTACATTCTCTTCCCCAAAAAATGTCATAGAAGTCTGTTGTGCACCAGATCTTTCAGCCTAGGTAATTAGAAGTTTGTTTTTGTTTTTGTTTTTTTCTGTTTCTTTTTCTTTTTTTTTTTTTTTTTTTTTTTTTTTTGAGACGGAGTCTCGATCTGTCACCCAGGCTGGAGTGCAGTGGCGCGATCTGGGCTCACTGCAAGCTCTGCCTCCCGGGTTCATGCCATTCTCCTGCCTCAGCCTCCGGAGTAGCTGGGACTACAGGTGCCCGCCACCATACTCAGCTAATTTTTTGTATTTTTAGTAGAGACAGGGTTTCACCGTGTTAGCCAGGATGGTCTCGATCTCCTGACCTCGTGATCCGCCGGCCTCGGCCTCCCAAAGTGCTGGGATTACAGGCGTGAGCCACTGCACCCGGCCTAGAAGTTTGTTTTAAATGACGAGGTCCATTTCTTCTTTGATTTGGACTCCTGGTCCATCAAAAATCGCACCCACTAAACGGTAGCTAACGGAAGGTAGGGACCTCGTCTCATTTGTCTGTTTATGTGGCACATGCTAGTCCACGGTAATGCCACTAACTCAAAAGCATCCTTGCATTACGTTGTAATTAGCAATGCTTGGGGATGTATTTCCATCTTTAAAGCACAGAGCATGTTCTTTTTCATTTTCCAAGCATTGATGTTGGCTCTCTCATTGGCCAGCCATGCAACTAGGAGCAAATTACTTAACCTCTGTGCCTCACTTTTCTTATCTGTCCCAAGGGGATAATAATATCAGCTACCAGCCAGATGCAGTGGTTCATGCCTGTAATCTCAGCACTTTGGGGGGCCGAGGTGGGTAGATCCCTGGAGCCCAGGAGTTTGAGATCAGCCTGGGCATCATGGTGAAACCCCATCTCTACTAAAAATACAAAGAAAAAAAAATTACTTGAGCGTGGTGGTAGACGCCTGTAATCCTAGCTACTTGGGAGGCTGAGGCAGAGAATTGCTTCAACCCTGGAAGCGGAGGATGCAGTGAGCTAAGATCGTGCCACTGCACTCCAGCCTGGGTGACAGAGTGAAACTCCATCTCAAAAACAAAGAGCAAACAAACAAACAAACAAAAAAATTAGCCAGGCATAGTGGCATGTGCCTGTAGTCCCAGCTGCTTGGGAGGCTGAGATGGGAGGATCACTTGAGCCCAGGAGGTCGAGGCTGCAATGAGCTGAGATTGGGCCACAGCACTCCAAACTGGGCAACAGAACCAGACCCTGTCTCAAACATTAATAATAGTAATTAATAAATTAATAATAGTAATATCAGCTACCTTGTGAGTTTGTGTAGTGAATGCTATGCCCCATACCAGCTGTTTCTATCCCACTCTCTTTCTGGTATGCTTTCCAGTACTGCAGAGGTTTCTTTGTTTGTTTTGGTTTTCGTGTTTTTTTGTTTGTTTGTTTGTTTGTTTTCTGAGATGGAGTCCTGCTGTGTCACCCAGGCTGTAGTGCAGTGGCGCAACCTCCACCTCTCAGGTTCAACCGCCACCTCCCAGGTTCAAGCAATTCTCCTGCCTCAGCCTTCCCAGTAGCTGGGACTACAGGCACGCACCACCATGCCTGGCTAATTTTAAATTTTTAGTAGAGATGGGGTTTCCCCATGTTGCCCAGGCTGGTCTCAAACTCCTGACCTCAAGTGATCCACCTGCCTCGGCCTCCCAAAGTGCTGGGATTACAGGTGTGAGCCACCATGACTGGCCCAGTACTGCAGAGTTTAGAAAGCTGCCAGCCCATTTCCTGAACTCCCTTGCAGCTTGGGATCTAAATGCGAAATAAGTCCCACTAATAAGATGCACTTGAACAGGGCATGGAACGTGGCAGCGAAGCACAGGCCATCTTCCTTTTGTTCCTGACTCTTGCCACAAGCAAAAGGAAGTCAAAGATGCAGAGAGGCATGTGCCACTGAGACATCAAAAGATGCCCTCGTTGTTCTAGTACCCATCATCTTCCCATTTGGGATCCCAGCAATGGTGGGGTAATTCAGAGCACAGTCATTCCAGAGGCAACCCCCCAAAACTCACCTTCCTCATTTCCTAGACATCCCTGACAGGTTGGTTTGTGACATTCTGGGAATCTTTTCCAGGAACCCAGCCTGTGCTCCTCCAGCCTTTCACTGAATCTCTAAGCATCAAACCCTCTGAGTGTAATTCTTTCCTGCTTAAGATGCCGAGAGAGGGCTGGGCACAGTGGCTCACACCTGTAATCCCAGCACTTTAGAATGCCAAGGTGGGCAGATCACCTGAGGTCAAGAGTTCAAGACCAGCCTGGCCAACATGGTGAAACCGCATCTCTACTAAAAATACAAAAAAAACCCAAAACAAACAACAACAACAAAAAAACATTAGCTGGGCATGGTGGCAGGCGCCTGTAGTCCCAGCTACTCGGGGAGGCTGAGGCAGAAGAATCGCTTGAACCTAGGGGGCAGAGGTTGCAGTGAGCCAAGATCATGCCACTGCGCTCCACCATGGGTGACAGAGGGAGACTCCATCTCAAAAAAAAAAAAAAAAAAAAAGATGTTGAGAGAGGATTCTGTTTCCTGTACTGAAGTATGGCTGATACAGTGATATGTGCTCTGAAATGGCAACTGAAACATAGTGCTGTTTCTCTGGCGACTAAGACACCTGTATCTTAGTCTACAACACCTGTGACCTCACTGCAAACATTTTGCTTTCCATCCCAGCAGTTTTGGTGTCTGCAAGCTATACAGCGAATTCCATGGATGTTAGTCCAGGGTCTCACTTCTTTTGCTATAAAATTAGTTCTTTGGATAGAAGTAAGCTGCATGGGTTATGGCATGGGTTTGGAGATCTCAGGACCCAAGGGAGAATGTTCCCCCTTAGAAGACACAACAGTGGGCTGGGTGCGGTGGCTCACGCCTGTAGTCTCAGCACTTTGGGAGGCCGAGGCAGATGAGTCACCTGAGGTCAGGAGTTCGAGACCAGCCTGGCCAACATGGTGAAACTCCATCTCTACTAAAAATACAAAAATTAGCTGGGCATAGTGGTGAATGCCTGTAATCCCAACTACTTGGGAGGCTGAGGCAGGAAAATTGCTTGAATCCAGGAGGCAGAGGTTGCAGTGAGCCGAGATCGCGCCACTGCACCCCAGCCTGGGTGACAAGAGTGAGACTCTGTCTCAAAAAAAAAGGAAGACACAACAGTGGCCCCATGGAGCTGAAAGCTGAGACGGTCACCTTGGCCATACAAGGCTTCTCATGACAATGAGCCAATAGGCAACAAGGAAGTTCTGTGTTGGCTGGGGTGGCTGGTTCTGATTGTCTAAGGGGGAAATAGGGCTACTATTACACAATGGGATAGGGAGGAAGTCATCTATTACCCATGCAGCCCATTGGCTGTCATGTCCAGGGATAAACATGAACACAAGACCACGGCCCATGTAGTGAGGAACCCCAAGGGCTCAGACCCCTCAGGAATATGGTTCGGTCACTCTGCTGAGTACATAAGCATAATCAGCTGCGGTGCTGGTGGGAGACAGAGGAACAGGGAGTGGAGAGTGGAAAGAAGCTTTAAACACCAACGAAGGCCTTGCAGTAGATAGCCTAATTTTTGTCATAGCTCTGCTAGGTATACATATTAATCAATTTCCCTTTTCTTTGTTCTTTATTTCCTATACTTCTTAACATAGGGTACTTTGATGGTGCTGGACTACCTAAGTAGACCTTGAGATAGACGATATCAAGGTGAGGTTGTCACAGCATAGAAGACGAAGGGTCCAGTGATAATGCGATTGTGGGGAGAAGGTGAACGTGTTTTTGATTGTAGGAGGGAGAGCTCTGTTACTCCATGAGTGCAGGCTGCTGTAGCTGATGTTTATAACAAAGTTTTTGTAATGATGTTATCATATGACTTTTTTTTGAGATGGAGTCTGGCTCTGTCACCCAGGCTGCAGTACAGTGTATGATCTTGGCTCACTGCAGCCTCTGCCTCCCAGGTTCCAGCAATTCTCCTGCCTCAGCCTCCCGAGTAGCTGGGATTACAGGTGTGCGCCAACACACCTGGCTAATTTTTGTATTTTTAGTAGATATAGGGTTTCGCCCTATTGGCCAGGCTGATCTCGAACTCCTGACCTCAGGTGATCCGCCTGCCTCAGCCTCCCAAAGTGCTGGGATTACAGGCGTGCGCCACTGTGCCCAGTGATATGATATTTATGAAGTATTGGTGGAATGGTGCATACAGATGTTAAGGAGCAACAGGACTGAATCTTGAGGAGACTGTGAATTAGGTCAGTCAACCTCCATCCTCCATTCTGCCGACCTTTGGTGGAATTTCATGTCCGGCAGAACCTGGAAAGGCAAAAATTACATTCACGCATGTCCTTGAACTCAATAATCATAGTGGCTTCCAGCAGAGGTAGTAGCTTCCTGCACATGCTGGGAGCCATTCCTGCAGACCCAGCTTCCAATTCACTCTCTGGCTTCCCAAACATGAAGCCCTCCAACGCCCTGTATTAAATCACTTTCTACTTAAGGTAACTTGAGTAGTTTGTTTCCTACACTGAACCCCTGCAATAATAGGTTATTGGATAAGACAACAATAAGAGTACACAAGGCTGCTGGGCATGGTGGCTCATGCCTGTAATCCCAGCACTTTGGGAGGCCGAATCGGGCAGATCACCTGAGGTTGGGAGTTCAAGACCAGCCTGACCAACATGGAGAAACCCTGTCTCTACTAAAACTAGAAAATTAGCTGGGCATGGTAGCACATGCCTGTAATCCCAGCTACTCAGAGGCTGAGACAGGAGAATCATTGGAACCCAGAAGGCAGAGGTTGCAGTGAGCCGAGATCATGCCATTGTACTGCAGCCTGGGTGACAAAAGTTAAACTCCATCTCGAAAAAAACAAAGCCAAAAAAAAAAAAAAAAAGAGTACACAGGCACAATGCCTGCCACTTACCGCATGCTCTCTAAATATACCTAAAAACATGAATCACAGCTGCTTGTTGATTTATTGACTTGACTGAGTGTCTCCATGCTGTTCACCTTTAATTAGCAGCAGGGCAATCAAATGCCTCTTTTTAAGGAATAATCTCTCTCTTCCATGTGAGTATTTTGACCTCAGGTCTAAAGAACCTTTTCAAGGAACCGTCAGACCCCAACAGCCTACCTTTTTCCCGCTGGTCGTGTACAACTGCTTCACAGGAAAGCGCAGGAGATCTGAGGCTTTGCCGAGAAAGGCGGCCAGGTTCCTAGTATTCCTGTGACTGAGAACCACTGTCTGCTGGAGGCGAGGGTCCATGTTCTTAATCAGCAGTATCCTCCGGGGGGTTTTAAGACTCTTCCGGGAGGAGGAGGTGCCTGGGGCTTCACGCTGGCCTTCGACATCCCGCAACTGCTGAGCAGTGGGGTTTCTCTCCTGTGGCCGGCCTGGTCCACTGGGGGTCTTGGGGGGCTTCTTATCAGAGCAGAGGTAGCAGCCTCCATCTTCCAGCTGCTCCAGGGCGCTGAGGCTATGCAGGCCCCGGGGTGTGGTGACAGAGCGCACCCCAAAGGAGAGAGGCACGCGCTGGGAGAGCTCGTCCATGAGGGCGCTGAAGGTCTTAAAGGCGCGCTGGTGAACGGCCAGGCGGACCCCAGCAAACCGTGGATCCCCTCGCTTGAGGAAGGTGATCTTCTTGGCTGGCGTGACCTTGGTGACCGAGGGGGTGCGAGCCACAGAGGGCAGGAAGCACTCACGGTGGCTCGGGGCCTGGGCATTCCTGGGGGTGCTGTTCATGGTGTGGGGGCTCTGGCCGCTGTAACAGGGCAGAGGAAGAGGGGTCAGAGAGCAGCTTGGGGGATTGGCATTTCCTGTCTCTTCCCGTCTTTCTAGAGGTGCTTCCTGCCCACCCCAAATGTGCTCCACTCCACTATGGAGAGGCAAGTGAATCTATTTGGATGGAACAGAAGGAAGGACAAAAGTTGGGCATGGGACAGATCTGAGTTCAAACTCCAGCCCCGTGAATTGCTTGAGCTCAGGAGTTTGAGGCTGTCCCCAGCATTACCATGTTCCCACCACATGCCTTCAGAGTCACCATGTCCCCAGAACCACCATGAAACCAGGACCACAATGTCCCCAGCACAACCATGTCCCCAGCACCTCCATGTCCCCAGTACTTCAATGTCCCCAGAACTTCCATGTCCCCAGCACTTCCATGTCCCCAGAGTCATCATGTCCCCAGCATTGCCATGTCCCCAGCAAAGCCACATCTGTAGCACCTCCATGTTCCCAGGACCTCCATGTCTCCAGCATTACCATGTCCCTAGAGTCATATGCACTTACAGTCACCATGTCCCCAGCATCACTATGTCCCCAGCACAGCACCACATGTCCCCAACATTGCTGTGACTCATTGTCACCCTGTCCCTCAGCATCATCATGCCACTAAAATGACCACGTATATCCCCAGCACCACTATGTTCCCAGCACCTCCATGTCCCCAGCATCACCATGTCCCAGAACCACTGTGTCCCCAGCACCTCCACATCCCTGGCATCACCATGTCCCCAGCACCTCCATGTCCCCGGCATCACCATGTCCCCAGCACCTCCATATCCCTGCATCACTGTGTCTTCAGCACTGTCTTGTCCCCAGTATGACCTTATCTTGCAGCCATGGGGAAGGAAATTGCAAACGTGGAAGGTTTTCTTCTTGGAAGAGGCATCACCTTCCAGTCCTCACTCTCAGAATACTCATCACATTCTCCACACATTCTGTCACTCATCACTCCCTCTCTCATGTAGCCAACAAAGATTTCTGAGCATCTATTGCATCAGGCTCTGGGTGGCATCCTGGGATGCAACCATTAGTAGGACATGGCACCGATCTTCAGAAACTTCACATTCCAATGTGACAAACAGACACGCTCCTACACACAATAACAAATGTTCTGATGTGTATGTGTGTACATACACACACACTCACACATACACCACAATATACACTGGGTGTGACTGAATGCAGAGTAAAAGGAATGGCATTGCAGGTCAAGGAAGTCCTCCTGGAGGAGGTGATGCAGAGACTCCTGAGCTGAAGCCTAAAAACAACTTAGGGATTAGCCTCTCTGGCTCTAGGAAGAAATTAGGACCACAGCAAATAGATATGGCCCTGGCGTCTTCTCTGACCAGCTGGGTGGTGTTGGAAGGCTGGGAGGAGAAGGTTGGAGGCTTTTTGCAAGCTGGGGTGGAAGGCCGGGAGGAGAAGGTCGGAGGCTTCTTGCAAGCTGGGATCAGCTGCCATAGAGTCAGGGTGGAGCAAAGCCATTCTGGCTGCCGGACATCTGCCATCCCTGCGTCGGGGTGTTCAAAACCCGGCCTGGAAAACTGGGCTTTTCAGTTCCACGAGCCGACAATTCTCTCCTTGGCTGAGTGGGTTTGAGTTGGGGTTTCTGTCTTGTCGAACAGGAAGAGCCCCACTGAGATGTGGGCCCCAGAGAGTGACAACAGCAAGCACCTCACCTTCAGTGACTCTGAAGCTGGGTTTCTGAATTAGGAAGAAGCCTGGGTGGGGTTGGGAGCCGAGGCTCCTGTCAGATCCCCCACTTTGTCCAGTGGATGACAGGGGACAATCACTGCATTCCTACATTCCAGACCGGCCTTCAGAAGCCGGACTGAGGGTGAACAATCAGCTGATACGCAAAATCGCGTATCAGTCACTTTTCCCCTTGCTGGTTTCCTCCTTTCAAAATCATGAGGTTTCTCCTCCAATCAGGAGCAGGGGAAGACCTGACCTCTTAACAAAACATGCTGGGTGGGCGCCAGGCCGCGCCCAGAGAGAGAACACCCTACCTGCACCAAGCAACTCTCCACCATCTCAGGAATCAGGCCACCTACAGGGTCACAGAAGCTCCCAGGAGGGAGAAGGCTCTTCCTCCAGTACCACTCACCTGGGGCGTGAGTCCAGGAACCTGGGCCTTCGGGATGCGAGGAAATGCTGGGAGGAAAGACACAGGGAAGAGGGGGCCAGGCTGGAGGGTGCGTGTGGGGTGTGGTCCCTGCTCTCCACTCTGTGCCCAGCTGGGGGTCAAGTGGGGAGCCCATGGGGTGGGGGTGGGGTGTGGGAGGGGAAGCATCTAGATGAGGTGTGAGATGCTCCATAGGCGGAGGGCTTCTGCCCAGCCAAGCCTCATGACTGAGCGATAAAGGCGCCCCCCAACCCACCTCCCACACAGGGCAGGGCCTCATCAGGTGCGGGCAGGTAGAATGCATTGGAGGAGGCTCCAACATTTTGCTTCTGAACCATCCAGGTGCCCCCGGCTGTGGACAGGACCACGCAGGAGCAGAGGGCCTGGCAGGAAGCGGGGAGCTGTGGTGGGTGGTCTCAGTGAGCACAGAGACCGAGGGATCCACCCCTGGGGCTGATTAGGCCCCAGCAAACCCCAGGGTCCACTTGTACCGATCAGAGCCAGGGGAGGCTGAGTCAGTGCAGGTGGGGGGCAGGCAGCGAGGGCAGCATTGTGGGATGGAAAAGGAGGGGGCGGTGCCGGGGATTTTGGGAGGAAGCAGGGAAGGAAAGCAGAGGCCTTCCAGCTGTGTGTGGGAGGGGGTAGACGGAGCAAGGAAAAACAGATTACGGGGCAAAAGGAGAAAAAATAGAAGTCACAGGAAATGCTCCAAGAGTTGACAGCCCCTGTGGAGGAAGGGGCAGGGCGGACCTGCAGGGAGGAAACAGTTTTGTTGGCAGCCCTGGGAGCAGAAGTGGGCTAGGCTGGGTAGGGGGCTGGCAGCGGGCGCAGGCAGCAGGGGCAGTGGATTCAGGAACAGAGTGAATAGCGGGAGGATGGGGGAGGCTGGGCTTTGCAGGAGAGAATGCAAGTGGCAGGAACCCAAGCTAGGCCCCAGAGGGCTGAGCAGGGAGAGGGACAGGGCTGCTGCGAGACCTTGAAGGGCTGATCAATATCACACGCGGATCACCGAAAGAAGCCGAGCATGATGGGAAGCTCACATGTCCCCAGAGAAAAACACGTGGGGCATGCAGCCCCCGGAGAGAACAAGAGCTGCAGGCATGCAGCAGGGAGCTGGGTCCTTTGCACGCTCTCCACCATCACACAGGTCCACACGGGCTGCATGGGGTCAGGCAGCCGTTTTCAGCACCACCTTCCAGTGGCTCGCACTTGCCACAGGTCATAAGAGCACTGGTATTTTACAAACCATTTAAGAAAGGAAGAATGAAAAAAAGAAACAGTGACAAATGAAGACAAAGACACGCCATTCATTGCAAAGATGCATCCTGATTTCAGGTATATTAACACATGGAAAAAACCCCAAATCTGTGTGTATCAAAGTTTGGGAAAGACAGAATGACAAAAAGCGAAGCACAAATTGCTCACATTTCCACGAGAAAGCCACAGCACGTCATCAAGTGTGATTTCGATTGATTCTGGGTGCTGAGAGCGGCAGGAGCCACTGTGCTCCAACCTGATAGGTCAGGCCTACCAGGTGGGTGAACGTGACTCGTAAAAAAAAGGAGAGACCACAGTGAGATGCCACCTCACACCATTAGAACGGCTACTGTAAAAACCAGAAAACACGTGTTGGCATGGATGGGGAGAAGTTGGAACATTGCTGGTGGGAAGGTCAAATGATGTGGCTGCTGTAGAAAACAGTATGGCGGGTCCTCAAAAATGGAAGCATAGAATTGCCACATGATCCAGAAATCCCATTTGTGGGTATCTCCCCAAAAGAACTGAAAGCAGGGCTCAAAGGGATACGTGTACACCCACGTTCATTGCAGCTTTATTCACAGTAGTCAAAGGGTAGAAACAACCCAAACATTCATCCGCGGATGAACAGATTAACAAAATGCGATATAGACAAACAAAGGAGACTTACTCAACCTTAAAAAGGTAGGAAAATCTGGCCCATGCTGCAACATGGATGAACCTTGAAGACATTAAGTGAATAGAAATGAGCCGGTTACAAAAGACAAGTGCTGTATAATTCCACTTGTATGAGGTCCCTAAAGCAGTCAATTTTATAGAGACAGAAAGTAGGATGGGGGACATCAGGGCTGGGAGGAGGTACGAGAGGGGAGTTAATGTTTCAGAGGTGCAGAGTTTCACCCTGGGGAGTTCTGGGGATGGGTGGTGATGGTGGTCGCACACCAACGGCACAGGACTGTACACTTACAAACAGTTTAGATGGCCAATTCTATCTGGTGTGTATTTTATCACAATACGAGATATAAAAAAAAAAGTAAAAATATTTAAAAGGAGGGGGTGGGATGAATTACCCTTTAAGAAGGTAATTACCCCTTAAGAGGAGGACATCTTCCCTAAGCCAATTCCTAAACTAGTAAGAGTTTAGGGAAACATCACAGCGTTCCACACAACAGAACTCTCTGGCGCCCCAGGTTCTGGGCAGTAAATTCAGATGGAGAGTAACAGAGCAAGTAGGCAAAGAGGGCTCCACAAGGGTAGTTAGTACTTCTGATGAACAGGCACAAAGCAATCCAGCAGCAAACGATGACCACCTACTGTGTGCCAGACCTTTACTTAGACACAGAGACTGAGGCACAGCTTGGGGAGGCAGGCTCATGCCTCCTGGCATTTATAATCCAGGAAAGAATACAGACAGCACCAAGGTCCTCACTCTTTAATGGATGAGCAACCCAGCTGCTTCTGGAGGTCTCCAGGTTCATGAGCCCAACTAGGCTCTGCCAGTAACAAGCTGATGGCTTTGAGTGACCTACTTGAATTGTCTGTGCTTCCCTTGTCTGAGCCATAAACAAAGAGGTTAAACCACAGGATCACTGAGGTTACACTAGGAGTTTGTAGGAAAAGTTAGCACATGAGGCTGTGCTGTCCCTCAATCTGAGAGACCTCTTGAGAAATTACCAAAGGCGTTCATTCTTAAAATTGTCTAGGTAATAGCCCCCCTCCCTTTCAAAATGATAGTGAAAACCATGAATAACACCAATGCCCCTCCTGAAAAACAAGCACATTCCCATAAACACAAAATACTACACACAATTACAAGTGCATGGGCTCCTGCAGCTCATCATAGATGCACCCTCCACCCCCAGCCCCAGAGATCCAGGAAGCCCAGGCTAAGAACCTGTGATCCAATCCTTGGTGATGAGAAAAAAACAAGGAGAGGAGAAACAACAGAGAGAGTGACAGTGGAGCTCTGGGCTGGCCATGGAGCCCCGGTGGTATGACTTCAAAAGAAGAAAAGAAATCACGTTCCTGAATATAGACTTTCTTGTCCAAACTGTAGTCACTGGGAAAATTTTCCCAATGATAGTTCCCGTTCTGTCTGGTAATAAAAGAGGGACACATCCATGACAACTCATGGACTGGAAGAAACCTGATATTGACACTGGAAGTAGAATCCTTGGAAACTGTCAAAAAACAAAACAAAAACAAGCACTAGAGTATCTTCCTGTCCATCCCCCACAAACACACACTTGCTAATAGTCTCCAGGCCACTCATCAGTAAGGGAAGTAGGTTAATGAGATGGCCTGGATTTGCAGGGCTTACAACACCAAGCGGGATGTGCAGCCTCGTCAGAGCTCCCTTGAAGGCAGGAAGTGGGTCTGGTGCACCTCTGGCCCTGTGCTCGGCACATCACAAGTGCTGGACAAATGTTTGAAGAATAAATAATGCTTAGACAGCTGAGCAGGAAAGAGAATGGAGTGAGAAGTACGGTAAGCACAGAACAGGATGATAATAAAACCCAGGACAGGTAGAAAGCTCTCTTGCCCAATCATGGAGCAAGTGCATGGAGGAAACATATAAACAGCCAAGGAACAAGCAAATCCAGCAGCTGCTGGTGCTGGAGGTAGCTGCCAAGGGTCTGGAAAGTGCATGGGCAGGGCATGGGCCCTGCCTGGGGGCTACCCATGGCCCTGAGAAAGTGAGAAGGTGACTAAGGGGGCCTGGGAGCCAATGAATAGTCACAGATAGATGGAGCAAAGAACATCAAGACGAAAAGTAAATGGGAAGGAATAGGGAGAAGCTGGAGAGGAGGAATGGACTCGATTTCTTTGGGGTGGTCCTGGTGGAACTGGGAATTAGGATTGGCCAGGGTTTCCTTGGATTCTGAGGCAGATCTCAGCTCAACTTAGCAAACAACTTTAAACCACAGGTGTGGTCCCAAGGCAGCTTGGGCTACTGTGCAACCAAATGCAATCAACAATTGCATTTTATTGTCAGCAACAGAGACCCTCCCCATAAATGACTTAAACCAGGTAGAGGTTTATTTTCTTCTCACATAGAAATAGTCTAGAGATGGCCACTCCCACGCTGGCATGGGGGCTCCATGGTGCCACCCATGTCCCCAGCTCCTCCTGTCTTTCTACCCTGCTGTCCTTACCACTTATTCCCTCCTCAAGATGCCTCACAGTCAGAGGAAGGCTGCTGTGGGCCCTGGAGTTTGACTGAGATCCCATTCTGCCTGGCATTAGTGGTCTGTCCCCAAGTCTCTGTGCTCACCAAGACCACTTATCCCCTACTCCCGCATGGCCCTGTCCACACCACGTAGGCATCAAGGTGGCTCAGGGAGTCAAAGGTCAGAGTCTTCTCCAATCTGTTTTGCCTTTAACATGCCTTGCTGAGGCCCCATCCTGAGTGGGAGTCAGGGTGGTGAGGGGGTCTCCTTCAGAGCTCAGTCATGAGGGCGTAGTCAAGTCAAGAGGGCTTAGCTGGGCAAAGGCCCTCTGTCCCCAGAGCATCTATCTCTATACCTAGATGGTCCTCCCTTGACCCCCAGCTGGGAGTGCAGTGGAGGGGGGAGCAGACCCCATCTTGCCATCTTCAGTCCCTGACCTTTCTTCTCTCTGCCACCCCATCCACACCCCAGGCAGGAGGATGGGCAGAGGCAAAGGCACAGACTGAGTTGGCCTCATGTGAGGTTGACCTGACCTCTCCATCTAACAAGTCCTGCCTCTGCCCCACTGCAGAGCTGAGTTCCAGGACTGTTCCTACACACGCAGAGAGCTGGGAGGAAGGGATGGCAGAGATGTCACTCTCAGCCAGCCTGGGCCTTCAAGTGGAGAAAAGAGAAAGAGGGGTAAAGTTTGAGAGTTGTCAAGGACAGGTTGAAAGAAAATGTCAAGACAAATTCTGCAGAGTGGAGGGTTTCACTTTCACTTTCTGTTTCCCAGCCCGTAGGGGAGCTGGGGTCAGAGAAGGGAGCTTTGCACCTCCCGGCAGGCAGCCTCCTGCCTGGGCTCTGCCTCCCTAGATAACCACAGGCAAATTGCCCTCCATTGCTGGGACTCAGGTTCCCATCAGTAAAGTGACCTCTAAATTCACGTCTTGCACAAAGAAGTGAATTTTTTCATTTTAAAAAGCTCTCCAGGTGATTCTCAGCCAGTGTTGAAATCCACTGAGCCAAAACACTGGACATGATGGAATGACAACTGCTTGCCAACACGTGGTGTTAAGTCTACAACAGAGATTCATAAGAGACTGGTCATCGCAGCGGGAGAAATTGGATGAGACTTCCCAGCTGGGCTTGTGGGGGCTGGGAGGTGTGCACCAGCAGAGTGGGGCTAAGGGAGCCCCCTTTGCAGGTAGAGTCTTGCTCGAGTGGAGTGAATGCCTGGCTCTCAGGGGGAATGGCTTTGCCGGGTTTGTGGGGAGGAGGTTTGTTTACGGCTGCCACAGTTGGGAGCCATGGTCGACTTCGGAACAGGGCCTAACGTTGTGAAAGCGGTGATCACCCAAGATCAACCAGCAGGATATTTTAGACGGCCCAGGCGAGAATGTTGTCATGGCAACAGCACCTGCAAAAACACACACACACACACACACAAACGCACACACGTACACACATGCACACATGCACACACACGCACACAAACACGCATGCACACACACGCACACAAACACGCATGCACACACACGCACACACGCACACACACATGCACACACACGCACACACATGCACACAAACACACATGCACACAAACACACATGCACACACACGCACACACACGCACACACGCACACACACATGCGCGCACACACACGCACACACACACTATGGGTAGGGAGCACTTCTTCAAATACATAATGACATGTGTGAAGCTCTTTTCCGTGTATAGCAGGATTATATATACACATAAACATTATCTCAACTGTTCCTACAGTTACCTAGAGAGATGGCCGGGAAATCCCACTGAACAAAGGAGACATCCGAGGCTTGGCAAAGTTCCACGGTTTGTCCCTGTCCCCCCTCCTCCACTTCCGAGACGACCACAGCAAGGCTGGAGCTGGCTCTCAGACCGCAAGCGCTGGGTTCTCTCTGCCAGTGCCGCCCGAGCCTGTGGACAAGGGCTGGTTGGAGGCCGAAGGGAAGCAGCCCACCCCTGAACAGACGAAGACCAAGGGCGATGGGTCCTGGGGGGCTCTCCACGGCGGGGAAGACACTGCCAGGCAAGGTCTGGATTCAAAAACAGGAAGGGGGAAGCCAGCACGGGGCGGATTTGGAGTCAGGCCATGGACGTGAGTGAATCACTCCCAGACCTGCTTTCTCTGACACTTGCGGTGGCCCCAGGAACAGAGCAGCTCATTTCCTTGAGAATGTTTTTGTCATTTTGTCATCGTGCTTCACACGGTGGGCAGTGGGGGAGGGAGCCTTCAGGGGCCACCAGAGGACAGGTCCTGTCGAGGAAGCAAAGAGCACAAAGATGGGGCAACCCTGGCCCGGAAGAGGCTTCGGGTGAAGGCAGGAGTGTGGTTTTGCACTCCTGCCCTGCTTCCAACAAACAACGGGAAGCAACCAGGGGCACCAATGTCCGACTGTGGGAAATCCCCCATTTTCCCTGCTTAGATTTAGCTATAACTGGGCAATACTCTGTGATCCTAGAGTTGAGTTGGCACCATCTAGAACGTTCTAGAACATTTTTCCTCAGCCTTTTCTCCTCTGGAAATGGAGGCGGCATGTCTGAGATGGTGGTTATAAAGCACCTTTCACATGTTTTCATTTAACTCATTGGTAACAATCAGCTCCTGAGCTATGCAATCTGACTTATTGATGTATACAGATATCTCCACCTAAAGTCTTGGGGAGGGACCCCCATCTCATCCCGACTTTTTCCTTTCCCCCTGCATGCCTGCAGCTCCTTGTCTCCGCTCCTCTCATTCTCCTGCCAACTCACGGCCTGTAGAATCCCCGTGTGTTTACACGCCTTATTTCTCCCGCTAGACCAAGGGTGAGGATGAGGCCGCTGACTTTGGCTCCCCAGTGGGCAGCACAGTGCACAGCACCTTGTAGGTGCTCGGGAACTATTTGTTGAGAGACTGAATGAGTAAACGGATCAACATTCATCCAACACAGGGGTCCCCTCATTCCCAGTCTGAGGTTGACTTGATATAGGATGGACGAGGTCAAGATGAGGAGTTGGAAGCCTTTGAAGACCCTTGATGGCTCTGACACAACTCAGAGCCAAGAATGAGCTATCCCTTTAAGGATGCCCAGCCCATCCTTCAGCGCCATCCATGTCCACTCTCCTCTCCTTGGGCGGAGGCTGCAAAATGAGATGTGTGCTTCCTCACTCACTGCTGGGGGCAGAGGAGCACCAGTGCCTTGGGGGTCACTCTGAAAGTGAGGGTCTGCACCATGGGGTTTATGGAAGAGACATGGGCAGTGTCCAATTCTCTGCATCCAACAGCACGGCGACGTTCCCAGGAGACGGCAGCAGCGATGACCGCATCTGTGGCTGGAGGGATGAGGGAAGACTGCTGGCCAGTGGGAGCTAGAGCTGCACAGCAGCTGCCCCAGGGCCGTGAGCCAGGAATGCTGGCCTCACAAAGCCGCAGCCAGGTCAGGGATGGGGAAGCAGAGATGCTGACCTCTCTCTCCCTCTACTCTCTGATCTCCCACTAGTGCCCCCATTGACCAAATCCAACCCGAAATCAGAGGGCAAGAAGCCTGACAAGGCAACCCAGAAAGGCCAGACCCTTAGTTCAAAGGACAAAGGGTAGATCTGGGGACCGGGGCAGACAGGGATGTAATAAGCCCAAACCCCAAATTGCATCAGCTTCCAGCCAAACAAAACCCCGGGCAAGGACACCACTCCCATCCGTGCAACCTGGAGCATGCTTCGCCCCACAAACACCCTCGATGACTCTACTATGTGCTAGGCGCAGGGGAGGCCGGGGAAATCGCAAACCCACTCAGAGGAGCGCAGCGTCCCGCACAGGAGGCAGAACAACTGCTGTTCTGTGGTCATCATTTGAGTCCACCATCCACCCAGAGCACCAGGAGGACAGCAAACCTCCAGGGCGTGACTGAAGCTGCCCTGGAACGTTCTCCAGACCTAAGTACAGACTACACGAGCTTCAGTAACCACTGCTTCATGGCAAGGCATATTCTAATTATTGTAGGTATACAATACAAGGTATATGTCCAATTAATCTCCACATAGTTCCATGAGGGATGCATGAATTATATCCCTTTTCAGCCTCCCTGAAGTTTTTCAGCTGAGAAAACCGATTGACCGACGTGAGGGGAACCCAGGCTTCAGGACTGCTGACACAATATCCTCCCTCTCTGCCTGTGGAGAAGGGTGCCCGAGGGCCTGACCAGGAGGCTCAAGTCACCCTGATCCCCAGCTGCAGGCCTGAGGCAGCCTCAGCTCCTACAACAAGGCAGATAGAGCTCAGAGGACCAGGCTGGACCATACCACAGCGGTCTGAGTAAGAAGAGAAGTGATGGGAGCATAACATGGTACAGTTATCAGGCCACACAGCACCTGCCACAGGAAAAAAGAGTGCCCTGGCTCATCTCTGACACCACCCGACTTATCCACCTCCTAAATCAACTGAACCATGTGCCTGTCACCCTCTTCTGCAAACAGTTCTGAATATGCGCTCTCCCAGGACCCGAGAAGGAGCAGCACCGATGCTTGTGGGCAGAGCTGCAAGAGGCTGCAACACGGACCCTAGGATGAGCCCCACCCTCCAGGACAACCGCATGGTCATCATCAGCATCTGTGAGGCTCCTCCCGGCATATGGACCGGTTTTCCGTGATGTGACAAGTGGGGAAGATCAACACAAAGAATGCAAAACAGCCGACATACAGAAAGCGAGGATCAGGTCTGGTGTTGCTGTGTGGAGAGAAATGGGTTTCCATTTCCATCCGGGGACCACCCCCAGCGTTCCTGGCATTGTTGAGGCACTGCCTACTGGAACTGCAGAAGGCTCTAGGTTTGGCAGAAGAGTGCCAATCACCCAGGCTCCTGCTGGATTAGGAGCCATCCCCAGGAATGAGTCCACAGGCCCAGGGACAGCTGCTGCAGTGGCTGCTATTCCTAGCATTTCAGGAGCCCCCACACAGAACCCACCAGCCCCGGGGACCCCTGTCCACCTTCAGGTAGAGCAAGTCCACCTGCAGGCATTATGGCTCTTCCACCTGGTGTGAGTCTACCCAACCCCAACTGGGACTCCCTCTCCTCAAGGGACACCAAGGGTCCTTGCCCCTCCAGTCTCCCCAAGACTCTCTTCACCAGGAATAAGAGGCCCATCTCCCCCAGAAATGCATCCACCACAACCCTAGGAGAGTGCTGGGGCTTCTCAGTCACTTTTTCCCTGCAGTGCCACCTGGGATGTATGACAGTGTTTGTGAGCTTTGCCGCATTAACATGGGCTAATCCTCATAAACGCACAGAGCAATGGAACCGGGGAGGGAACAGGTAGAGGCTGGGGACTCGGGTGACGCGGTCTTCATCTGATCTTGCCACTGGCCACGGCATGTCCTTGAGGAAGTCACTTTACC
Source organism: Homo sapiens (assembly GCF_000001405.40). Classification (NCBI taxonomy): domain Eukaryota; kingdom Metazoa; phylum Chordata; class Mammalia; order Primates; family Hominidae; genus Homo; species Homo sapiens. The sequence goes on from NC_000008.11 coordinate 10,635,191, forward strand.
TCCCCGGGACCTGGCTTTCCCCTCTGGAAACTGGGGGAGGAAATGGAGGCTCAGTTGCCCTCCAACTGACCCGTTAGCCTCAGCAGCCCATAATTCTATCACCTTCTCTAAGAGGGGACCCTTCTGGGCATCCAGAAATGCTCCCCCACCCCAGGCTAATCCCTGGTCTTCTTCACCCTACCATGCCGGGTTATTCCCAGCGCACGCCAGAGATCCAACGCCTCATGCACTTTCTGCTCTCCCAGGTGTCCTGAAGGAATGTAGCCAACGCAATTCAGGTTGTATGAGATCAATCCATTCCTCCACTCTACAAATCCCTATGGAATACCTACTGAGACTGGGCATGGTCACGAAAGAAGACCAGGTAACTTCTGTACTATGTTGCTCTCCAGGGGACCGTGGAATTGAGAAAGGGAGGAGTCTCTGATCTACACAGTGCCCAGAGCCTCCATTTTCTCTGCTCTTTTCTTTCCTTCCCTCGTGACACAGAGCTATTGATGGCCAAGAAAGTAAGTGGTAAGAGCAGCGAGTGCTTGTGGAGACAGTGGAGGATGTGGGAGACTTTTGTACCATTCTTGCAACTTTGCAGTAGATTTGGAACTAATCCAAGATAAATATTAGTTACTTACGGAGCGCTGAGAGTGGGGACTCAGGATCAGCAGAAGGCCACCAGGTGGGATGCCTGGAGCCAGCAGACACTGGAAGATCCCCCGGGTCAGTCTATAGCACCAACCCGCGGACAAAACCATCCCCATGGAAGAGACTGGCACAGGCCCGAGAGCACAGGGAGCTGGGGTGGGGACGCGAGTCTGGCTCTCTGCCACAGATTCCATCATTCAACAGCTCTGCTGACCACCTGCCTTCTGCAACATGCTAAAATGCTGTTTTGGTGTGGATGAGTTGCTTCACCTCTCTGGACTTCAGTTCCCTCATCTGTCAAATGACTTATTTGCAACGCAGTTGGACTCCACAATGCTTATGGGCCTTGCCATCGCTCAGACTTTCTGGGTCTATAACAAGAGTTCCAGGACACCCAATATCTTGGCTTTAAAGAAGGGTTCTGGGGGCATCTGGGGCCGGTGACTCTTGCTTTGTCCAGCATGAAGGCGTCAACAAGAGGCAAAGGGAAAAGGAGCCGGTCTGCAGGCGGCCAGACCCGTCAGCATCCCAGGGCTAGCCTTTGGCAGCTGTGAAGCCTTGGAGGAATGAATCAACCTCTCTGAGCCAGTCACCATCCTCGGTAAAATGGAGACATCGCATCTGCCCTGTGGGGCTGTAGTGGGATTGACTGAGCCTCGCCTGTGCAGTTGAGGCCCCGCCTTCTTCCCTTCCCCCTCGAATGGCAACCCAGGCCCTGGCCTGACCACCAAGAGGACTCTCCTTCACAACGGCCTCCTCGGATGAAAGGCGTGGGGGCAACAGGAAGAACTGTTGTTTTAACTGCTCTCAGCTTCCTCCTTTTGTCTCGGGCATGATAAACAAGCCTATTCCCCCAAGCCACAGCTGCTAATCCAGCTGCAGGAGGGCAGCGGTCAAGCAATCAGACATGCTCTTCGCTGGGATTAGGTTACTCCCAGCCGGGCCTGACCCCTCCCCTGCCCAGCAGCAGATCAGAACCGACTCCCTCCTGGCTATCCCTGGGGCTGCTGGGTTCGGATGCCCTGGGAAGCTGCAGGTCACCTGGATGGAACTGGAGTGACAAGGACTGTGGCCAGTCTGTCACACAGCTCCCTGACACAACTCCCAGGCCTGGCCCAGCCTTAGAACCTTCCCTGCCCTGAGGCCCTGACAGCAGGGCTCTACGTGGGGCCACTCTGCAGTGTACAAAGCATCGTCACTCACTCTCTCAGGTGGGCCTTGCAGTAGGCTGGTGAGGGAGAGAGACAGGCTGAGATTTAGAGAAAAAGAATGCAAGGTTCGCTCAGGGCCATAGAGCAGGCAAGGAGACAGCTGAGCCTTCCTGGTCAGGTTCCCGGACTCAAACTCAATGCTCACAGCAAGGCTGCCTCTCCCCACGTAGTAAGGGGCGTCCCCTTCACAGTCCCCAACCTCCCAGGCTTGGCCGCGGAATGCGCAGAGTGGCAAGGTCCTCTCACCCCAGAGCAGAGCACAGGATTTCCTCCAGTATTTATCAAATGCACCACAATTAAGCCAATTAGGCAAAAAGACTTAATGAGGACCTCCTGTGTGTGATGTCAGTGTAGGGGCCAGAAAACTCCTCTAAGCCTTTTTTGGCATTAAATGAAGGAATAAACATAGCAATAAAAAATAAAAGCCGGCCACGGTGGCATATGTCTAAAGTCCCACCTACTCTGGAGGCTGAGGCGGGAGGATCACTTGAGCCCAGCAGTTCAAATGTAGCCTGGGCAACAGAGTGAGACCCCATCTCCAAAAACAATAAAATACATAAAAAAATTAAGAAAACTCCCCATTTATAGTCACTAGATCTACTTGATATATGCTGGACACTCTAGTTAAGTATAGCTCAGCTGAGTTTTCCTGCAAAGAAAGAGTTAACGTAGCTGATATCTGTGGTAACTTATCTCCTGCATAGGAGTTTATTTCCCTAGGTTGGTTGAGACAGGAGGGGAAAGAGACGGGGGAAGTAGGAAGAGAGAGAGGAAAAATGGATCAGCTTCAAGATCAAAAGATGCTCAGAGATCTGAAAGGAAACACAAACTCCAGGGGTGGGGGGATTTTCAGGACTCTGTATCCTTCTGATAAGGAGCTAGTTCTTGGGACAGCCCCACCCTCCTGCCTGCAGCCCCAGGGCTGGGTCCCCTTTGCAACAAGAATAGGCGATGGTGCCCACCCCAGAAGCTGGTGGCTTGCGAGACCAGAGCAGCTCAGGAGGCACAGCCACTGATCCTGGGAAGCGTGCCCTCAGTTCATGGTGGGAACAACTGGGAAATACCTGCTTTGTTTACACTTTGTCAGGCTTAATGCAGTATTTTGTTAGTTTCAGGTAGGGCTTAACATCGATTACACACGTGAACCCAAAAATACCGATATGCTTGCCCATGCAAATGAAACATACATTCAAACGTATTTCCATGTATCCACAGGCACTTGTGATTCCCACCGAGGTCTGGTCGAGTAAAAGAGTTTGGGTAGCCTTGATGATAAAAGTACAAACGGAAGCATGAAATAGAAACTTCCCCTGAATGCTGGGGACTCAAGGAGGAATTCGAGACAGTTTCATGTGGGGAAAAAAAATCAAAGGAAGAATTGCAATAATTCCCTTGACTATTTTTTATCCCACGAAATTAGATACAAATTTCTACTTCAATTGTTTGAAGTCCCAGCTACTCTGGAGGCTGAGGTGGGAGGATTGCTTGAGTCCGGCAGTTCAAATGTAGCCTGGGCAACACAGTGAGACCCCATCTCTAAAAAAAAATAAAATATATAAAAAATTTAAGAAACCTCCCCATTTATAGTCACTTGATCTACTTGATATATACTGGACACTCTAGTTAAGTATAGCTCAGCTGATTTTTCCTGCAAAGAAAGAGTTAACGTAGCTGGGACTAGGGCTGAGGACAAACAAGGGGGCTCTCCAGACGGAGGGACACAGATAAAACCCATTTGCTGCCCAGTGGATCATTAAGAAGCTGCAGCTGGGCAGTGGGACCCACGTTCTTGCCTCTGCTCTCTGATAGAGCAAGCAAGCACGGCCAGGCATGGTGGCTCACACCTGTAATCCCAGCACTTTGGGCGGTTGAAGCCAGCGGATCACTTGAGGCCATGAGTTCGAGACCAGCCTGGCCAACACAGTGAAACCCAGGCTCTACTAAAAAATAAAAAATTAGCTGGGCGTGGTGGTGCATGCCTGTAATCTCAGCTACTTGGGAGGCTGAGGCAGGGGAATCACTTGAACCTGGGAGGCAGGGGTTGCAGTGAGCCGAGATCGGACCCTGCACTCTAGCCTGGATGACAGGGTGAGACTGTCTCAAAAAAAAAAAAGAAAAGAAAAGAAAAAAAGAGAGCAGGCATTGCCTCTGTGGAGACCTTTGCTTGCCCTCAATTCTGCTCTTCAAAACCCCGTCAACAGTGGGAAAGGCTCATGCATCAGAGAGAGAAAGACACAGGACAAACGAGCAGCCTACAACCGAGGAATCTGCCCGCGTGGCTCTATCCTCCGTGTGTTAACCTGTCCTGCCTCTTTTCCTTTGCTTCTTGCTGATTGTTTGAATTTATTTATTTATTTAGAGACAGGGTCTTGCTCAGGCTGGAGTGCAGTGACACAATCATAGCTCACTGCAGCCTCAAACTCCTGGGCTCAAGCGATCCTTATGTCTCAGTCTCCTAAGTAGCTGGGACTACAGGCGTGCACCACCATACCCGGCTAATTTTTGAACTTTTTGTAGATATGGGGGTCTCATTATGTTGCCCACGCTGGTCTTCAACACCTGACCCTGAGCAGTCCTCTTGCCTCAGCGTCCCAGAGCACTGGGATTACAAGTGTGAGCCACTGTGACTGGCCAGTTTAAATTTGTTGAATAAACCACATTATTGGAGAATCTTATTGCAAGCCTTTCTGTTTCATGACCTCCGGGAAAGTTTGACCGAACCGTACATAGACTACCTTTATTTCAAGGAATCCCCACACGACAAATTTGAAAGATGAATGCCGTTTAACTCAACAAAAATGAAATGAAAAGTATTTCCAGAAGAAAGGACAAAGTTCCTCCATTATTTCCCTTTTTTCAGGGGATGGTGTTGGTAGAATGTTACATGGGGTGTATTTATTTATTAAATACATTTTAATACGATATATGCAATCTATTTATTGTATTTACAGGGTTCTAAATGGTCAGGGGTTTTGTTTGTTTGCCTTTTAGTTCTACTTTGTTTTAAAAACAAAACTAAAACATAAAGCTATCTCAGGATAACACCCATCATGGGAAAGAAAATATGAAAACAGGCTGGAGGACTTAAGGGTGAGATTGATAATGGCCTTACACTGGCCCAAGGGGTAAATCTGCATGATCCAAATGGCTTCGTTTGTTCCTTTGTCTTAGCAATGATGCTCTTCTGACAGTCAGGCCTCGTCTACCTCACTTAGTTGGAGAATGAACCATTTTACATAAGTGAATTTCCCAGGCAGGTAACAGAATTTTTCAAAGAAAAGATCAAGATTATTTTATATGCTGAAAATCATTCTAATTTTGTTTTTTAATACTTTGTGGCTAGGCGTGATGGCTCATTCCTGTAATCCCAGCCCTCTGGGAGGCTGAGGAAGGCAGATCACTTGAGGCCAAGAGTTTAAGACAAGCCTGGCCAACACGGTGGTCTCTACTAAAAATACAAAAATTAGCCGGGCATGGTGGTGGGTGCCTGTAATCTCAGTTGCTCAGGAGGCTGAAGCAGGAGAATCACTTGAACCCAGCAGGTGGAGATTGCTGTGAGCCAAGATCACGCCACTGCACTCCAGCCTAGGTGACAGAGTGAGACTCCATCTCAAAATAATAATAATAATTATTATTATTAATATTTTATTATTATTATCATCATCTATAAGGTGTAGGAAAGAGATTGTATTGTAATATTTTGTGCTATAATATTCCAAGATTGTGCTATATATTTTTTTGAGACAGGGTCTTTGAAACAGGGTCTGTCGCCCAAGCTGGAGTACAATGGCGTAAACACAGCTCACTGCAGCCTTGACCTCCCAGGCTGAAGCGATCCTCTCACCTCAGCCTGCTGAATAACTGGGACTATAGGTGCACGCCACCATGCCTGGCTAATTTTTGTATTTTTTGTAGAGAGGAGGTTTTTCCGTGTTGCACAGGCAGGTTGCAAACTCTTAAGTTCAAGCAATCCTCTCGCCTCAGCCTCCCAAGTAGCTGGGACTACAGGCATATGTCACCACAACTGACTAAATAACATTAACTCATAAAATAAAATACGTTTTTCATACATTACATGGCAGATGCAGTGCCACAGCTCATCCCATCATGGGCCATGTTCTTCCATGTTCTTTGCATGTTTTCTTGTCCCTCGCAGTTAGATGGAGCCATATGAGAAGTACTAGCCAATGAAATGTGAACAGACATGACATGTGTGTCACTACCATGTTGCTGCAGTCAGAATAGGAGAGCCCAAATCCTAGAGCAGCTTGGATCCTGGAGTCACCATCTACAAGACAGCGACCCCTGGGGGTTCTCTGGACTGACAGTGACCTTGTATCAATGAGAAATAAATGTGTTGGACTAAGCCACTGAGATTTGGGAATCATTTGTCACAGCAGCATAACCTTGCCTATCCACACAAATGCACACACAAACATGAGAACAAAAACGAAATACACATTTTAAAAAGATGTGAGGAGAAAACACACCAGAATTTTTACAGTGCTATTTTTAGATGATGGCACCTATAGGTTAAAGAAAGAGCTTTTAACCTTTTTGCATATTTTCAATGTTATCGTAATGTAAAATGGACCATGTGATTGAGCACTTGCAATCTTGGACATTTATCCAGAGAAATGAAAACTTAAGTTCACACAAAAACTTGTAAAAAAGTATTCATAGCAGCTTTTATGCCAAACACTGGAAATACTCAGATGTCCTTCAAAGAATGAAGACTTAAGCAAACTGGTACATTCATATCATGGAATGCTACCATTCAGCATTGAAAAGGAATGAACTATTGGTACACACAAAAAATTGAACCCAAATATTCTGAAAATGACAACATTATAGAAATGGAGAATAGATTAACATTTGCCAGGGTTGAGGAGGAATGAAGCTGGGAGGGAAGTGGATGTGGCTATAAGAGGCAGCAGGAGGCACCCCTGTGATGATGGACGTGCCCTGTCTCTTGACCGGATCAATGGTCAATGTCTTGGTGGTGATATTGTACTATAGTTTTACAAGACGTTACCACTGGGGGAAACTGGGTGAAGACTATACAGGTGATCCCTCTGTATTATTTCCTACACCTGCGTATAAATCTATAATTAATTATCTCAAAATGAAAGGTTTAGTTTTTTTCAAAGAGGTTTTTAAAAAGTCCAAAGAGTGACAGGGATGTATGGTAAAGACTGTTCATATCTACTCTTCTTTTTTTCTTACTCACTGAGTTCCTATTTTGGGGGACTGCAATAGATGCAGTTAATAAAACTACTGTCCCAAATTCCTTTCCAGATGAGGACGGCCAATAATTATTAACCGGACGTCATTTTGAAGAGCTTCTAGGAAACCTCTTGAAAGGTTGCTAAAACCCTTCCCCCCTTGCTCCTTGCTTCTTCCAGATGCCTGGAACGCGTATGCGATGGTTGGGGCTACAGATGCCATTTTGTTACCATAGTGAAACCTAGTACTAAACACAAAAGACAAAAGGCACTCAGATGCCAATGATCACAGAGACATCATAGCAGCCCTGGACTGCCTCTGAATTTCTTGTTTAAGCCACTCATATTTGATTTTCCATTAAATACAATCAAATCTAATCCTAATTAGTATACCATATAATTCACCACATTGCTCTCTGCTTCATTTCCCCATGCCCAGTCCCACTCCTTACAGAGCAAAGGAAATTTGTTGGCCTGGGTTTTGGTTGTGGTTAAGGGTAATAAGTAAGTCTGCACAATCAAAAGAGCAGAGAATGTGTGGATTTTTTCACATTAGAAAGCTCTGGAGAAACTTAAAAAATAATAATGATTAGGAAGTTGAAAGAGAAGGAAGAGAGGAGAGAACAATGCATAGTACCAGCTAAGATCATAAGATGATTTTAAGTGTTTTGAAAAATTTTGGAGACAGAAGACAGGTGAAGAATAGCTGTGGATGTTTTCCTATGGAATTATCTCCTTGAGGCCTCTTAGGAAGGTTTCAGTAAAGATTTGGGTTAAAAAATTTTTTCAGGCAGGGCATGCTGACTCACACCTGTAATCCCAGCACTTTGGGAGGCCAAGGCAGGAGGATTGCTTGATCCCAGGAGTTCAAGACCAGCCTGGGAAAGCATGGCAAGACGCTGTCTCTACAAAAAAAACACAAAAGTTAGGTGGGTGTGGTGGCATGTACCTGTAGTCCCAGCTACTCAGGAGGCTGAGGTGGGAGGAAGGTTTGAGCCTGGGAGGTGGAGGCTGTGGTGAGCCATGATCACACTACTGCACTACAGCCTGGGTGACAGAGTGAGACCTTGCCTAGAAAAAAAAATTGTTTTAGTATCAGAATGGTGTCTCTCTGATTCTGACTGCAGGCTGAGACGTACCTGGTACACAGTCGGTCTCAGTGTTAGTTCTTCCCCTTCTGGGACCTCTCCTAATACAACATCTGCCATGGCATGGCCAATCTGCCATAAATTACCTCAAGATTCAGGGATCAGAGATAAGAGATACACTCTCAGCTTCTCAGAAAGGAGAGAAAAGCATTTAAGGTAATGTACTGGAAAAGAAAAAAAAATAGCTGTCTTTCCACCTGGCTCTTTTGCCAAGTAGCAAAGAGTCTGGGAAAAGCTGGAATGTGGTCTTTCCTGCCTGGGAGATGAAAGCCAATCCATGCACCAGGAAAGAGAAGATCCTGGTGCTGCCAAAAACCTAATGTGGGTGCTGGAAAAACACTGCAGCCTTGCCTGGGGCCTCGCTGGCTACCTCTCACCTGGGCAGGTGGTGGTGCGGGGCAGAGCATCCAGTTCCAGGAACATGTCGATAGTGCCATGGAAATTCAGGGAATGGAAGCAACCAGAGTGTTACCAGAAACTGATCTGCAAGACCAGGGCAACAAAATTGGCTGTGGTCTCTATCAAGCAGGTAGACATGGCCAGGTTGGTGGAAGGAAGTTGGGAGGTGCTCAAGGGGGAAGTAGAACCTTCCCGCACCTGTCAACAAGGGATTGTATTGCCCGGGAGTGGTTTGGGAGGTGAAGAAGGCTATGTTGGGTTCCAAGAGCATCTGGCTCAATTCTACCTCTTTTGAAAGCTTGAGCTCTGCCCCCTGCCATCTTAAGCAACTGGGCCCCAAGCTCCGTTCGGGGACAGGGCAACTGATATCACAGGGTTACTCACTCAGTACTGGGGCCGAGTGACCAGCATGCTGGTCTCACTAGGCAGTAAGGACTCAGGGATGTCACATCACACCTCCAGACCTTCTTCTCAAAAAAAAAAAAAAATGGGGAGGCTAGACAAGGCAGTCTCTAGAGAATCTGCCCATGCTGAAATTCTGTGACCCTACAGGAAGGCTTCCAGGACACAGCAGCCCCAGCTGACCTTCTGGGCTGGGCTGGTCTATCCATGCCTGGCCCTGACTGTTGAAGGGTCACACCAGGCCACATGGGTGTAAGTCCCCCAGCCCTTAGCTGTGCAGAGAATTGTGATGGCTGAGAATTGATGCCATCACAAGGTGACGCTGGACAGAGACCCAGGAACCAGTCCTTCCCCTCTCTAGTTTTGGCTAATTCATTCACCTCCCTGGACCTCAGCTCTTTAGTCCTTTTCCATCAACAAAACCAGAACAAAAACCCTGCCCCTCTCACAGGCTTTCCCTGACGATGCTGTGAAGCTGGCACCAGGAGGAGCCCTGAAGCCACACCCACAGCTCTCACACCAGCCACCCCAGGAACGCAGCCAGGGCTCGCCCTGCAGAGAGGCCTATTTAACTCCTTTATAATATATTTCTGGTGCTTCCTATGGGGCTCTAATGTACAGCCAGGGATGAGAACCACATTTTACAACTCTGCACAAGTACAGGGGCTGTTATTACCAATAACGGTGAAAAATTCAGTCACGTGATTTACTTTATACAACAGTAACAACCAGTTTGACTGATTTTTAGCACTAATGACCATTTATTTTAACATTGTTTGACACAACTTCAGTGACCCCACTCAATGACCTCTTAAGTTTCTGTAATGTAGGATTGGGCATGGTGGCTCATGCCTGTAATTTCAGAACTTTGGGGGGCTAAGGCAGGAGGGTCACTTAAGGCCAGGAGTTCGAGACAAGTTCAAGCAACATAGCCAGATCCCATCTCTACAAAAAATAAAAACATTAGCTGGGCGTGGTGGTGCACACCTGTAGTCCCAGCTACTGGGGAGGCTGAGGCAGGAGGATCGCCTGAACCCAGAAGATTGAGGCTTCAGTGAGCTATGATCGCCCCACTGCACTCCAGACTGGGCTACAGAGTGAGACCCTGTAACAAAAACAAACAAATGAACAAACAAAAATATCTATAATGCTTCAAATTTTGGAAAGAATGAGGGACACATAAGGAAAAGGTAAAAATTTAAATTAATTTTAATGACTCCCTTCTAAATTAGTGGTGTCCAGACGTCAGTCTTCAACACCAAATAGATCCTACTCACCAGGGGCTTTGGTCCACATCACAGATGTCCAATATCACTTTGTACAGCAGAGTCCAGCCCTCGGAGGGAGGATGGGAAGTCTGTTAGCAAGAACCCCAGGTAACTCGGAAGCACAGCCAGGCTGCGGAATCACTGCCATGGGCACGTCCTGCCAGGAGCAAAGCCCTCTGGGAAGGGAAGGAGTCGCGAGGCTGCGAGCATTGGGCTTCCCTGGGCCTTCAGGTCCTCAACCAAGCAAACGGACACCTGCGAGTGATGGCACCAGTGCAAGCGAGTCCAGCCCCCCAGAGTCAATTAGACCAGGCAGAAGGACACGCTCACCTATTGGCCACCAGGGACCTCTGAACCCTGCACCAGGCTCCACATGGCATGACAAGCATGGCCCTGGCGGCTGGGAGCACTTGCTGCACCTGGCCTTTCTCCTCTTCCCTCTTGTCTGGGCCCTACAGAGAAAGCCTCATCCCTTCAACCCCCTGCAGGCAGCCCTGCCCTCTCCATTCCTTCCCTCAGGACGGGCAGACTGAGCCTCCCGCTGGTCACCAAGAGAACAAGATAGAAGCCGTCCCTGCACTTCCAAACTTAGAGTCTAAGCTGGGGGGACAGGCAAGAACCAGGCTGCACTGGGAAGGGCAGAAGGTGCTGCAGGACCTGCAGGAGGGCATCCCCCACGGGGCTGCCGAGAGAGCCTGCTGTGCCGAGGACCTGGCATCCCCATGCCAACTTTGTCACCACACACTCCTGAAGAAGACGCTATTCTATCTCCATTTTATGGTGGAGGACGTGGAGGCTCAGAGGTTTAAACTACCTAGAGTCATGCAGCTCTAGGGAGGGAGCTGGAGTTTCAACCCAGAAGCAGACACCAGGGCTGGTTTTCTGAATCGCTGGGAGCCTTGTATGCTCTCCTAAGACCTCGCCTTTCATTTAGGAGCCGTTTAGGCATCCTAAATGCTAATGGGTCTTTAGGATTTTGCCCGTTATTGGAGCCCACGAGAGGATGGAGCCAGAGAAAAGGTGACGCAGGCCCTAGAAACACCCAGGGAATTCCAGGTCCCCAGTGTGGGCTCCAGACAGAGCAGAGGATAACACTTCCGCTTGGCCCTCTGGACTCCCTGTCCCCTAGGAAGTGGTGTGGACGGAGGGGACCGAGCCAGCCCCTCTAAAGTCCAGGGCCTAGGAAGGGCCTCTCCTGCCCACACCCACGGGTGGCACACAAGCACCGAGGACAGCTGTAAACCAGCTCAACCACCTACTAGCTACGTGACTTTAGGCCACTGACTTATCTGCTCCACGCCCTCCTTACAAAACAAGGATAATACTGCTTTCCGCGGAGAGGCTATGAAGATCACAGTGAAGATTAAACAAAGATGGGTATTAAAGGCCTATTGTGTGTCCCCAGCTCTTAGGCACTTGCAGTCACTTTTCTCAAATGCCAACCTCCCCCCCTCAGTTGTCAGCTTCCTTGGGGGTCGCTCCAGTGGAAGAAAGCCTCGCCCGAGGCGGAACCCCTGGCAAGGCAGTGCCTGACCAGCAGAGATCCACGAGGGGCTATAAAGGCCACGCATCCTCATCCGGGCCCCAGGCTGGGGCAGCAGGAAAGAGCTGTCCCGCCTTCAGAACTCCCTGTAAAAGTGGCTGCGTTTCCACTGAGGCGCCACGGCAGCCCAGCTTCTAGCCCGTCCAGCCTGCTCCAGGGCCTCCCTATAACGGAGACTGGTTACAAGGCAACCAAGTACAAATCCTAACGAATGTCCGCCCTCTGACCTCCTTCCCAGGGGACATATCTGTGACAGCTGAGCCTGCTATGGTTGTCGCTCTACTGTTTGTGTTTTTATTTTTTTAATTGTGGTAAAGTACTCATAACATTGACCATCTCAGCCATTTTTAGGTGTACAGCCCAGTGGCATCAAGCACATTTCTTGTTATGCAACCATCACCCCCATCTGTCTCCAAAACTCTATCATCCTGGGTTGAAGCCCTGGACCCTTTGCACACTCCATCCTCATTTCTCCTCTCCCCAGCCCCTGACAGCCACCATTTTGCTTTCCGTCTCTATAAATCTGACACCTCTAGGAACTTTACAGAAGCAGAATCGTGCAGTATTTGTCCTTTCGTGACTGGCTTATTTCACTTAGCATCATGTCTCCAACATTTCAACGTGTTGCAGCATGAGTCAGCATTTCCCTCCTTTTTAGGGCTGAATAATATTCCACCTCATGTATATGCCAGTGTTTGTGTTTATCCATTCACTTATTGATGAATCCATGGATTATTTCTACCTTTTGGCTATTGTGAATAATGCTGCCATGAACAAGATGTACAAACAGCTTTTCAAGACCCTGTTTTCAATTCTTCTGGGCATATACCTAGAAGAGGAATTGCTGGATCCTATGACAATTGTACATTTAATTTCTTGGAGGAAACTCCATTCTGCTGTCCACAGCGGCTGCACCATTTTATATTCCCACCATGGTGCACAAGGAATCCAGATTCTCCACATCCTCACTAGCATTTGTTGTTATTTTCTGGTTTCTCTCTCTCTCTCTTTTCTTTTTTTTTTTTAGACAGAGTCTCACTCCGTTGTCCAGGCTGGAGTGCAGTGGCGCCATCTCGGCTCACTGCAACCTCCACCTCTTGGGTTCAAGCGATTCTCCTGCCTTGGCCTCCTGAGTAGCTGGGACTATAGGCATGTGCCACCATGCCTGGCTATTTTTTATATTTTTAGTAAAGATGGGATTTCACTACATAGGCCAGGCTGGTCTCGAACTCCTGACCTCAGGTCATCCACCTGCCTCGGCCCCCCAAAGTACTGGGATTACAGGTGTGAGCCACCGCACCTGGCCAATTTTCTGGGTTTTTTTGTTTGTTTGTTTGTTTTTTTAATAGTACCTATTCTAATGGCTGCTATTGTTTTTCAGTTTAGATTCCCAGCGTCCCCCTAGAGCTGCTCTGTTTATAAAGTGTCCTAGGCAAGTCTGACACACAAGTAGGCTTGAGACCCACAGCTCTGAAACCCAGTAGTTGCAGTGTGTGTTCCAGCACGGATCTGTTATGCGTTTCCAAGCTTTTAAAATAAACATCACGAGGAACAATGGGGCAGGTCTGGGAATGTGCTATCCAAGGCCCTAGGTTCCCTGTCTCCTTCGAAGTCACCCCCACGTCTTTGCCAGTAAAATGGGAGCTTCCAACCGAAAGGCAATGAGATCCAGTTGGCCTTGCCATTCTCTGACTTTTATGTGGGCTTAAGACCCTGACAGAGAACTTACAGTAATCGCTTTGGCTGGGAAATCTCTTGGATTGACAGACACCACACACCCAGGGGAATCAGACATAATGTTCCCCGTTCCCAGCATTTATCTTCCTCTATCCTGCACATACCATGGCTAGAGAAGCCCTGATGGTCTCATCCTCACGGCTTTCCCATGATGCTTCACAGGAGCTGCGAGGACGCTTCAGGGCCAGGGACATCCACTGCCCAGGCAGGAGGGGCCAGGGCAGTGAGGGTGTAGGCCCTCGCCTCCCAGCCCTACTTTCATGCGGAGCTGCAGCGCCATGCCTGAGCCCAGATGGGAGACTTCTCTGTGGAATAAAAGCCTTGTAGGGGTTTTCCCTTCCTTAGAAAATTCCCGGATTCACCACTCCAGTGGATTCGCAAAGCTTTCACAGAGGAGGAAGCGTGAGATTCAAACAACCCACAGACACAACTTTCTTCCAGCAAAACCGATTCTACTCTCAAGTCCTTCTTCATTCTCCTCATCCACTTGCTGACCAAACTCTTGTACTCATGGCCATTACAGTTTCTTAGGCACTCAGGCATGTGTCGGGAGCCTACTCTAGGGACTAGGACTATGTTCAATTTAGGAGGAAACACAGCACACGATAGCAAGCCTTCAACCTTCATTTGTGAATCCTCAGGATCAAGGGCTTTGCCTGAGAAATACCCATGGCTAGCTGAGTCCCACCCGCTGTGGTCTCACTCTGACCCAGTAGACCACAGCCTGCCCCAGCCAGGACAGGAGGCTGCTCGATGGTGGGTTGCTGTCCCTGGCTCCCAGAGAGCTCAGTGTTCTCTTGGGAAGGCTCACAAATACCTATTTAAGAAGCTTCTGGCCAGGTGCGGTGGCTCATGCCTGTAATTCCAGCACTTTGGGAGGCCAAGGCAGCTGGATCACTTGAGAGCAGGAGTACGAGACCAGCCTGGACAACATGGTGAAACCCCATCTCTACTAAAAACACAAAAGAATTAGCTGGAAATTCTGCTGGGGCCCCTTTCTGGCTGTGCTTCCGGCTCCAGGACAACACACGGGATTACAGATGTGCAAGCAATTCCCTGAAGCCCATGAGTCTTCCTGGAAAGAGATAGTGGATGCGGCCGATACTGTTGGCTGCCTCCCCTTCAGCCGCCCCTGCCCCACCTCTTGCTTGCTGTCACAGGTCTGTTTGGGCGGCCTGCAGTTGCTGGGCCTCTCCCAGCCACAGGAGTTGAATATGAGCTGGCCTAAGTCAATTATGCAGTTCCATTTCCCTGGTTGTAGGGCACGTGATCCAACCCTGGCCAATGAGAGGATTCTGAGAAAGTGTTTTCATCCAAGAGAAACACGAATTTGAGACTCATCTCTTCTTGCTTCTGGGGATTGTCACGTGTGTATGGAAAGCTGGGTGCTGCTGCAACCACCACGTGATCATGAGGAGAAAGCCAAGAGAATCCCAGAGTCTCTACTCATGAAGCCAGTGAGTTAATCAACCCCAAATTTCCCTGCCTCTGGACTTCTTACTAGACAGGAAAACAAACCCCACATTCTTCAAGCCACTTTTAGCTGGGAATTTTGTTTCCCATAGGCAGAAGCATCCTAGCTGCTAATAGTCTCCCAAAATACAGCTTCGACCAAAGGGGCCAACAAGACACAGAGCGGCATCAGCCAGGGTGTTAAATGCAAACTTGCGTTATCCACATCTATGATAATGAGCTGTCACGTGACCAAGGCTGGTACACTGGCCATCCTGTCACATTCGGGATGCAGAAACTGAGGCTCAGGGAAGTCATAAGAGCAAGACTCCGTAGTTCTTTTTTTTTTTTTTTTTAATTGAGAGGGAGTCTCGCTCTGTCGTCCAGGCTGGAGTGCAGTGGTGCGATCTCAGCTCACTGCTAACCTCTGCCACCCAGGGTTCAAGTGATTCTTCTTCTGCCTCAGCCTCCCGAGTAGCTGCAACTACAGGTGTGTGCCACCGCAACTGGCTAATTTTTTTTTTGTATTTTTAGTGGAGACATGGTTTTGCCATGTTGGCCAGGCTATTCTCGAACTCCTGACCTCAGGTGATCCACCTGCCTCGGCCTCCCAAAGTGCTGGGATTACAGGCATGAGCCACCACACTCAGCTGACTCTGTAGTTCTTTACACTTCGCAAAGTGTTTTTATGTAGAACATCTTACTTAATCTTTGTTAAAATTGCCATTATTATCCCCGTTTGATAAGTGAGCAAGTGAAAGCTAAAAGGGAACACTAAGCTGCTAATAGCTGTAGTGTTTTATGGTTTGCAAAGTGCTCTGGGATAATTTGTCTGATTATTACCTTGAGATCTAGTCTGTAAGGTAAAGGTTGATAAATCAGGAAGCAGGCTCAGAAGGGGCAACTGACTCTGCCAAGCTCCACTAAACTCCAAGGCTGTTCTTCCCATACCAGAGGTTCTCACAGTGTAGGTCTTGGGCCTGCAGTCTGAGCCTGGCCTGGGAACGTCTTACAAATGCAAATTACCTGGGGGTGGAGCCCAGCAATCTGTGTTTTACCAAAACCTCCAGGTGATTGTGCTCACACATTTGAGGAGTGCTGCAGCGCTCTCTCTCTGATTTGTCTGAAATGACCTTGCCAGGTGAATCTGGGGCCTTGGTCAAGGACCAAGTGCTCTTTCTAGTACAGCAAATTGATGCTAAACTAAAAAATAGAAATAAAAGCTATGCTCGGGCCGGGCGCAGTGGCTAACGTCTGTAATCCCAGCACTTTGGGAGGCTGAGGTGGGCAGATCACGGGTTCAAGAGATTGAGACCATCCTGGCCAACACGGTGAAACCCCATCTCTACTAAAAATACAAAAATTAGCTGGGTGTGGTGTCACGTGCCTGTAGTCCCAGCTACAGGAGGCTGAGGCAGGAGAATCCCTTGAACTCAGGAGGCTGAGGCAGGAGAATCCCTTGAACTCAGGAGGCGGAGGCTGCAGTGAGCCGAGATCACGCCTCTGCACTCCAGCCTGGCAACAGAGCGAGACTCCGTCTTAAAAAAAAAAAAAAAAAAAAAAGTTATGCTCAGAGCTGTTGCTCCATGACTGTAAAATCCCAAAGCATACAGTACACAGTCACGCAGCACACAATGGCATTTCTGTCAATGACAGACCTCATCAATGACAGTGCCCCATGAGATGATCATGGCGCTGCATATACAGGTGTGCCATTTAAAAAAATCTTTTATACTGTATCTGTACTGTTTCTTTTCCATGTTTAGAAACACAGATATTTCACATTGTGCTGCAATTGCCTATAGTACTCAGTATAGTACCATGCTGTACAGGTTTGTAACCTTGGAGCAATAGGCTACAGTATAAGACCTGAGTGTGTAGTAGACAACACCATCTAGTTTCGTGCAAGTATACTCTATGATCGCATGATGACACAGCTGTCTAACAACACACTTCTCAAAATGCATTCCCATCATGAAGCCACGCATGACTCCACTATAAATAAAAGACTGCCCTTCAGGGTTGAAGGAAATGATTTTAGGATCAAGAAGCAGGGACTGTAATATGATACACGTCACAGAGTGGACTCATAGAACTTAGGGCCCCAGCTAACAGTAAGGCTGACAATATAGATATCCATCCAGAAGGGTTGGGGGCCTCCTCAGAAACTGATCCATCATGAGTGGTGGAGAGAAAGCAGATTATACATGTAGATCTCCTGCTATGCACCAGACACTTGACGAATGCGATGTCATCTAACTCTAATATTCCTTCCTGCTGGGTATAACCAGCCCCGCAGTATCTTAAAGAATCTGGGGCTTGGAAAGCTTCAATGACTCGCCCAAGGTTCACGTAGCTAGTGAGTGGTGAAATCACTCTTTGAACGAAAGTCTTGTTTCCTCCAAATTCAATGCTTTTGGCTACTTCATTTTACAATTGATCCTTCTGTATTGAAGAAAAAAAAAAACCTTTCAAAGTAGCCCACATCTGAACACCAAGATTCCATCTGCAGCCTGAGGCTGGCCGGCTCTCCACTCTGAGCCCACGTCCCCCCTGATTCCCTATCTCCTCCCGTCCTCTGTGCGTACCTGCCCTTCCTGGAGGTCATCATGCTCACTTTTGTAACTATCACAGTGCCTAGTGGAGCTCTGAACAGAGCAGGTGCCTAGCTAATGTTACCTAAAGTATTTTCAGACATTAATGTTGGAGGAAGGCTCGGTCTTTGGGGATCGATGACATCCCAGTGGGTGCCCAGTGCCTCAGGCCACTGTTAGACAAATCAACTCCGGGTCTGAGGCAGGGTGAAAACTCTTTCTGTCCCTGTGTGGCTGGGTTGTATCAGCCCAGCACCTCCAGCAAGCCACAGAGTGGTTGCTCAAGAGATATTGTTGACAGATTGATTTACTGACTAATTTATATGACATACTTATTCAATGACACAGGTCTCTTGGAGGGAGTTCACAGGAAAGTAACCAAGATGATTAAAGGATTGGAAAATGCGTTTTACAGGGAAAGGTTACAGGGACGGGTTATTTAACTTGGAGCTGAGAAAGCTGTTGAACACTGCATGCACAGGCCATCGAGCTGGAAAGAACCGAAGGCTTGTTTAGTCCAGACCCCTTGATTTCCACCTAAGAGACCAAAACCCAGGAGCAGAGGAGCAGAGAACTATGTTGCCAGCCACAGTCTACACTTCGTGACTGCAGGTCCAGGGATCCCTCCAAAACACCAGGTGTCTCCCTCCAACACACACACACACACACATACACACACACACACGTGCACTCGTAAACTAACACATGCATCACATGCACACACACGTCACATGCACACCCACCTGTATACACATGCACACTCATGTGCACACACCCACACCCACATCACATGTGCGCACACGCACCTGTACAAACATACACACTCATGTGCACACCCACACACGCATACACACACACACACACATTAAACACAGAGGTTCAGAAAACGGCAACCAGCTCTCCTCGTCCCCTCCTGTTAGAAGAGAGCAGCAGGCCTGTCTGAGGTCACTATAATTTGTAAGAGGATTTCTGGAAGATGTTTATATAACCGAGAGGGTAAATAAAGAACGATGTGGAGTGCACATCTTGAAGGTGTGTTCTCACTGTCTGAGATGCATTTCTGGGCTGTGCACCTCCCCCAGGGAAGGAGTCCTGGTGCCCTCCCGCGACCTCCTCCAAGCTTCCACCCTGAGGCAGTGTCTTTGCTCCTTTTCCCTTCACTGTGCAGCAGCTGGGGAGGGAGCCTGGGGCAGGGGGATGAGCTGGCTGTGGGGCATGGTCCCATGGGGAAGTACAGATCTGAGGCACAGGGACAGTTAGCTGCAGCCGCGCTGGACCTCGTCTGAGGTCTGGGCCATGGATCTCTGCTCACTTGCCGTTGGAACCACTGATCTCCCCTAAGCCTCGTTTTCTCCACCAGAAAACTGGGACGGGAGACTGGCACTTGACTGGCCGCTGGGGGGATGTCATTACCATAAAGAGAGCAGACCCCAGTTTGATTTTGTGGCCCTTCCATGACTTCATCTGTCCGGGCCTCAGTCTCTTCTGCACAAATGGGCCCAGGATGCCAGCCTTGAAGCTGGGTAGAGAAAATTCAATGACCTCATTGATAGGGACCTTCTATGCCCCTTCCTTACCACTCTCTCTATTTGCCCTGGGTCTTCAGAGATTCTTGAAGTCTCGGTCCTCTAAGAAGCAAATTGGACACCTCCCCAGAATCTGCTCCCACCCCAGCTGACCTCACCCTGCAGGAATCAAGGGGCAGCTGCCCACCTCTCCCTCCTCTCCAAGAGCCCCAAGAAATCCTCAGGAGGGATTTCTCCCTCTCTGACTCCAGCGACTGCATTGCTCACCCTCCAGGTCCAGGTGGGAGAAACAGACAGGCTGTGATACTAACATCCTGTAAATCAACGAGCAGAAACCTGAAACTCCACTGTGTCGTGTTTAAACATGATCTGCTCCCAAACAGCCCAGCAGGCCTTGCAGAAGAGAACCGATCCTGCGTCACCGCAAGCATCCTGTTCAAGACATCCCTCCCAGGCTCTCAGGCTGAAACGCCTCCCCACTTGCTGTGACTTCCCAGAGCCAAGACTCTCTGCCCCTCAGGTGGCTGGCTGACCCTGCGGGACATAGGCAGCTGCTGACTCACCGTCCTCCAGGGAGCACAAGGGCATGGCTCAGCCCCTAAGCCTCAGGGGGACGTCCTTTGGAGGAAAGTCAGGCCAGGGGGAACACCGCCTCCTTCCCTGCCAGTGGCTCAGTCCCTCTGGGCAGCAGGGCTGGCCACCCTCCTCCGGACAGTCCTCGGGGCCACTCTCCTTGGCCTGAGAGCCTGAGGCCCCAGTCCCTTGGGCAGGAGCCCAGCCTCCTGAGCTCCAACAGATGGTCCATTTGCACAGAGACCTGCCACCCTGGCCACTCTCCCCAGAGGGAGCTGGATTATGGCAAACCCAAGAGGATTAGTGCGGGAGGCCATCTGCAGAGAGGATAATTAGCTTAATGGGGTTACACGGATTGTTCCTGGCCCTCTGCCCAAGGGTACACTTGTCAAGACTGTTAAACACAGCCTGGGGGCTTGCAGGGGAGCCCTCTGAGCACCAGCAGCTCCCACCCTGTTCCAGTTGTCTGGGTGGGCCATGACAGGCCTGCAGGATTGGGGGAGCGCCCCGCCCACCGTGGTACTGGGCAGGAACACCAGGTCCTGAGTGGGGGACACCAGGGGAAAGGTGGGGAACTGTTTTCCATCTCCCGGAAGAAAGCAGAGAAGGAAACATGATGGTATTGCATCGGGCAGGAGGCAGCACGTGGAGGCCCGAAAGAAGCAGCTGAGAAGTCAACCCGTCCTCAGCCATTTTCTCCACCAAAGCCGAACAGCAGCTTCCCCTCGAAGGGTCCTCCTTCTTCATTTCAGACAAAATGGATCATTTTGGTTTTAGGTTGGCAGTGCCTATGGGGAGCCACAGGAGCCTGGAATGTTCAAATCAACTCTCTCGGAGGGCTGGAAATTTGTTTTTTGTTTGTTTAGAATACACTTGTTTAAGTGCAGGGCTGCCTGGAGGCAGGGGACAAACTGTGACCTCCAGCCTGGCAGTTTCCTCCCTGGAAATTAACTAGGTGGAAGGGCAGCCTGTGGAAGTCATGGGGACTCAGGGTGTGTTGCCATCAAGAGGCGAAGATTTAGTGTATGTGTAGTCCGCATTGAACTGATCAGTTCCACAAATGAAATCACTTAAGCCTTGCTTCTGGCTGACAGACACAGCAGGTCAGTCCCAGTGATCAGATGTGTGTGGATGTTGGCTCTGGGGTGCAGATCACACTGTAGGTGAAAGATAGGCTTGCCCAGGTAATTTTAATAAGTTAGCATAAGCATCGTCAAACACAGTAGTGATCAGCCAAAGTCCAGATGCTTCATGCAGAGCACAGAATACGAGTAGCGCAAAGGCATTTCAGATGATGTACGTTTGGTTCACATGTAGTGAGCACCTACCTGCAAAGTGTACAGCAGTCATTGCTATTCAGTAAATGCCAGTTCATCCAAATCCATGAATAAGCACAGAGTTGCAATAAAACATTTCACTAGCTTCTTTTCCCCAGGGGAATGTGGGGAAACATTGTAAGTAAAGGGAAAATATAATTTGTTCAATGTCCACACTTATAAAGGAGAGTATACTTAGTGGCCTCAAAGTGGGGTTACCGCATATTTTATCAGCTAAACCAAGGCACTTTGGGGAGTGAAACAAGACATTATCAATTTCATCTGGAAGACAGGAGTAAACCGCAACTGTCCCCAGGCAATCAGCACCCAGGGCTCCCTTACCTCGAAGAATGACCAAGTGTAACATCTCTGATTTTGTGAGTTGCATAGTCAAATAGCCTTTGTACTACAGAAAACCTACTTCAATGATTCAAAGCTGCAAGACGGTAGCTAGAACTTTTGAACCTGAGCCTCAGAGGTCTTTGTACCAACCAACAAGAGATTCATGGCTCAATGTTTCCCAAATACCTACTATGTTCCACCTGCCCTCTTAGCCACTACTGAATATGCAAAGAAACCTCAGAGAAGCCAACATCAAATTGTAGCCACAAAAGATAAGCCAGTTAAAGTAAAATACCAATCCTAGACTTTGACAACCCTTCCAAGTGGCTGAAAGCAGAATATGCAAAGTGACTATTATTGACAGTAAGTGCTATAAATATTCCAAAGCTAGAAAGACTATCATGATGGGAAGGAGGACATCACTCCTGAAGGATGAAAAGGAGAGGGCATTTTGATCCAGATGAAGCAGAATATCTGTGCATGAATTTATACCCTCTGCTCCGATTTCATAGCCATGAGGGACCAAATGAAACAAAGGAACAATAAAAAGATATAACTAGGGTTTCCCCCTACACTCCCCAAAAGGCAAACATCTCTATTGCCCAAAATTAGAAGAAAAACACAAAGCAGTGAGTAGGACTGAGACCACAGGCTGGCTGGGCTCCTCCACACCTTTAAGACACAGAAGCTGTAAAAGGGAATGCTGACCCCTGTGTGGGGGCATGGCTTTATGATACTAGATCTCTGCTGGTGGAGCAGGGGTTGCCCAAGGATCACGTGGCAATGGTTGAAGACATTTTTGGTTGTGTCAGCTGGAGGGGGGAGTGCTACTAACATCCAGTGGATAGAGGCCAGGGACACTGCTAAATACCCTGCAATACACAGGACAGCCCTCTCCATGACAAAGAATTACCCAGCCCCAAATGTCAGCAGTGATGAGATTGAGAAACCCTGGTTTATAGGAAGCCATTGGTGTAATACACACAAAGTATCTGAAATACATTTGTGCTACTCATATTCTGGGCTCTGCATGAAGAAACAGGACTTCAGCTGATAACTGCTGGGTTTGATAACCTTTATTCTAACTTATAAAAATTATTTGGTTTATAAGAAGACATTGGTATAATAAGTAAGAGGGAACAAAAAGATTCAGCCGCATGGCTGGTGACTGGGTCTAGAATATCCCCCAAAATATTTGCAGAGGAAGAACTCCAAAAATGTCACTAGGAGATTCGGTTCTGACTAGGAAACTGCATGAGGGCCACCACAAAACTACTACCCAGGGAGGGTAGCAGATAGAGAGGGAGAGAAAACAGAACAAAAGCAAACCCGCTACTCTAGGTGAGCCTGAAACCAACATTTAAAATCACATGACAAATATGATGTACAGAAAGACAGTCAACAAAGTCAGCAATGAGAACATGAATTCACTCCAAATGAAATTAATTTCATGGGATGGTCTGATAAAGACTTAAAATGTGCCTTAGCTGGAGCTAGAGGGGTACACGGGAGAGCTCGGAAGGAGAGAGGCTTCATAATTACCATATAGCAGCCACTGTCTAGAGTTTCAAAAACCCTAGGAGGTAGGTATTATTATACCACTCCCGATATGAGGAAACCGAGTCATGGAAATGAGAACTAATTTCCCAGGGTCATTTGGCTGGTATGTGGCAGAGCCAGAATTTGGGTCTAGGCAGTTTGGCATTGGCCTCCATGCATCTCATCAATACACTGTGCTTTGGGTAGAGAGAACAGCATAGCCCCAAGAAGGGATTTTATTAAAGATATAAGAAAGAGAATGAAGCATCAAAAAGGGAATGGAGAGAGAAGAGTCAAGCAAAGCAGTGTGAAAACAGGCTAATTGTGTTCGCAGGGTGCAGGAATGGTAATCCAGCCATGGCTGCTGAGACACCCAGGAGAATAAAAGGGAAATGGCACCAGTTCTTGGCAGTGCAGGGAGCCCTGGTGGCCTTCAAGAGAGCTGTTCAGTCGAGAGGAGAGGGCAGAAGAGAGAGAGACTATAGGTGAGAAGGTGGTGGGGAAATAGAGGCAGGAATGACAAACCTTTTGTTTGGGAAGTTTGCCAGTGCAAGGCAGGAAAGAAACAAGGTGGTAGCCAGAGCAGGCAGCAGGAAGTGGCCGGTGATGGGGAGAGACTGAGGATGCAGGAGGGAGGGGACAACGCAGGTCCTAAAAAGGTGAGAGGAGGAACCACAGCTTGTTGCTGGGGCCTGGTTCCTGGGACCGGTATGTAAACCCAACCACGGGGCATTTATGCACTGAGTAAGAACTACAGCGAGCTCCACATCACCTGGACACAGCCCAGGACAGTGCAGCCTCTGGACCGTCACTTCCTTAGCTGTTCTCAAGGGAATTCTGCCACCGCAGGCCTTCCTAGGGATGGGCTGGTTTTCCACAAGCTGCCGCTGCCGGGCCATCATTCTTACACGTGGGCACAGCCCCTCCTTCCTTCAAAGGGCATGCCCACTGTCAGCTTCCACCACCATTGGCAGCTCCTTGCTGCTGTCGTCCTTGGACCTCATGGACTCGCTCCCTCGTTCATGAGGAGTTTGGCACCTGGCCATGCAGAATCTCCCTGTCCACTTGAGAAATGCCACTGTTCCCTGATGGCCCTATGTCTGTGTGGCACCCATCCCACAACCTGGCCTCAGATCCCCTCAACTCAACACCCTTCATCCACACTCCAACTCACCAATTCACTCCCCATCTGTTCCCCAGGCTTTATCACCCAGATGTGATCAGCTCTAGAAACCTAAACTCAAAGAATTCAGTCTCAGGCCACAGTCTCCTATGCCTACAGCTCTCTCCTCTCCTGCTTTCACCACAGGACTGCCCGGTAGCCTTTCAGCCATTTTGCTCCCATGCCTTCTCCTGCTTCCTGGTTCTACAGTGGCTGTCTGCCTAGCCCCATTCTCATGGGACACACTTCATACACTCTCTTGCAGATCAACGCAACGACCTACCTTCCTCTCCTCCACTGCACCAACTGGAAGCTTCCGGAAGAATTTGCTCACTTCTGTGGATTTAGGTTACTTCAAATTCACAGTCTCAGCATTAACTGAGACTTTGATTCATTTCCTCAATATTTTTCTCATTCCCTGGTCCAGTCTTTGATGCTCTTTTCAAGGTTTCTCTCATCCCCTGGTCAGGTCCAGCCCTCACAGTTGCTACTCCAAATCTTCACCAGCTTCCCTGAGTCACCATCTCCACGGACCTTTGGGCAGGATAATAGGAGATGAGCTATTCTTAACATTGTTCCTCTGCTCGTTGCAGAGGAATAGCAAATCTCCCTGAAAGAAGTTGCTCTGTGTCCTGTTATAGTTCTGTCTCTATGATTGTCTTTACCCAGACACCA
This sequence comes from Homo sapiens, assembly GCF_000001405.40. Taxonomy (NCBI): domain Eukaryota; kingdom Metazoa; phylum Chordata; class Mammalia; order Primates; family Hominidae; genus Homo; species Homo sapiens. The sequence goes on from NC_000008.11 coordinate 10,659,942, forward strand.
CAGTAAGCGACATTCTACAGTCACATGAGCTCAAATGGACTTCAGCAGGAAATCTACCAAGTCCTTACTGCAGGGCTGAGGTGGCTGCTGTGGTTGGATTAGGAGTTTTGTCTTCTCGTTACCCTCTGGATTCTTCTCTTTCCTTCCCCTCTGCACGCCTCTTTACTCCTGGGTGGGAAAGATGCTCATGTTTTTTCTCCTTACTGTTGAGAAGGCTCTCAGCTGCAGGCAGCCAGTCCATGCATGCGTGGTCTTTACAGGGCGCCATCACTGGGGTTGTGGCTCGCAGGACCCCTCGGTGCTCCCCGCTGGACACGGCTCCCCATGTGTCTGATCTCTAAGGCCAGAGCAATCCTGGAATGAGTGGTAGGGCCTCAGAGCAGTGCTTCCAAAAGGAATTGCAGCCAGCAGTGAGTTGTGGGCAGTTTGTTACTTACACAAAGTGGGGTAAGGGCAGACATGGTGGGTATGCATTTAGAAACTTAGAGCGATTTGACTTTGTGGTGATATCCAGGTGCAAGAACGCTTGGCTCGTATTTTGTGTGTCTAATACGTTTTTTAATAATTCCTTTTATTGTATTCTTTTAAGTACTGACCGACAATAGGTTCAAACTTTTTAAACCAAACAAATAGGTTCTTCCTTCCCAGGCGTTGTTGGAGAAGCACTTCTCTCCCCTGGGAGCCATCATGTCTTTCCCCTTTCTTTAGAGGGAGCCACCGACCTGGCTCATAACGATGCAAGGCTGGCACCCACACTGTAGTCGGCTTCAGCTTCCATAACACAGGACCACAGACCGGGGGCTTAGATTGCACAAACATATTTCCTCACAGTTCTGGAGTCTGGAAGTCCGAGTGGAGGGTGTTGGCAGCGCTGGTTTCTCTGGGGACCCCGCTCCTGGCCTGTAGATGGCCGTCTTCACCCTGTGTACTCACATGGCTGTCCTGTGAGTGTCTGTTTCCTAATCTCCTCTCTCTGTAAGGACATCAGTCCTATGGGATTAGGGCCCTTCTCATACGACCTGATTTTACCTTATTTACTTCGTTAAAGGCTCTATCTCCAAATACAGTCACATTCCGAGGAACGGGGGGTTAGGACTCCAACTTGTAAGTTTGGGAGGACCTGATTCCCCCTTCACACCATGAATTCACATACTCAGGGCCCCGTCCTCCCAGCTTTTGTGCGACTCCCACAGTCCCCAGCAGCTCAGCTCTCCCCTTTCAACAGAACCACAGATAAGGGAGGACTCGAGAACCTGGGCTCATTTCCAAAGTGCCCGACCGGTTGTAAACTGGTAAACCCCCAGGGCTGTTGCTGGCCAAATTACTACCATCAGGGGCTTCTTTCTTTCATTAATTCAACAAATATGGATCTGGTTTTTCGTTATGTGTCTGACACTGTTCTAGGCACAGGAGATACCAAATAAACACGCAGTGCTCTCACGGGCTGAAGTTCTGGGGTCTCCAATTCTTCCTTTCACCTCTCAGGCTCCCAAGATCGCTCCCTCCTTTCCAAAGGCTGCTTCAGACCAACCCTCCCCAGCCTCTGACCTCCCAGCCACAGCCTCCCCTCCAGGAGAGGCCTTGACCGGAACTCCTCCAGCCAGTGTGCCAGCCCTCCCAGGCAGACAGAGGACAGGCTTTGATGAAATTAAGTTTCCACATGGGTCTGAGTACTGCAGGACCACTCTTGGAATCACGGGTGTCCTGTTCTCTACAGATGCACTTCCAAACCTCTGCAGATCCACCCCTGCCCCCACCTCCACAATGACATCATCTCTGCTCTCTCGTAAAGTGAAAATCAGACTGAGGTCTCTCTCTTTTCAGAGATTCAGGCAAACAGGCTCCAGCCCCGTCTTACTGGATAGGGAACTTGGCATCTCTCCGCAGATCCATGAGGGCATTTGGGGGTTAATGCTTACACCTAGTGAGACCCAAGTCTGGTTTACTGCGGCCAATTTCTCATCTATCATCTGTTGGGGTTAGGAAAGGCAGCTGGGGTTAGCTCACAGGCCTGCAAGGGAGGACTTTTGAGGGTGACCAGTATGCAGCCCTGCACACCAAGCCTTCGGGCTCAACCCTCCTTGCATGAAGGAGTGTCCTGGTGGCATCTCCCCTGGAACTCCCTACTGCCCCCACTTCACTCTTGCCTCCAACCTCTTCACGAAGAGCCCTAATCCTCCACCTTTCCTACCCATCTAGTGTCCTGCCACATCTCTTTTCCAGCCAACATTTCCTTATCCCCGGGCAGAAGGTCGATGCCACTGTGGCAGACGGTGTTGGCTGTCCACGTGACTTCTCTACCTCCTTCCTGGCTGGAGAAGCTACTTTTGTCCAGATATTGAAGGCTCGCCCCTTCTTACATAGAGCCCTGAGCCAGCACTGACTCCAGGAATCGCCCACAGCCATCCTTCCACAACCAAAGAAGCTATTAAAAACAAACTAAAAACCAAAGCTATTAAAACAAGCTATTAAAAAGAAACTATTAAAAACAAAAGACTCTCCCCAGGGGGCATGCCCCAGAGCTAAAGCTCACTTCCACATTGCACTTTCCCACACTAAAGTTAGGGTGGTGCTAGGGATGGCTCTTCTCAACCTCCCCCCACCGCCCACCTCTTTGCCCACCTCATGGTTGGTCCCATCACCCTCCCGCTTCCCCTGACTCGGGGCAGAGAGATCCCCAGCTGGCCCCAGGCAGCTCATCTCCTCTCTCTCTGCCAGACCCTCAATCCCCAGTTAGTCGTGCTCTATCTCCGGTGCAGTCACCTTTTGCAGCCAGTGGTCACATCTGGGTCAGGGCCCGCCTTTCCTCCATCCCAGTCCCCTGAGGGTTCTGTCTTCACATTCCAGGTGCAGGCTGGTGACATGGTGTACTCCTCCCCTGTCCTGGGAGCTCTGGACACCCCACCTGGGTGCTTTCATTCAACAAATACATTGGAAGGGTCAACTCCATGCCAGGCACTGCTCTGGGCACAGGTCCCCACAGGGAGAAAGCCAGGCCCCTGCTGTCCTAAGTAACATCCTAGTGGGGAAGACAGACACATAGTAAACCAGTCCAAGGTAAGGGGTAACCTGCCGGGGAGGAGGATGAAGCTGGGTGGGGAGGTGAGAGGAGGGGGAGCTGTTGCAGAGGCATGCTCAGAGGATGCAATCCGAGGATGTGACATTAGATGAAGGCCTGGCCAAAGTGAGCTGGCCAAGCAGGCACCAGCATTCTGGACAGAAGAAAAAGGCACAAATGCGTGAGGAGGAGCATGCCCGAGGCATGGAAAGCCCAGCAGTGGGGATTCAGCAGAGCAGATCTCGCCAGATGGTGCCGGAAGTCACGGCAGCATCATATAAGCCCTCACAGGCCATCTCTGTAGCTCATGCTCTTAGCAGTGTGGCTACTGTTAAGGGGTCAGTAAACATTTGTTGAGTGAATGAATGAATGAACGACTGCTTTGAAGCATGCTTAGGTTGACCGTGTCTTGAAAAGGGCCTTTCTGGACGGTTTATCTTCCCCTTGCCATCTCCAGGGGCCTGCGCTTATGGTAACCTGGGAGCAAGGCCTATGTTCTGGCTGCTACTTCTCCAGGGAAATGAAGGTTGCCGATCTGTCTAACAGGCTGCGAGCTCACAAGCCCAAACTGATGTTCTGAGAAACTGTCCACCATGGGGTAGACTCGAGTTTCATCACGATGATTTGTCCTTGATGGAGTTCCTTTTATGTGGATGAGAAAGCTTCCCAGCCCCCACCCCCATGCTCCCACCCACCCCCCGTCCTGGAAAAGTCTCACAAGATGACGGCCTGACTGTCCCTTTCTCAGGGACCTGAGAGGAAGTAGGAGGTGCAGCTCACATGGGTGACAAAAGGAGACATCCTGAGGCCTCAACACCCCCACTTCCTGGCTCTGGCAAATCACTTTACTTCTGTGAACGGCAGCCCCTCGCTGCCTGGTCCACCTCACAACCTCATTTGACCCAACCTGAGCCTCAGCAATTCAAGCCTATAGCACCTAGTGCAGCTATGTGGAACTCTAAGCGCAAGCGACAGCAGCTTAACTCAAATATGGGTGTTTCCTTCTCATACATCACAGAAAGTCCAAGAGTTAGGAATCAGTGACTGGTGCAGCAAGCGTTGGCTCTCTCCAGGGACCCCGGGATGGGATGCCCATTCATGTGCTTGCAACATGACTGCCAGAGCTCCAGCAATCATCCCTGCTGGATGGATAAACATTCCCTGCTGGAGGAAAGAAAGGCATAAAGGGTAAATGGGCTTCCCAAAGCCCAGAAAAGCTGTCAAGGATCATGTCACATGACTGATCCAATCTGCAAGGGAGGCACCAAAATGTCATTTTTTTTAACAGTGTACATTGCTGTTGGCACCCCCCAAAAATAGGAATTCTCTTGTAAAAGTACTAGGAGAGAATAATACTGGACAGATCACAAGCAATGTCCGCCACAATCCACCCACTGGAGTGACCCTTCAGCCATAAACATCTTTTTCATATTCACCTACAATTGGCCCTTCCACTAAGGGATAGACAGGGTCTCTGGGAAGGCTGTCCTCTCTATCAAGTCTAGATGTGGTCCTTGTAAGTTATAAACAGTCAAACTCGAAGAGTTTGCCCCTAGCACATCCCATACATAATGGCAGAAAAGGAAGGGAACTGCAGTAAAAACTTCCTTCAAGAAAAGAGAACTGGCCAGGCGTGGTGGCTCACACCTGTAATCCCAGCACTTTGGGAGGCCAAGGCAGGTGGATCAAGTGAGGTCAGGAGTTTGAAACCAGCCTGGCAAAAACCCCATCTCTACTAAAACTACAAAAATTAGATGGGCGTTGTGGCAGGTGCCTGTAATCCCAGCTACTTGGGAGGCTGAGGCAGGAGAATCGCTTAAACCCGAGAGGCAGAAGTTGCAGTGAGTGGAGATCGCACCACTGCACTCTAGCCTGAGTGACAGAGCCAGACTCCATTTCAAAAAAACAAAACACAACAAAACAACAACAACAACAGAGAATAATGGGAAACACTCAGCAGTCACTGGGCCATGACAATTATCAAATTCTCTTGAACAAAAATAATGAGGGATCTCTGTCTTGGCAATGGATTACATTCTTTGGTTAAAACCAACCTGGCCGATTTTGCTCCAGCTTCCGGGTGAATCTCCCTTAAGCATTAGTCCTCCATTGCTTTTTCTCTGGAATGTTCCTCTTGGTCTATTATTAAGCTAGCTTGGTCTGCCTAGCTTTGTCTCAGAAGAGTGTTTGGGATGATAACCTTCTTCATAAATGCACAGCTTTTAAAGCTTACCTGTTATTCATTTGGGTTTCGAGGTTCTCAAATAGTTTCAGAGATTTAAGAGTTAAAGGATGTTGCAGGTCAAGTTGGGTTTTCTATAGTGAAATGGTTTTCTCAAAACTTAGTTCACTTTAGTTGTAATTGCTTCCAGTTGATTTCATGCAAGTAACACATGGAACCAAAGATCTTATCCAGGCATAATTTTTAGGGCTGAAGCTACTTGTCTTTTACTTATTGGACATAGCCACTGTGCAATCCCCCATTCCCTAGCACTTAAAATATAGCTACCAACTTGAGGTAATTTCTAAACCTATAAGCTCCAGCTAGAAGGTTAAAGCCTGTCTTTGCCAGGAGACCATTGCTTTGTCTGATGAGATAGGCCGTTTATCCCACTGTGGCTGCCATTTTGAAATCACTACTTATAAATTCTTTAATTTGGGGTATAGAAGCACTTGGGTTGCATCGATCCTGCAGGACTCCATATTGTAGTGTTCTCGTCTGTACACTTAGGTTCATAGCAGCTTATGCACAATAGCTAAAAGGTGGAAGCAACCCAAGTGTCCATTGATGGAGAGGTGGATAATGTGGTAAATACATACAATGGAATATCATTCAACCTTTAAAAAGTAGACAATTCTGACACACACCACAGCATGGATGAACCTTGAAGACATTATACTAAGTGAAATAAGCCAGTCACAAAAGGACAAATGCTGCATGATGTGTGAGTACTGCAAGCGCTCACTTATATGAGGTCCCTGGTGTAGTCAAATTCATACGGACAGAAAGTAAAATGGGGATTGCCAGAGAACTGGGAGTTAGTGTTCAATGCATACAGAGTTTCAGTTTGGGAAAATAAAGAGTTCTGAAGATGGGTGATGATGATGGTTGCACAACAATGTGAATGTATTTAATGCTATAATACTGTACATGTAAAATGGTTTAAATGGTACATTTTATGCTATGTTTATTTTGTCACAATTTTAAAAAATCATCTTAAATAAACATATGAACAACAAAAATTGCAGTGATCTCATTCAATATAGATTACAGATCACAGGTAGAGGATGTGTCTTCTAGAAAAGCGGTATTTGGCCAGGCGTGGTAGCTCATGCTTGTAATTTCAACACTTTGGGAGGCTGAGGTGGGAGGATCACTTGAGCCCAGGAGCTCCAGACCAGCCTAAGCAACAAAGTGAGACCTCATCTCTACAAAAAACAGAAAATTAAAAAATATCAGCAAGGTTTGGTGTTATTCTTGTGTGGTTCCAGGTACATGGAAGGCTGAGGCAGGAGGATTGCTTGAGCCCAGGAGGTTCAGGCTGCAGTAAGCCATAATTGCACTACTGCACTCTAGCCTGGACAACAGAGCAAGACCCTGTAGAAAGAAAGAAGAGAGAAAGAGAAAGAAAGAGAGAAAGAAAGAAAGAAAGAAAGAAAGAAAGAAAGAAAGAAAGAAAGAAAGAAAGGCTGTATTTGCATCTATTTCTGCTTGCAGACTGTCCCACCCTAGTTCAGATTTATTTCTCTGTCTCTGAACTTCACTGCTAGCAATCTCGATTCTTCCTGCCATATTCTGCAATGCTACAGCCTTGGTTAGTGTGTGGTACATGATCCAAGGTACAGCAGGAGACACAGTTTTTAAGAACGTTTTCAAATGCATCACAAGGTCACTAGCTTTTAGTCTGTAATGTTTGATATATTAATTTTTCTTTACCTACCTTCTTCATTCAGTCCCTGTCAAGTATTAGCTTCTTTTACTTATGGCACCCCACTCCTGGTACCATAGTCATAAGTTAGGAGATGTTAGAGCTGTGAGTACCATGACTTAAGTGTGGTGGCTTAAACATGAAAGGGTTTGTTTTTGTCATCTGATGAGAAGTCCAGGCATAGTAACTGCTGGTATTGGCTCAGTGTCCCATGGTGTCAGGGGCAAGTCTTCTCTCATTAGATTGGTCTTTTCCCTTATGATCCTAAATGTTTGCTGAGGCCTCAGTCATAGTGCCCATGTCCTAGGTAGGAAGAGAAGGAGAAAAAAAGGCAAAACTGTGTGTCCCAGCTGGAAATACTCTTCCTAAAAATCTCTCCTGATGTTCCACCTAAGAAGTTCTGCTTATATTGGGAGAAATTTTATCATTGGACCACTCCTAGCCAAAATAGAGGCTGAGGAAGATAGCTTTTGGCTGACCCTATTGCTGTACCTGCCCCTCCTCCACAAAATATCAGGGTCCATTAGGAAGACAAAAGTAGAGAATAAATATTTGAGAACATAAGCATTCTTTGTATCTTCACTAAAGAAACTCAGGTTCTCTTGATACCATAAGCTGACATCTCCCAGCTGATCTGTCCACTGTCCTATTAGACTGCTTTCACCTTTTCCTTGGTCATTCTTAGTAGGTAGAAATAGTTTTTTGGATTTTTTTTATTATTTTATGTATTTCCTTTAAATTTAAATATGTTGTATTTGTAAACAAAATGTTACTTGTAAACAAAAAGTTACTTATGCCATATAAGTCACTTAGGGCAGTATATCAACTAGGGTTCTCCAGAGAAGAAAGCCCAGTGGGATGGATAGATTGATAGATTGTAGAAAGATAGATGATTGATAGATAGTAGTTAATTGAGGGATAGATAATTGATAGATAGATGGATAATTGATAGATAATAGTTAATTGAATATTAGATGCTAGATAGATGATATACATAGGTGAAAGATAGATGATAGATAGATGATTAATAGATAATAGATAATTGATGGATAGATAGGTAGATAGATAGGCTGTAGATAGATAATAGATGATGAGTAGATAACAGATATATAGATGGATGATAGATGATGGATAGGTAGATAGATGATAAATGATAGGTAGGTAGATAGATAGATAACAGATAATTAGGAGATTTATTTTAAGGAATTGAACTGGCTCATATGATCACGTTAGCTGGCAAGTCCAAAATCTGTAGGGCAGGCTTCCAGGCTGGAAGATCAGGGAGTAGTCGATGCAACAATCTTGAGGCAGAAATGTTTCTTTTTCAGGAAACCTCAATTTTTTAAGGCCTCCTTTGAGGCAGAAATTTGTTTTTCAGGAAACCTCAATTTTTGTAAGGCCTCCAATCTGTTGAAGGGCTGGCAAAAATTGAGGTTTCCTGAAAAGGAAACATTTCTGCCTCAAGACTTCAGCCTTACTCACAATACTGTGAGCAATTTCCTTAATTTAAAGTCAACTCATTATAGATGTTTACCACATCTGTAAAATACCTTCACAGCAACATCTTGACTCATGTTTAATTAAATTCCCAGGTACTACAGCCTAGCCAAACTGACACATACAACTGACCATCACAGGCAGGTAACATGATGCAGATGAAGGAGCACTAATATCAGATCAGAGGCTTCAGTTCCAATCCTGACCTTGATATCTGACTACTGATGCCCTCTTTTCTTCTCTGAACCTCGTTCTGTTATCTAGAAAAGTCGAGGGCTTCGGCGAAAGGATCTATGTGCTCCCTTCCAGATGGACTACTTTTAGATAATGTGACCATACCAATATACCTTCTTATATTTCCAGCATCCAAGCTCATGTCTTAGCAGGCGGTCAATGATGATGACAATGAAGATGATAAAAACCATACTGATGATGATAATGATGATAGAGAATAAAAAGGGAAAAATAATGGTCAAATCTTGCATGCAACCAAGAATAGTCAAAAACTCTATTGTAGAGGTGATTCTTGTAGCTTGAAGCAAGTGGTGAAGTAAACTCTGCTTTTGTACTAACTAGAAGCCTAAATGTCAGGCCCTACCTGGAAAACTCCTGAATCCTGCAGCAGTGTTGATAGCATGGCCAATTCTTAAGTTATGTGATTTTTGCACAAGATATTTAATGCATCTATGCTCAATTTCATCTTATATCAAATGGCAATGTTAATAATTATATCCATCTTATAGAACTGTTGCAAGGATTAAAAGACATAATGAATTTGAAGCTCTTGAAATAGAACTATCTACTAATGAAAAACACTCTTCACTGCTGTTTGGTAACTCTGTGAGGCTTTTATTTCATTTTTATTACCAAACAGGCCTTTAGGATAGGTAAACTGAGATCCAAATATTCATCCCACACACAATAAATGGGAAAAGACACCACAAATGCCATTAAGCTCAAGCCTGCCATGCCATGTGGCTTTTGCATGGCTCTCAGAAGAGATTTGAGAATGTCCATGTTTCTTTAGCAAGAGAACATTGGATGTGGCCAAAATGAGTCAAGAACATAGGTGGGCTCTGTCCGTAACCAGTTTTTGCCATCAATGTCACTTTGTGATTCTTTTGATTATTCACCAGTAAACTTGTACTGAGTCCCAGCCACCATCCAGGCCTGCAGTGGGCACCAGGGCTCCAGAGGTGACTAAGACATTGTCCATGCCCTCGCAGGACCAGCAGGCTAAAGGGGGAAGCCACCATTCAATCAATACACAAGGTGCAATGTCATAAGAGCCATGATAGAAATGAACACAGCCATGCAACACACAGTTGTGCCTACTATGTGCCAGGTATGTACAGTGGTAAATAACACATTCATAAATAAAACAAAATGCCCTCTTTGTCTTACAATCTAGGAGAAAGCAGCATTAGAACAATCATCTACATGAAATGAAAAAATTACAACCTGCAAAGTGCTACTGGGGGTGCATTTAATGCTACAAGAGCATGTGACAGGGACTCAGGAAAGGTTTCCTTGAGAAAGGGATGATTAACTTGAGACATGAAAAGCCAGAAAGAGTTATCTAGAAGAGCAGAGGAAGAAAGAGCATTCCAGGGAGAGAGGGCAGCAGGCAAAGTCCTGGAGGGAGTGTGGGTGAAGCCAAGGCCAGTGTGGGCCGGAGAAGAAAAGGTCACATGAGGCTGGACAGCCACATGAAGGCCTTGGGGCTTATGAATGAGCAGCCATGGAAGATTTGGATGCAAGAAATTGACATAGTCTAATTTCATATACGCATGTATTTGTGTGTGTAGAGAAAGGGGAGAAGGTGTAATATACATAAAATTCAGAGATCTTAAGTGAGACATATATATACACCAGTGTAACCACCTCCTGAAAAACGATGCTACACAACAGCACCCTAGCAAGTGCTCTTGACAATGCCAGTCCATAATTAGATTTATTTTTTTAGTTACCTCTGGCAACAGTGTGGAGAATGGATGGTGTAGGTGTGGGGGTTGGGGGGGGTGGCAAGAAATGGGAATGAACTCTACTTGGGGTAGCAATGGGATTCAGAGAAGAGAATGGGCTCAATAAATGTTTAGGAGGCAGAGTTCCCAGAGCTTCAAGGCAGCTGGAAAGGAGTGAGGGTGAGGAGTCAAGAATGAGGTCCAGTCCATCAGGTGTGGTGGCTCACGCCTGTAATCCAAGAGCTTCAGGAGGCCAAGGCAGGGGGATGGCTTGAGGCTAGGAGTTTGGGACCAGCCTGGGCAACATAGTGAGACCCCATCTCTACAAAAAAAATATTAAGAATAATTATCCAGGCGTGGTGGGTGTTCACCGGTAGTCCCAGACACTCGGGAGGCTGAGGCAGGAGGATCACTTGAGGCCAAGAGTTGGAGGCTGCAGTGAGCCATGATCATGCCACTGCATGGCTTGAGCAGTGGAGGGCACCTGATCAGCCAGGGTTGAAGAGGGATCTGGAGGGTTTTCCAGAAGAACTAATTTTCGTAGAGGCTGAGTTTGGTGGTGTCAGTTAAGAGTCGGCCAGGTGGGGGGATTTAGAAGTGCATTTAGGGAGGACCCTGAGAATGGATGAACAACAGGCAAGCAGAACCAGGGGTCAGGGAGGCGTTCCTGACAGCGCCGTGCCAGCACCTGGCCCCCGCCTACCTTAAGCAGACGTGAGATTTCTCAGTCATGTGAGACAGCACATTCGCATTTGGCCTAAGGTCAGGCTGAGTCTCTGACAATTGCAGCAAAAAGCGCTGTACTAATACTGACTCTGAGAAAATGGAGCAGGATAGGACACGGGATGAGAAGGGGCTCTAGCCTTGGGGTATGGAGACCCATCCCAGCTGCATCCTGGGGAGGTCCCGGGGCCACAGACTTGGGAAGGACTCGAGTGAGGGGCTCCACCTGAGGGCCAAGGCATGGTGTCAGCCTGGGGGACACCCCTAGCACTGCATTCAGGACAGCCCCTGCCAGAGGAGCCTGGACATGGAGACCCCCTTCTGACCCCGGATCAGGACTCCTGCCAGCGACACACCCCAAACACTCAGAAGCCCCCGAGGACCCCTGGACACCCCACAGGCGGCGCAGGTCCGCAGGTATCCGTTCTTTGGGGAGAGGTGTGGTGAGTCGCACACTCCAAGACAGAGAGGGGTGAACACCGCCACTGCGTAAATGTGTGAGTCATTTTCTGTGGATGGACATTGAAGTCACGTGGTTGGATAAAGTCATTGAAGACTAGGTGGCCAGGAAGGGCAGTGAGGGCCCTGAAATATCACCATCACGACGGGAGGAAGGTGGGCGGGTCCTTGACGCAGTCACGTGGCTGAAGGAGGATGACGGTTCAGGATGGCCAGAGCCTCTTCCAAGACAACCCCCTGGGGAAATGGGGTGACCTGGGGAGCCAGGGGTCCTGGGCAGCTGCCCACCAACCCTGGCGAGTAGGACCAGGCTTTCCTCACTGGGACTCTGGGCAGTGAGGCAGAGGAAGGAAGGACTTGCCTCCCAGGCAACCGGTGGGTGCCAGTGACTTCCAGGACAGAGAAGAGCAAGGCTGGCCCGGAGAAGGAGCGAACCCCTCCCAATCGCCGCCTTCAGGGGCTTGGGCACTGCACTTGGGGACACCCCTGAAGAACTGTTTGCTCTACCCCAAAGCAAAGTCATGACACCAGAAACAGAGCCATGGATGCTACTGGCCAGTGGAGGAGGTCGGGGAGGCCAGACCCTAATAGGAGGAGTCAGGGAGGACGTGGAGGCAGCAAGCCCGGGCAGTCCTTTCCGTGGAGACAAACACCCCGACCTGTCGGCAGGCAGGAGGCATGAGGCTACAGTCAGAAGAACATGAGGATGACGGGCAGCATGTGTGCATGCGTGTGCGCGCGCATGCATGTGTGTGTGCACGTGTGTGTACATGTGTGTGCCTCCGTGTGTGCATGTGTCTATGTGTGTGCAAGAGTGTGTGTGTGTGTGTGTGTGTGTGTGTGTGTGTGTTTATGGGAAGCCTCAGAATGCTCACTTCCTGAAGGAGAACAGGTTATGAGGGAGAGGCAAGGGGGGGTTCCTGTCCCTGAGCAGGTGCAGGTGACCAGGCCCAGCGCATCGCAGGAGGGGCCGGGAGGAGAGAAGCCTGGGAGAAGCCATTCGTGACCTAACAAAGCTGGCACTGGCCACCCCCAGGGTTCCGGAAACTCTGAGTCAGTCTGGCTCCGTCTCCTGGCAACCAGATGCAGGGGCCATGGCACTCTTAACACCCCAGGGAGTGAAAGAAGTCTTCCAACTTCAGGTGAAGGAAGAGAAAATGTGGCTTTTAAACAGAAACTGGCTCATCCTGGGCACATAGGGAGGTGGGCACTGGAAGCGCCTCTTCAGGAGACCCCGGGGCAGCCACCCCGGCTCAGCACAGCACCTCTGAGGCTGTGACGAGATGTGGGGCCCAAACTTCAGGCCAGGGCTTACCAGCCCCTGGACCTTGTGGGCTGTTTTTCAAGCCACATGCAGGCCCAGAAGGAGCAGATCCTGCCTGAAGGGAAGTGAGGGACTGTGCCTGCCTCCTCTGGGACCCTGAGGGTCCTGCGAGCCACTGTGTGCAGGGAGTGTGTTGGGGGAGGCTCTGCTGCTTTCTAGGGGGTGCTGTCTAGATTAGGCAGAAGAGTGGTGGCAGTGGAAGAGGAGTCTCTGGGGGCCGAGGACAGGACTCTAGGCCTCCCTCTGTCACTAAGGCCACCATTGGTCCTCCAGGGTCCCTTGGGGTCCTCCCAGCCAGAGGATCCCTTGCCTCAGGAAAGCAACACTCTTGCGTGTGGTGGGTGGGTCTCTGCTGCACCCCAAACATTTTTTTGCCACTTCCTTTAAGTGGCACTTGCTTCTCCTACATCTGCTGGGAGCCTATAAGAACTTTCCAGAAGGGCCAGCTGAACTCTCAAGTAAAATGGGTTTTTACTTCTAGGCAGGGAAAAAAGTTTACCTTTTCCTCTTGGCCTGCCCGTGTGTCTGAATTTTCACCAAGCAAGACTCATTCCTTCTGCTAAAGCATTACCTCACCAAGCCCCTTCTTGGTCAGTCACTTACACTGTAGTATAAATTTCATTGTCAGATCAATGCCTCTACTGCAGTCAGTTAAGAGTAGACTCAGGAAAGTCAAATTTTATTTTAGGCAGGGGGATAGGGATCGTATTTCAGAACCTGAGGCCTGCTGGAGGTACACAAAACCTGGGCTGCAGTGGCCAGCATGAGAACTCTCAGAGGAAAGAAAGTCCTAGAAGAAGAGCAAGTCCCAGGAGGAGGGAGTGCTGCCCAGAAACCAAAGCACAGCTCTTCCCAGGGGTACCCACATACCTAGTTACTCTTCAGGGCTCTGGAGCACCACTGTGGGGACCCCAAAAGTGTCTTACCCAGTAGAGATGGCTTCTCAACTCCTCAACCCCATATTATACCCTGCAACCCCCATATCACACTCTCCAGCCTCCATATCATACCCTGCAACCTCGATATCATACCCTGCAGCCCCATATCATACCCTCCGACCCCCATATCATATCCCACAACCCCCATATCATACCCCACAACCTTCACATCATACCCCGCAACCCCCATATCATACCCCACAACCTTCATATCATACCCCGCAACCCCCATATCATACCCCACAACCATCATGTCATACCCTGCAACCCCCATATCATACCCTGCAGCCCCCATATCACATCCCACAGACCACACATCACACCCTGCAGCCCCCATATCACAGCCTGCAGCCCCCATATCACACCCTGTAGCCCTCATATCATGCCCCACAACCCCATATCATACCCCACAACCCTCATATCATACCCTGCAGCCCCCATATCACACCCCGCAGCCCCCATATCACACCCTGTAGCCCCCATATCATATCCTGCAACCCCCATAGCACACCCTGTAGCCCCCATATCATGCCCTGCAACCCCCATATCACACCCCGCAGCCCCCATATCACACCCTGTAGCCCCCATATCATATCCTGCAACCCCCATAGCACACCCTGTAGCCCCCATATCATGCCCTGCAACCCCCATATCACACCATGCAGCCCCCATATCATGCCCTGCAACCCCCATATCACACCCCACAGCCCCCATATCACACCCTATAGCCCCCATATCACACCCCGTAGCCCCTATATCATGCCCTGCAACCCCCACATCATACCCTGCAGTTCCCATGTCATTCCCTGCAGAGACCACAAGGTCGGGAGCGCCTGCGGAGGCTTCTGAACTGGGAGGAGTTTGACGAACAGAGAGACTCCCGGAGGAGCATCCTGCTGGACACCCTCTACGAGAGCATCATCTTTGCAGTGGGCAAAGGCTTCCCATGGGTGGAGGTGGCCCAGGTGGTCAAGTTCACAGAAGAGCTGCTAAGGGAAACCAAAGGTATGGTGTGTCCAGGGCAGGAGTCAGCAGAGGCTGGCGGGATGGGGTGGGTACACATAGAACTCCCCTGCCGTCCACAGCCCCAGCAGCCTTGGAGGAGCCAGGGCCCCTTCCTGCCCTTCCCTGGCATTGGGCCTCCTCACATGCTTAAAAATAAGGTCTCTACTCAGCCTTCCCAAACATCCTCACTGAGTCTTCATTGGTCTGCCTGACTGCAAATCTGAACCACTCCAAGCTGTTTGCACAACAGCCAGGGTGTTTGCTTTTGTTTTGTTTTCGTTTGGTTTTGCTTAACATAAATCAAATGTGTCACCTTCCCTGACTTAAAACCCTTCATGGACCTGAAGGGCTGCACGTTGTTCCTGGTAGGAGATCTGGCTTTGCTGCAGGTGCCGGGGGAGTCCTGGAGCTTGCTCACGCAAAGATGGGGGATGCAGTCAGGTGGGTGCATGGAAGCAGCATTGCCCACTCCCTGGCCCTGTGCAGGGCTTGCATGAGAAAAGGACCTGGTGGCATGAGGAGCTGTGGTCACTCCACCCACCTCTTGGGCAATGAAGTGCAGATTCATTCATTAAGCAAATACATGGGGCAGGCTCTCTGGGGCTGCCCTCACAGTGATACTTCATTCCACTGAGAACCATCCATGGGTGCTGAAAGTGGTGGGCGGATGCTTGATGAGAAATGGGATACTTCCATGCTTTCTAAGAACCTCTCCCACAACATCCTTCGTAGTGACAAAGAGAAAGGAATACTCTTACAGGGAAGAAGCTGACAGCTGCCTCCTTAGTCAAATGATCCAAGTGGACATTGTCAGTAAAAGGCCACACACAGAATCCCGTGTGCCTGGTCAGACGCAGTGAGCAGCCAGCATTCTCCTGTGATGGTTCCAACAAAGACTCATGGCCCGAATCTAATCAAGAGAAAACAGCAAAGTAGGACCATGGCTCAAAGTAGCCCTCCTGCCAGCTTCAAATACTCGAAGGCCATAAGAGCCCAGCAAAGACTGATAAACCTTTCCAAACTGAAAGAGGCGAAGGGATGTCTTCACACGTGACCTGTGGCCTGTCTGGGTCTTTTTGCTATGAATGAGGTTATTGGGAGAACTGTGGAAACCAGAGTGTGGTCTGGGGACCGGGTGGTAGTGACATGTTCAGGGTGAGGGTCTGGATCGGATGGGTCGTGATGATGAATGTTCTTGCTTTAGGAGATACACGTGAAAGGATGCTTCGGTGGGGTGTGTAGGGTGGGGCACTTCTTTTAAGTGGACTGGGAAGAGTTTCTTTCTACTATTGTTGCAACTTTTCATTTAATTTATTTTGCTTTGAAATTATTTTCCAAAAAAGTATAATAATTTTTTTTTAAGTGAGGTATATTAGAGGTCTTCCCTGGCTTTCTGGTCATAATCTCAGTAGCTGCCAATCACACAGGCTGCACGAGGCTGTGTCTCTCACACACAAGGCGCCATCCTTAAGGCACCCAGAACTCATCACTCAGTCCTGCTGGCAACACCTCAATGTCCTTCTCTAACCTCACCACTTCTGACCACCCCCAGGGCCAGCACCATTTCCACCCCCCTCTCTTGATTGGTCCACTGCTTTCAAATCTTGCATTCTGCAATCGATTTACCAAACAGCGAGTGCTTTTTCAGACACACAGAATGTCCCACGGCACCTCTGTTTGAAGGCATCCAGTGCTCCCAGCCTTAGGCACACCTGGGTCAGCCTTTCTTTAATCTCTTCGGCTGCCAGGTTCTCTTCCAATTCTCTCCTGCCAGCCTGCGTTCCCACCCAGTGGTCCCAGCCTAAAGGCTAGAGCGAGACATGGCATCACTCACAGGCTGGACTCAGAGATTCTCGGGACATCTCATCCCCCTCCTGCCATCCCTAGCCCCATGGACAGGAGCCTTCAGGGTATCCCTCAAGGCCCTGCCTCCCCACTGCTCACAGCCACATGTGAGTACCAGAGTTCAATCCCGGTGTCTGAGCTCTAGAGGGGCTCGTGGCCAGAACAAACACTGACAACCAGGAAGAGGAATGTCAGCCGCAAGCAGGTGGGAAGCGAACTCTTTCAAGTCCCCATCAGAGCCTCCACAGGCCAAGCCCTTGGAAAACAGTCGATGATGATGCAAAC
This sequence comes from Homo sapiens, assembly GCF_000001405.40. Taxonomy (NCBI): domain Eukaryota; kingdom Metazoa; phylum Chordata; class Mammalia; order Primates; family Hominidae; genus Homo; species Homo sapiens. The sequence goes on from NC_000008.11 coordinate 10,676,969, forward strand.
CCAACTTCAACCCAAGATTAGGGCGCTCTGGAGCTTTCGGCACTTCTGGTTGGAGCATGCCTTATCAACACAGCACAGCTATGTCTCATGGACTCACCAACTGAGTGCACAGAAAACTCCTCTCCCTGACTGCAGGGAGCCCCTGGATGCCAACTAAGCTCTTCCAGCTTCCACAGACACCCCCTAAGGAACAGGGAACCCCTCCTCCTCCTGCACTTCATTCCTTACATGACCACACTCATCATTAGGAAGTCCTTTCTTGTATCTAGCCTACAGCTGCCTTCCGCCCCTCTCCAAATCTGTCTTCCAGATTCTTAGCAGCGTGTGGGCCCTGAGCATATTTATTGGGCTTCATATAATGCGACTAAGTACATCTTTCCATTTGGACTAGACATCCTAGTACCTTTCATTATTCTTTTTAAAAACTCAAATACTTACTGAAATGCTAGCTAAATTTCTGCTACATACATTTATCTAGAGCTTCCATAAATCATATATGTCATTTTATTTATTTAACATATGTTCATTATTTACCATATTTTAGTCTTCAGATGCTATATATAATGAGTCAAATATGCCTGTGTTTACTACCACCCATACCACACCACCTCTTTTTTTATTTTAATATGACATCATTCCCATAGACCCTGCCCCCACCACCTCCTAACTAACCTCTGCCCCCTCTCTTGCTGCCCTCATCCAGGTAGCCTTGTGTTTGCCAGTATTATTCTTAACATACGGCATCTGGATTCAAACACAGCAATCGGTGAGGTGGTCAGGGATGTACCACCTCCCCTGTGTTGGTCATGATGCTCCTGTTTATATAGCCGATGGGTGCACTGGCTTTATCAGCATCAGGTACACAGATTGGCATCAGGCTGGCAGTCCACTAAAGCCCGTAACCATTTCCCCATCCTGCCCTTGTGCAATGGCGATTTCGAATACACCTGCAGGATCTCACAGTCACCCCCACGGATACCACCTCGTTCAGACTGGCCTTCCTTTCCTTCCTCCTGAAATCTGCTCAGCCTTAATCCTGGGCCATCCACCTTACGAGTTCCTCCTCTCACTTTCGTATCATCTGAAAGCGTGTGAGGCATGGTTAATACAAACATGGACTCGAAACAAGCTCTTAGGTGGGCTTCCCATGCCTGAAATTAAACTGGCTGAAAATAGACATCAGGAGGCTGGGGGTCCAGAGGGAAAATTCAGGTCTTACCTGGCCCTTTACTGGGTGCGTGGTCTAGGGCAAGTCTCATCCTTCTGAGCCTCTGTGGACACATCTAGAAAAATGGGGATGCAGGATCACTCTCCACCTGGGATTGTTAGAAGGATCAAATGAGGCTGTGCCTTAAAGCCCACAGCATGGTGCTCGGTGCCTAGGAAGCGCCCAGTGAGTGGCACCTTTATTTTTAGGAGACACAAGGACCTGGGAACTCGAGGGAGCAGGATGTGATCCAGAAACCTGGCATAGTCAGGGGTCACCCGCTTCAGACGGGCCCTAGCAAGGACGAGGCCCAGTAGACACGTGCCAGGGCCCTTTCTCCTCAGCCCCTGCACTGCCCCAGTGACCCTGCACTGCAGGAGATGGGGCAGGACCAGAGGCAGGACCAGGAAGTAATTTAAAAAAAAAAAAAAAAAAAGCAAACTGCAGATTTGTTTCAGAAGTCAGGAGCAAGATGGGAGACAAATGAGACTGTCCCAGTTCTGCCCAGTGGGTGACTGACCCACCAGGAGAGCTGGCTCCTGACAGCCATGCCAGGCTGGCTGCAGTGGGGAGAGAGTAGGCAGCGGAGTGCAGCCGCAGCACCCCAGGGTGCAGAGCCCCACGACAGCCAGGCCTCCTGCACCTCGGCTCACCACGGTGCCATTCAGGATGGTGCCTGCTGTCCCTGAGCCAGGAGGCTGGCCCAGGTGGCGTCCTAGTCAGCACCTGTGTTCTTACTGCCTTGCACAGGGACACTCGTGAGAGCGAGAACAAGCCCTGCAGTCCCCCAGATGCCGAGGGTAGAATTCCAGCTGCACCTCCTTCCCGGGTTCTCCTCACTGACAAACGCTGCCGTCACCTCCAGGCCCAGGCTGAGCCCTACATGTTTCTGGGGACCCGGTTTTGCCATTTCCTAGCTGTGGGACCTTGGCCATTCCCTCAGCCTCTCTGTGCTTCAGGTCACTCGTCTGTAAATGTGGGGCAAGAACAGCATCCACTTCACAGGCTTGTTGAGTTCATTTATGGCCCTGGAACGGTGGTCAGCATAGAGGAAGCCCTGAAAGTGTGCACTGGAGTCGGCCTTTATGTTACACCCGCTTGCAGGGGTCTCAGGCACCCTCCTGGGCTCCACTGTCCACCTGGAACTTTAGGTCTCCTGCATGCCCCGCCCGGACAGCAGCGGCCTAGGAAGTCCTGCAGTATCGCTCGTGGAAATCACAGCCTTTCCTCCCTCGGCTTTGCTCAGTTGTTTCTGCTCCAGTTCTGCCCAACCCCAGCCCTAACCTTGATCTTCTCTGGTGTCATCCAAGTGGCACTGTGCAGGTTTGGACCATAGGCTCTGAGTCACCAGCCGTTATCTATCCTCCATTCTCTCCTGTGCCCTCCAGCCCTGGGTAAACTCCCCTCCTGACTAAGCCTCTCCCCGTCCTTGGATCGCATCACCCAGAGCTGATCTTGGCCCCTCCGCGTTGGGCCTCATGGGCTTAGCTTCTCTCTCCAGGCCACAGCCACGGCCTGGCTGCCTCCCACCTGCGTTTCTGCAGCTGCGTCCTCTCTGGGCCCTGCAGGCGTGCCTGGCCCGGCCCCTTCCCTGTGATGTCTGCGTCCTCTCTGGGCCCTGCAGGCGTGCCTGGCCCGGCTCCTTCCCTGTGATGACTGCCTTGTCCGTCCTTCTCATGCCCTGCTTCACCAGGCCGTCCCCTTTCTCTCTCCACTCAGACCACAGGCCTCCCTGGAGTCCTCAGCTGGAGAGTGAGGAAGGCCTGGCCTGGAGAGGCTGGAGCTGCCGGAGAGGGGTCTGCGCCCTGTACATCTTTGTCCCCTCCGACCCCCCAGTGCTGAGCGATGCATATGGCACAGAATAGGAGTTGAAGGAAGAAACCAGTGAATGAATAAACTAATAAATGAGTCAATTCCCGATGCCCATGGAGACAGAGAGTTCAAGATGCGCAGAGGCGGCGAGGGGCTGGTCTTGCCCCAGTGACGCTCCTTCCACACTGCAAGCACCGCCAATGTGAGAGGCAGCAAACAGCAAACTCTGCAGTCAAAAAGTCTCAGTTCAAATCCCACTGCGGTCACGACACTGCATAGCCTTGAGAACGATAGTTTCCTCTCTGTGCCTCCGTTTCCACCTCTGTCAAATGGGGGCAGTAACAGTTCCTACTTATAGGAAGGAGCAAATGAATCAGACATGCAGCACTCACAGCAGGATGACCAGCACATAGTAAGTGCTTAATCAATGTTCGCTACCATATGGCTGGAGGGGACACAGGATGGTCCCATATCCACATCCACCTATGTCCAAGACTCATCAAACAGACAGAAGGTGCCACCCTCTGCAGCCATGGTTCAGGGCAAGAAGGAGCTGCACGCAGGCCATCAGGGTGCTCACTGTCTACACCCTTTCTTGTCTTGCCTTCATCCTGCAGATAGTTTCAAGGCATGGGCCAGCAGAAGGGAGGCCCAGACCACCTCTGACCTGGACTCTAACCAGCTGCCCACACTCATGCTTGGCCCTGAGCACACAAGGGTGCCAGCCTTGCTGCCTACCAGACCGAGAGAGCAGGAAGCTGTTTGCTGTCCTCAGGAGGGGGCCCAGGCGGCCAGGGGCAGAAAGAGCTGGCGTAGCTGGCAAGTCAGGTCCCTGGCACATTCCAGCTCTTTTCCACCTTGCATCCCACCCTGTCCGCCTCCTGGCATTGTCCCCATTTCAGAATGTGGGTGCAGGCAGCCCAGGCAGGAGCGGGGGTCCTCTGTCTGTTTTGGCTAAAATCCACACTGGGCTTTCAGTCATCTTGGAAAGCGGCTTCTCCAGGGATGTTTTTGTTGTTGTTAATCTGGAGCTAAGGATGGTTGCATTGTGTTTGCATTCTAGATAACAAAGCTGGCAGTCGCAGTGAAGGAGGGTCATGTTTGCACAGCAGTGATTCAGAGCTCTGCCAGGACAGCTGCCAGTGCAGTTTATCTCCCAGTCCGATCAGGCCTTGGCGCAGGGAGGGAAGGTGGCCCTTTCTTCAAAAGCTTCAGCTGGCTCTGGCCTGGCAAACGCCTCTCCAGGACGTTCTGCTCTCCACACCAGGCCAGAAGAAGGAGTCCTTTCCTTGTGCCTTCTTGGCCAGCCTCTGGGAAGCTCTGGGCAGATCACATCCAGCCATCTCCCCCGGGTCAAGGGTGAAGCCACCAGCCGTGGCACAGAGGGGCGGGAGTCTTCCAGCTTGGGACGTCCTGGTGGGAGAAAACCACAGGAAGGGGGCACAGTTTGCCAGCCTTATCTAATCCTGGGGAGGCTCAGGAGAGGAGAGGGATGTGGGGGCCTTGAGGAGCCGCAGAGATTTAGGGTGCCCAGGAGGCCTGCACAGGAGGCAGGGAAGGTGGGGACAGCCTCCCCTGCTTCAGGCTTCCCTTGGCAGGAAACTGAGCCTGGAGGTGTCCCACCTGTGGCCACCTGGCACCTGCAGGACCTCCCCAACCCACCACCACTCTGACCTCTGTGCTGCTCCGCCCTTCATCATCATCACGCGTGGCAGGCACGGCCTCTCTTGGACGCTCTTTCAAGACAGCTGAAGCAGGAAGAACCTTTGCATATGGCCAGGCCCGCCAATCCCAGGCCTGGCAGGAGGCGGGACTTGTGACCGGTCAGTGGAGGCACAGGGCAGCCGGGTGAGTGCCTGGTGAAGAGCGTCATGGTCCTGGCATCTGCAGTTCCACCCATGGCCACTCCTGGTTCTAAAGGAAATGCTGCCCAGGTAGCCTAGGATGGGAAGGCAGACACCTGCCCACAGCAGCCTTGGCGGGCAGGAGGCAGTGACTCTTCCAAGCTCCTGGCATGACAGTTCTTGTGGGGACACTCATGGCCATGCCCACGGTCTGCCCGGCAGCCCTGAAGTACCCCGCCCTCACATCGGGGAGCCTCCAGCCTCTCAAGACCCCTGAAGCAGAGAGAAGGTGCCAGCCTCTGCAGCCTGGGAAAGGCCTCCAAGGACCCCTCCTTCCCAACCAGAACCTGACACCCCTCAGGCGAGACCTGGAGGGGCCTTTAAGTGAGACTTCATGATTGATGGATGGTGGAAGTCTCCACAGCGGCCCTAGATTAAGATCTTAGAGGAGCATTTCTTGGGACAAACGAGCAGCTCTCCTTTTGTAGATGCCTCCGTGCAGTATTAGTTTACCAGGGTTGCTGCACAGAACCATGGACTGTGTGGGTTCAACAACAAACATTTATTTCCTCATAGTTCTGGAGGCTGGAAGCCCAAGGTCAAGGCCGTGGCAGGGCTCGTTTCTCCCGAAGCCTCTCTCCTTGGCTTGTGGACATCCGCCTTCTCCCCACTTCCTCTTGTGGTCTCCCTCTGTGCACCTGTTCCCTGGCGTCTCTGTGTGTGTCCACATTTTCTCTTGTTATGATGACAGCAGTCCTGTTGGATGAAGGCTGGCCCTAATGATCTCATTGGACCCTAATCGCCTCTATAAAGACCCTCTTTCCAAGTATGTCCTGACATACTGGGGATTAGGACCTCAACACGTAAACTAGGGTGTGAGCAGTACAGCCTGTAACACTGAGCAAGGCCACCACTCCTCGGGTGAGCCGGTGACAGTAAGTAGGTCAGAAATCAAGACGGGGCCATAGAAACCTTCCCCTGCCTTCCGCAAGAGACTATCCGTCCCACAGAGGGAGGCCTTGTGTGTCATGTGCTTGGCCTTTAACACAGCTTCTGTAATTGTCACTGCAACCTGGCTTCGCAGGTGCCATTTGAAAGATGAAGACACTGAGGTCTGGAGAGATTGGGTAACTTGCCCAAGGCCGCACCTCGAGTGAGTGGTGTTGGGATTTGAACCCAGGTCAGCATCCACCCAGCTGAGTGACTTTTCATTTGGACAACGGGGACCTATCCACTCATCCAGGGGTGCAGGAAGGCCTGAGAAGCAGGCAGCCCAGGAGACCCCCATGGCGAGTGGGCCAGGGCTGCGGAGTGCAGACGGAGCAACACCTGGATGAGCCAGGTCACACACCTGCTGACTTCCTAACTGGGTCACCCAGAGCTGCTCACAGGAGAGGCTGGGATCCTGGCCCCAGCAGGAAGGCTCCAGGATGGTACGTGGCCCAGGCCTACCTGGCAGGGTGAGTTGTGCCCTTTGGCTAAGGTGTCCTGGCCTGGATGTGCCATCTGTGTGTGGGCAGATGGTACACGTTCTCTCAGGACCCCTTCCCACATCTGATTTCTCAGGTTCTTCCTCCATCAGCTGGACTTACTGGTCAGCCTTGGAGCCCCCAGCATCAGAGGGGACAAGGTATGAGGATGGAGTAGCCACATCTCAGGCTGGGAATGGCACTGTGTCCCTGAGACTGTGGGACTGCCTAGTCGCTTTCATCTCTGGGGGATGATGACCATGAGGATGACCAGGACCCCAAGTCAGGGCTCCCCTCACCAAGCTCGAGTCAGCTGCAGGGCTTGGCCAAGATGCACTGGCAGTGCCCCAGCTGTGGCTACAGGGACCGTCAGCTCCACGGAAATCCCCACAGCTTATGAGAGTTGAGAGGAGCCCCAGAGGTCACTGGATCCAACCCCCATCTGACAGACATCCAGGAATCCCGTCTTTCCGGTGTCTGAGCATCTGAGGCCCTCAGCTGTGAGACTGATGGGGAATGCCTCCTCACTTCTGGAGAGAAGACCTACTCTGCCAGTGAGCGGCCGGTGCTTCTGGACAATTCTTCCTGCTGTTGCACTGAAAGCTGCCTCTTTGAGCCTTCCACCGGCTGGCCCCTGTTCTGCCCCATTCTCCAGCAAGCCCAGAGTGAGCCCAAATCCCTGCGTGCTAAGGAGCCGGCCCTCCCACGATGCTAGGCAGGAGGTGACTGCAGCAGGACAGGAGCCCCGTGCTTCCAGGAGGACCAGGGAAGGGGATGATGATCATAATCTCAGCCATAGACATGGCACACTGAGCCCTCTGCCCATATCATCTCATTTAGTCCCCATGGCAGTCTTGGGTGGATGGGTACTGCTGTCCACATTTCACTAATTCAACTGAAGTTCAGAGAGGTTTGATAACTTGCCAATCATCACACAATAGAGGGAAGAACCAGTACTAACCTTGAGACTTTCTGGCTGCAGAGCCTGTCCCTTCTGCCAAAGCTCTTTCACATGAATCATTCTAGCTCCTTGAGAAATGGCGGCAAGGATCAGTGAGGGGCCAAGTCTCCTAAGCAGACCAGGTAGGGGGACCATTATGGACAAAGAGAAGGGCGTGGACAAGAGTCCATGACAGTCTTTAAAACATGTGGTCCTGAGCTTGCCCTCTGAGCCCTAGGCAAGTGACCAAAAAAGATGTCTTTAAAAGAACAATGAAATATTTCTAATCCTAGTGTTTGAGTAGATTTTCCCCTTAATATGGATATTGGTTTATAGTAGTCCCCTCTAATCCATCAGAGATATATTTCAAAACCCCAAGGGGTGCCTGAAACAGGGGATGGTACCACACCCTATATCCACTACTCACAAATTTATTTTTCTCTCTTCACAATTTCACAGATAGAAGATTTGTTCTTACGTAGTTCTTAGAAACCTCAGCATATGATTTTCTTTGTTTCCTTACGAAATCGAGAACTTTCACCTTTTCACTGAAAGGAAGCACTTGGTGGCTTCTGTTTGGCATATCCGAATTGCCAGCATCACCACTGTTGCCCTTTGGGGCCATCATTAAGTCAAATAAGGGTGACTTGAGCATGAACGCTGAGATACGTCGACGGCCCATCTGATAACGGAGATAGCTCCTAAGTGACCAATGGGAGGGTAGCATTGAGAGTGGGGGTCCTCTGAAGGAAGGAGTGATCCACTCCCCACAGGGGGCGGAGCAAGATGACCCAGATTCCATCATGCCACTCAAAACGGTGCAACATCTAAAACTTATGAACTATTTATTTCCGGAGATTTTTACTTAATCTTTTTGGACTACGGTTGACCACAGGTTACTAAAACCAAGGAAACTGGAGCTACAGTTAAGGGTGGACTACTGTATCTTATCAAACAAACTTAAAAGACATAGTGGATAGGAAACCAATATGGCAGTTCTTCAAAAAAGCAACCATGGAAGTGGCATATGATTCAACAATGGCTTCTCTGGGTACACACCCAAAAGAATTGAAAGTGGAGACTTGGGGAGGTGTTTGTACATCCATGCTCATAGAAGTATTACTCACAATAGCCAAAAGTGGAAGTCACCCTAGTGAGCATGGATGGATGAATGGATAAGCAGAATGTGATCTATCCATACAATGGAATATCATTCAGCCTTACAAAGGAAGGCAATTCTGTCCCATGCTACGACACGGAGGAACCTTGAAGACATTACGTTACGTGAAATAATCTAGATGCAAAAGAATAAATATCGTATGAGTCCGTCTATGAGGAACACAGAGTAGTCAAATTCATAGAGACAGGAAGTAGAATGGGGATTGCCAAGGGCCAGGAGGAGGGGGAGTGGGGAGTTAATGTTTAATGGATATGGAGTTCTAGTTTGGGATGATAAGAAAGCTCTGGAGATGGATGGCAGTGATGGCTGCAAAATAATGTGAATGTTCTTAATGCCATAGACTATAAACTTAAAAATAGTTATAATCGGCCGGGTAAAGTGGCTCACGCCTGTAATCCCAGCACTTTGGGAGGCTGAGGCAGGTGGATCACGAGATAAGGAGATTGAGACCATCCTGGCTAACACGGTGAAATCCTGTCTCTACTAAAAATACAAAAAATTAGCTGGGCATGGTGACATGTGCCTGTAGTCCCAACTACTCAGGAGGCTGAGGCGGGAGAATCACTTGAGCCCGGGAGGTGGAGGTTGCAGTGAGCCGAGATTGCACCACTGCACTCTAGCCTGGGCAACAGATCGAGACTCCATCTCAAAAAGAAAAAGAAAGGAAGTAGTTAAAATGGTCAGTGTTATGTTATGTATATTACAACAATTGAAAAATTAAATTTAAATCTAAGAATGCTAGTGGACATATTGTAGTGCTGTATATTTCATATATCTTCCATTCACTCCTAAAAAATGGCTGTGTTGTACTCTCCTTGGAGTTGGAGGATCTGGACTGAGACCTGATTTTGCTACTGAATAGCAGTAGGCAAGCCACATGCATGCTCTAAACCTCAGTTTCTTCATCTGTTAAATGGTGTCAAATACCTATTTCATAGGTTGGTTGTGATAACCAAATGAGTTGATGGATAATGTAAATGCTTTAAAACTGTAAAATAACACACTAATGTAGTCATAGTATTATTTCCTGAGAGCTTAGCACTGGGCAGCAACCACATGTCCAGAGCTTTCTGGGAAGATTTTCCATTATCTGCCCTGTCGTTCTCATAAGCACCCACATGCTTTTCAGTACAAGAATCTAGACTTGGGTCTACAGCCACACCACCTTGAACATGCCTATCTTGTCTAGTCTTAGAAGCTAAGCAGAGTCGGACATGGTTAGTACTTGGATGGGAGACCGCCCTGGAATACCTGGTGGTATTAAAAAATTAATTAATTCAATAAAGTAATAGTAATAAAAAGAGAATTTGGATTTGGGAAGTCTGGCCCATCTAGCAGGTTCTTGCCATGGAGGCACCCACAATAGTGGGGAGAAAGAGGATAAAGCACAAGGGCCTGTTGAGTTATGCAGTAAGTGGTGTCCTATTCCCCTACCCATAACTGGGGACCCAGCCCACTCCCAGCTGTCCTGTCCCCTTCACTGTTTGAGTGACCAGGAAAGAAAGAGCCTCCACTACTCTTTGGGTGGGGCCCCGTGCCCGCCCATCCCACCATAGGTGAGTAGAATCACCAGGCAACCGCCAAGAAGGGATTAGATTGAAGAAATCCAGTCTCCAGGGTTATAGTCCTAGAGCCATGCTTCATTCTCTGCCAAACCAGGTTCAGTCCAGGAGCCCACACAGCCCACCAGCTGTGTAGGAATGCCAGCAGAGGCCTGATGATGGCAATGACGGTGACAATGGCATTACTTATTGAGTGTTTACTGTGTACCAGGCACTGTGGAAAGCACCACATATGCATGCTGTCGCCTAATCTCACGAGGTAGAGATTTTTATTGCCTCTATTTTACAGGTAAGAACACTGCTGCCCATGTCTCTTATACCATGGAATCAATATATGCAATGGTTTTTATTAAAAGTCTTGCATAATAGAAATAGATTGCATTACGGCTAGGCGCAATGGCTAACACATGTAATCCCGGCAGTTTGGGAGGCCAAGGCGGGTGTATCACCTGAGATCAGGAGTTCAAGACCAGCCTGACCAACATGGCAAAACCCCCATCTCTACTAAAAATACAGCTACTTGGGAAGCTGAGACAGGAGAATCGCTTGAATCTGGGAGGCGGAGGTTGCAGTCAGCTGAGTAAGATCGCTCCACTGCAATCCAGCCTGGGTGACACAGTGAGACTCCATCTCAAAAAAAAAAAAAAAAAAAAAAGAAAGAGATTGTATTAGAAAAACTGCTTCCAGTGTGAAAAGATTCTGCTTTTAAACACTATTTTTAAATATGTTTACTTTTCTGTGATTTTATCATCATTGCACAAATTAGGAATAACTTATTTTTCAGGGTCACCATCTTCTTAAAGTAAATCTTTCATTTAATTATAGCATACACAGAGAAAAATGCATAAATTATAAATCTTCATCTTGATATTTCTCAGAAAGTGTGCCCATTTAACAGCATCCAGAACTAGAAAGTAGAATTAAAACATTATCAGCAGCCAGGCCAGGTGCAGTGGCTCACACCTGTAATCCCAGCACTTTGGGAGGCCGAGGTGGGTGGATCACCTGAGGTGAGGAATTCAAGACCAGCCTGGCCAATAAGGTGAAGTCTGTGTCTACTAAAAATACAAAAATTAGCCAGGCGTGGTAGTGTACACCTGTAGTTCCACCTACTTGGGAGGCTGAGGCAGGAGGATCACTTGAACGTGGGAGGTGGAGGCTGCAGTGAGCCAAGATCACGCCACTGCACTCCAGCCTGGGCAACAGAGCAAGACTCCACCTCCAGAAAAAAAAAAAAAAGAAAAGAAAAAAGAAAAAAGAAAATTATCAGCAACCAAAAGCCTCTTTCTGACTCTTTCCAGAAACTACTACTGACTTCTAACATCATAGTTGGGCCAGTTTTAATAAATGGAATAAAAAAGACAAAGAAAGAGAACACTGATGCCCAGAGAGGCCAAATAACTTCTGCAAGTGATGAAGTTGTGCAGCCTGAGGTTAGCCTGCATCTGCCTGAATCCCCAGTCTGTGCTCATACCAGACATACCCTACTGCCCCTGACAGAGGAGCCGAGCTTCAAGGAATGGCCCCAGCATCAGTGCCATCTTCAGTCCCATCTTCAGTCCAGGTGTTCCCTAGGCGCAATGGTGGCTGCTGTGTGACCGTGAATGGTGGCTGAGAACAGAACACACAGCTATTGAATCCTTGGTGCCCAAGTCACAGGGCAGGAGGATGATGCATCTCCAGCCAGCGTGGTCCTCCTTTGGCCAGTCCGGGCCCATCCTGATGAGGTCAGGAGGGATGCAGCTGCTCCTCTTCCCCCATGGGAGTGTCAGGCCCAACCAGCCTGCCCTCTCTCCTCTCCCTGCAGTTTACCAGGTGGCTTTGGAAAGGGGTCACCCTGAAGGGACCACTTGTGCTGCAGTAGGAGGTGGGAAGATCAACAGACCACGGACCCCGGGACAGGCAGGAGCCACAGAAGAGGTCTCAAGCAAAGGTGGCAAGCTCTCAGGGCTCTTCCTGACAATCCTGCCTGTCCCCAGGCCGTGGACAGCAGGTCAGCCACAAAGCTAACTCCCAAGAACAGCACCTGGCCCAGTCTCCTTCCCTGGCTCCTCCGTTCCCTTCCCTGGGCAGACAGTGCCCCAGCCAAGCTTTCACAGACATTTCTGACCTATCAAAAAGCACCAGGGCTGGGGCAATGAAAAGAAATAGACACCAATCCCTTCCCTACACAGGGAGTGGTGATGGGGAAGGCAGCTCTACCACCAGGTTCCCGACCCCTCACACCTGGGCTGAAGCTCAGGTCCTGACTTTGCCACAGGTTAGCTTTAGGCAAGTCTCATCCTTTTTCTGGGCCTCAGTTTCCCCATTTGTAGAGAAAAACGATTGTACAAGCTCAACATTTCTCCTTGGTCCAGAGAGATGTGCTCCTTGGTCCAGAGAGACTACTTGCCCCAAATAGATTTGAGAAGCATTGCAAACGCTCCATGCCTTTTGGTGATCTGCTAAGCTCATTTGCATATTTTGTTGAGCTCATTAGCATATTAAAGCTCTATTTAATCTCCCTGGATCCAACATCTCTTAAAGGGTCTCTCTGGCTGTGAAACATTCATTTTGATATACAGGTGACTCTTGAAGAACACGAGATTTAGGGCCGCCAACCTCCTGTGCGGTTGAAAACCCATGTGTAACTTTGGACTCTTCCAGAATTTACTTACTCATAGCCTACCGTTGACCAGAAGCTTACTGATAATATAAACAGTCGATTCCCATACATTTTGTATGTAATATGTATTATGTACTGTGTTCTTACAATAAAGTAGGCTGAAGAAAAGAAAGTATTAAGAAAAACATAAGGAAGAGGAAGTACATTTACCCTTCATTAAGCGGAAGTGGATTATCACCAAGGCCACTCTTCTCGTCATTTTCATGTTGAAGAGGCGGAGGGGGAGGAAGAGGAGGGGTTGGTCTTACCGTTTTGGGGGTGGCACAGGAAGAAAATCTATGTGTAAGTGGACCCGCAGGAGTGTCTGGAGGCCAAAAGTTAGAATTCAGCCTAGGGACTCCTTCCTCGTGCAGTTCCAACCCACGTTGTCCCAGAGTCAACTGTAACAGCTACTGCAAAACGTTCTTTGGAAAATGTGACCAATGGGGCTGGAGGTCCCTTGCAGTGTCCACCTCCAAGAATCTACAAAAAGACCCCAAAGCCGCTTGGAGCTGGATGGCCTGGAGTCTGAATACCACCTGAGGGGCCCTGAGCAAATCCCTCAGCCTCTTTGAGCCTCAGTTTCTCTCCCGGGAGGAGAGGGGTTGGTACCTGTGCCAGACTCACCGTGCTGGGAGCTGGGAGACCGAGTGACCCAGAGCATGCATGGCACAAGGCGGTGGGTGCTCCCTAACTGAGGGGAGCTCACCTGGGCGGTACAGTCCCCGGCAGCCAGGGGTGAAGGAGTTTAGTAGTCTCCCCAGGAGCACAAAGGGGGCAGGGGGCAATGCGGCGTGCGGGGGATGAAGGATGCTGTTGGGTGGAGATGCTGGGCCCTTGCTTTCGTCTGCTTCCCACCACACTGGGCCAGCCCTGGTAGGCGCTCAGGTATTGGGAAAGGTGAGCAGTGCCACGCTGTAGCCTGACTTGGTTCCTGCCCCTGGGAGGCAAGATGGGGGAACCAAACTGGTTTATCGGGGTACCTGAGTCCACCCGCTCAGGCACACCCAGAAGGAGCAGCCTTCCCCGTTTCCAGCCCCGCAGGGGTGTGGCGCATCTCCCCCCGGCTCGCCCAGCCCAGACTCCGGGTATGAGGGCCCAAGGAAGCCACCGGAGCCCCCTGGTCCGAGCCGTTTCTGCCCTGATCGTGGAGCTTCCCGTGCTGACATCTGCCTAGCAAGCCTCCCCCGCCCTTCCCCTCCTCATTCCTCTCCTCCTCCACTCGTGCTGCATATCCTCGCAGGTGCTGGCCTCCAGGGGCTTGGGGACCATCTTCAGGAAGTTCCCAGCAGCCAATGCAAATGAGGGCCACTCCCTGTTATTGAAGAGCAACTTGCAGGCACAGATCTGTCCGCCCGGCAGCCAGCGGCTTCTCCCTGAGACTTAATCCCTCCACTTTCTGAGTCACCAGGAACTTCTCAACCCGAGGCCCAGGGAGTGTGGTCCGAGGCCAAGAAAGTGTGTCTCATAAGCCGGCTTCCAACAAGCTTTGCTGAAACCCAGAACCAGCCAAGAGTGTCTGGGGGCCGAAAGTTAGAATTCAGCCCAGGGACTCCTTCCCTGTTGACCCAGGACAAGGTCTACACTTGGTTTGTATGACCTCTTAGGAGCAGGTCACAGCCCATGGCCACAGTGGGGCATCGGCCAGGATGATAAGCCGCCAGGACACCCAGGCACGGCTGCTGAGCACATTCACACTACTGAGCCTGGCAGACTTCTCTTTTCAGATCTGGGTTTTGTGTACGGCTGCTGGGGCTGAACAGAAGGGCTCAGAGGCTGGCCTTCGCCAATGAGGCAGACACAGCCACCCACAGCTGCAGGATGCAGGTGACCCCACCCCATGCTCCGTCAGGCCAGGCCAGGCTGGAGGAGGAGCAGGGCACCTTCTGGCAAGTTCAGAGAAGGTGTGATGAGTCATCTGATGAAGCTCACACACTGTCGCACACACACAGGCCCAGAGTCCAGCTTGCTGATCAAAAATGATGGCCTCATGCCTGCTCACCCTCTGGGATCCCTCAATGGGCAGCCTCTGCTGTCCTCCATGCGGCCACCGACTTCCCTCTGGGATGGCCCCAACCTCTCACGTCTGGCCTCAGTACCTCTCCACCAGGTTCTTAACCCCAAGGAATTTGATAATCCTATGTACGCTATCCTTGGAGGTCCTGGTGTTCCGTGATGAAGTCAACTCTTTCACATGGCACATAGGGCTGTCATGAACCACCCTGTCCAAACTGACCACAAGCCCTGGGTCCCCCAGCTCAGTCCGCAGAATCCAGTTTTGCCTCCTGGACAGCTGGGTGTGGCCCTGTGCACGCAGCCATGCTGTGCCCCTCTCACTTCCGGCCTTCACTGCTCCTGGCCCCTCTGCTTGGGGTGGCCTTTCCCACCATCCTCTGGACTCCAGCCTGGTGCCCCCGACACGGGGCATGTGCAGACGCCCTGGCCTCTCAGAGCTCCTTCTTATCTCACTGCATCCCTGCGGGGAAGCTCCTGCCAATTGATGGCAGGCCTGCACGCTCTGATGCCCAGCTCTGAGTGAAAGGACAGGAAGGGACACAGGGCGTGTGGGGCCAGGGGTTCTCTGCTGTTCTGAGGGCAGCAGCAGCCAAGAGCTTCTGGTCAGTGAAGCAAGACCTGGACCCTGCCCTAGGCTGATCCCCGCCGAGGCCTTGGCCCTTCCTTCCGACACAGCTCGTTCCTCCTGCTGCCAGAATTGGCTCCCTGGAACCTGGCTCCGCTCACCCCCTACCTGCTGGAAACCCTTCTGCCATGTCTGGGTGGGCCTGGCCTTTGGGGCCTGCTCTGCCAGCCCAGCAGCCTCCATGGTGAAAGCCTTGGCCACAGGCAACATCCCCCAGCACCTGGCACATGGGAATGTTCCCTAAATAAATCCTTTTGTGTGTGTGTGAGACAAGCTCTCACCCTGTCATCCAGACTGGACTGCAGTGGCACGATCTGTAGCCTTGACCTCCTGGGCTCAAGTGATCCTTCTATCTCAACCTCCTGAGTAGCTGGGACTAAAGGCATGCACCACCATGCTGGCTATTTTTTTTTTTTTATAGTGTTCGGGTCTTTCTATGTTGCCCAGGCTGGTCTTGAACTCCCAGGCTCAAGGGATACCCCTGCCATGGCCTCTGAAAGTGCTGTGGCCGCCCATTCCCTTGTGTCCATTCAAGAAGTCTCTCCTTCTCTGCAGAGCACCTCCTGGGAGCTGGGCACTGCTCTGGCACTTGGCACCCAGCAGTGAACAGAAAAGACCGCCTCTCGCTCCCTCGCAGCTTGAGTGATAGTGGAGGGAAAATGACCAAGAACAAATCACACAAGTAAAATGCACAAGATCAAAGATCGTGATGAGTACTCTGGAGAAAGACTCCATCGGGGGTAGGGAGATGGGCAGTGGAGAGGGCCTCTGCCAGATGGCGGTCCTGGGAGTGGGACCCCTGTAGGGCAGGGCATGCTAGGGGCTTTGAGGGCCTGGCCTACCCAGCCTCATCTCCAGCCAGGCAGCTCCTTGCCTGCAGATCTCCAGCCTGCTCACTGCCTTCCTCCCCGACCTTTCAGTCCCTCAGTGGGCCATGCCTGCTTCAACCACAGGGCCTTTGCACAAGCTGCTCCCCCTCTTGCCTTGCCCTTCACCACCTCTCTTTGCCCAGTAAACCCCTCTGACCCAGTACATCCCAGCTCCTTTACTGCCTCCTCAGGGAAGCCCTTCCTGACCTTCTTCCTGTCATGTGTGCTGCCAACCCCACACAGCCTTGTGCAGAGCTAGATATCTGTGTGTTTCCTCCCCACTCCTCAACCACCTCCCTGGAACCTGGAAGAATTCTTGGCACAGGGAAAGCCCCCAATAAGTATTTGCTGACCTAATGAATAAACACCTCCACCTTGACATATTAGAGCTGGTTCACTTACTCTCTAGACTTTGATTGGGCCCCTCCTGTACACAAATCCCAATGCTGGGGGCTGAGAATACACAGGTGGCCATCATTTGTTCAACTGTCTCCTCTTCAAGACTGGAAGCTGTCTGAGGGCAGGGGTCATGTCAGACGTCAGCGTCTCATCATATGGTGTTCTCTCTGTTGGTAGGCCCACTGTCCCTCAAACATCCTCTGTAAGAACCTGGGGGTTGTGCCAGTTTCTGTCTTGCACACCCTACGTCCGAGGACGGCCAGGTCCTGCCACTCAGATCTGCTCCTTCTGTGCACTGCCCAGAAGACAGAGCCCTGGCTTCTAAGTGTGGCATCCATCCAAGGCCCTTGGGTCTGTCTTCCACCCACCTCTCCATGCAGCTCTTGCCATCATCTGCCTCCACCTTTAGGTGCCAACGACAACAAGCCTCACCTTGCTCCCACCCAGGCCAGGCTGCTGCCTGCTCCTCTGCTGTCACTCAGCTGGGCTGTGAAGTGGCCCCACCTCTGGCCCTGGCTCAGCCTCACTCTGGGATGCAGCTCACACATCGCCTTCTCTAAGAGGACCCGGTCCTGAAGCCCATGCTGTTGTTCACCCAACTCTGTTCCTCTTTACTATGCACTGTCATTATCTGCTTGTGTCTCTCCTGCAAGCAACTGAGAGCAGGGGATATGACTTATTTGTTGTCATAGTATTGCCAGAATCTTACATAGTGCCGAGTAATTAATAGACAGTAACAATTTATAGGTTCAGTCACCGTTTGACAAACTAATCTTGGATGAATGGAAGGATAAATATGTAAACTGAAAAGTATCTGAGACAGGTCTCAATCAATTTAGAAGGTTATTTTGCCAAGGTTAATGATGTACCTGGGAGAAAGATCCGTTCCTTTCTCCAGAGATAATTTTGAAGGCTTCAATATTTAAAGGGGAAAGTGGGCTGGAGGGGAAAGAAGGAGGGTATGGTAATCCACATGTTGCAAGAGAAAAGGAGCAGGTGGGGAATAATCAATTATGTATTCCTCCCTTGCTCAGTAAATTGGCACTTTGTATAAGATAAGGCAAACATAGAGTAGCTACCTGTGGAGATATTTAACCTTTTATTTGTAGCTACCTGCTTAGGAATCAAAGAAAAGACAGTTTCTTGTGTTACTCAACTTTCAGCTTAATTTTTTTCTTTTGGCATAGTGAATTGGGTTCCCAAGTTTTTCTTTTCCTTTCACAAATGAATGGAAGGATGGGTGAATGGATGGGTGGATAGATCAAAGAATTAATGGATGGATGAATAGGTGAATGGATAAACAAACGGGTGGAAAAATGGATGGATGGAAGAGTGGATGAATGAATGGATGGAAGAATGGATGGACGAATGGATGGGTGGACGGATGGATGGATGGATGGTTGGGTGCATAGATGGGTGGGTGGAAGGATGGACGGATGGATGGATGGATAAGTGGAAGGATGATGGATGAATGGATGGATGGGTGGGTGAAAGAATGGATGAATGGAAAGATGGACAGAGATGAAGGAAGGAAGGAATAGAGGGAAGGCTGGATGGGGGAGGGGAAGGGGAATGGAGAGATTTTTTTTGCAAAGGTAGAAATAAATTCTTTCTACAGCATTTATTGATTGCTGGCTTGTATTAGGCTCTGTACGAAGCTGGACATCTTACCCCATTTGACCCTTCCAACAAGCCTGTGAAGTCAGTATCACTATTCTGAATTTTACATTTGAGAGAAAAAGGCCCGTGTCATATCTAAGAGAGACAGAGTATCTCAGACCTCCAAACCCAGTACCCTCCCGAGAGGAGTGTAACCCTTGGGCTCCAAGCCTGCTGGTTTGCCATGACAGAAAGGAGAAGTACAGCCTCCAGTCTGTGATTCTGCATGATGGAGCAGTCCCTCCTTCCCTCCCCCTGGAGGCTGAGATTGCCAGAATCCAGGCGTCACTCCCAGCACATCCTAACATGGCTCCAAGTGGAGTGGTGCCCCTTTTGCTAATATTTTCCCAAGACCATGATGTCTCCACCCCCTGGGTATTTTGGGGAGATTCAAGGTGAATATTTCCATACAGAGCAAGACAGCCTCAGTGACCAGCCAAGAGGAAACATGAAGGGAATGGGGGGTGGGGAGACTTCAAAACAACCTCGTGGGCAAGACTGAGACAGTCCCTGCTGAAGGGGCATGGAGCACTCTAGCTGGGGGTGGGGAAACCGCATAGGGCCCCATGGAGGGCTCACATGAAGGAAGAGAAAAGGAAGGAGTCTGTGGACAAGTCAGGTCCCCTACTTCGGGGAAAAGCCCGGCTCCTTGCCTACAGCATGTTACTTTCATTGTCGGCAGAAGGAACTGTGGAATTCTCCAAAGCACATGATCTGGTGGGCGCCTGGCCCAAGCCCTCATTCTTCAGAGGGGGACACTGAGTCACAGAGCAGAAGAGGCTTGGCCAAGTCCACAGTACATTTCCAGGACGGTGTCTGCGAGAACCCAGGTCTCCACGCCTGGGCCATGCTCTTCTGCTGCCCTTGACTTGCCTATCTCTCTGCCTGGTGTCTGCTCATTTGCTCACCAGGGTAGGCATGTAATTCAGTCACGACCCTTCATGAACCACCTCCTCTGTCAAGACCCAAGCAGATGATGGGAGAGCCCTGCCTCTGACCACTGTGCTGAGCACCTGAAAGAGTCGTGAGCAGGAGGAGTGAAGGGGAGAGGAGGAGAGAAGTGGGGAGATGGGTCACCCCCACAAGGAGCACTGCCCTTGGTGCTGCCCTCAGAGCCAATCCTTTGCATGGGGTAAATAATATTTTCCCAACTCTGCAACATGAGCCACCAGCACAGCAGTGGCCTGGGTATCAATCAATCACTGCCTGCTCCACTCTTTTTTTTTCTTTTCTTTTCTTTTCTTTTCTTTTTTTTTTTTTTTTTTTTTTGAGATGGAGTCTTGCTCTGTTTCCCAGGCTGAAGTGCAGTGTAGCTCGATCTCAGCTCACTGCAACCTCCACCTCCTGGGTTCAAGCAATTCTCCTGCCTCAGCCTCCCAAGTAGCTGGGATTACAGGCACCTGCCACTACACTCAGCTAATATTTGTATTTCTAGTAGAGACGGGGTTTTGCCATGTTGGCCAAGCTGGTCTCGAACTCCTCACCTCAAGTGATACACAGGCCTCAGCCTCCCAAAGTGGTGGGATTACAGGTGTGAGCCATCACGCCCCACTGCCTCCTACTCCACTCTTATGGGAATTCCTTTTCTACATTCTCATCTCCTTCCTAAAGAGTTAGAAGTAGAAACAAGATAAAGCACAGCGAAAGTAACTCTTTAAAACAGGCATCAAAAGACACAATACTGGCCAGGTGTGGTGGTTCACTCTTGTAATCCCAGCACTTTGGGAGGCCACGGTGGGAGGATAGCTTATGCCCAGGAGTTCGAAAAAAAAAAAAAAAGACAAAATACTGGTAATGATAATGTGATTATACTGAGATCATATAATCACATTTACATGATTATACTGGGGTAATCATATAAGAAATAAATGGGATAAGTGTAAGTTACTGCAAGTAAAAAAAGAAACGTGGTACACTCGATACCTTTCAAAAGCTAATGCATGGTAATAAGAATTGCAGTTAGGGCCGGCATGGTGGCTCACACCTGTAATTCCAGTACTTTAGGAGGCCGAGGCAGGAGGATCGCTTGAGCTCAGGAGTTCAGCCTGGGCAAAACAGTGATAACCTCATCTCCACAAAACATAAACAAAATTAGTCAGGTTTGGTAGCATGTACCTGTAGTCCCAGCTACACAGGAGGCTGAGGCAGGGGGATTTCTTGAGCCTGGAAGTTGGCGGCTGCAGCGAGCTGCAGCTGCAGTGAGCTACGATTGCACCACTGCACTCCAGCCTGGGTGAGAGTTAGACCCCGTCTCAAAAAAAATAAATAGAAATAAATATTTTTTAAAAATGCAGTGGGGACATGGGCTCTGTGACCAGGCTGTCGGGGTGCAGAGCCCACATCCACTGCCTGGCAGGGCAGCTCTGTCCCACTCCCACTCTGTTCTTGGCCCCTGTGCCTACAGGCTGCTCCATTACTGAGGCTGTGACGATCCTGGGGAACAAGCTTAGAGATTACCGGGGCCATTTCAACACCACCCACCTGCTGGCCCTCTGTGACTACTTCCACCACACCTTCATCCGCCACTACAAACTCTACCAGTATGTCCTGGGCCAGGACCAGCAGGTCGACCTGACCGTTGCCCACCTGGAGGTGTGCATGCCACCCCA
Source organism: Homo sapiens (assembly GCF_000001405.40). Taxonomy (NCBI): domain Eukaryota; kingdom Metazoa; phylum Chordata; class Mammalia; order Primates; family Hominidae; genus Homo; species Homo sapiens. The sequence continues at coordinate 10,697,804 of NC_000008.11, forward strand.
TCCCCTCCCGCTGGCCGAGGGCATGGACAGGGACTTGTGGATCCACGAGCAGCAGGTGGCCACACTGACGGAGGCCGAGGCACAGAAGCGCGCCGACGTGCTGCTCCTGAAAGAGGCGCTGCGCCTGGAGCGGGAGAACTCGCTGCAGAAGGCGTTCGCTGCCGCCGCGCCTGCGCAGCCCGGCCAGGTCCTGGAGAGACAGGTGAGGCTCTGCCCCCCTGCCGTGGGTGGGCACCTGGGCCTGCAGAGACACCAGCCAGGGCTGGAGTCACTGCAGATGGGAGCTCCTCAGTGGCACACAGGGGAGGGGGAGAGATGCAGGGAGGAATCAAGAGTCTACCACGAGCTTCGCGGTAGACTAAAGGTAGAAATTCATGTCCCTATTTTAGTGATGAGACGACTGAGGCGCAGAGAACATTTTAACTCGCCAAGGTCACCAAGCTAGCATATGGTAGAGTTCACATTTGGACTGAGGCCTGGCTGACCCTGAAGTCTAAGTTCCTTCCTCTGTGTCATTGGTCAGTGACAGATTCCACCAAGAGAGGCAGGAAAAAGACTCCAGCTTTGGAACTGCTGCAGATTATCCAGAGCCGGCATGCCCCTAGGATGGGGGAGAAGATGGAGGAGGCAGGGACATGGGGACAGCTTGGGGAGGGTCATGTGACCAGGGAGACAAAGGCTGGAGCTGGGGCCCAGGGAGGACTTAGGAGGATCCGGTGCCTGGATCTCAGACTTTGGGCTGCCCTCTTGGAGGTTCTGCCAGACCACTGGGGCTCTAGCTGCCAGCATTTCCCATGACCAGCTCTTCAATGACCATGACGACCCCAGCCTCAGGGTAGCTGACTTCTTGAGGGCCTGGCCAAGCCTACATTAGTTTCTTAGCTATACATAGGCACTGAAGTCATCATTGTTGCATCATCTCTGAACATACTTTGAGAGACAAGTATTTGCATGTGCGTGTGTATGTATGTGCCTGTGTTTCAGGCATTGGAGTGGGGGAGTTGCAGGGCCTGTGAGTTCCAAGGGATTTTGATTTCTGAATCATCAGCTGAAGAGCAAATGGCCCTGGGAAGTATTCCTTTAGGGTTACACACACACCACACACACACACACACACACACACACACACACACACACACACACGAAAATCTCTAAAGAGCAATGAGCATAGCAGCCTGGATGGTGCTCATCCAAGGATAAGTCTCCAGACAAATAGCACATCAGGGGGCCATGTGATCTTAGTTCACGAAGACATTCAATAAAGACCCAACAAAACCCACGCAACAGTCTATGTCTCTGGCCCCCTGCAGGGACCTTGCTCTAGCACACGGAGCAGGGTGGGGCATGGCCACAGTGGCCCCTACTGCCCTGCACTTCCCACAGCTGTTCCTGCCTGCTCCTCCCAGCTCGCCGCCCAGCCTCCAGCATGGCACTGCTGGCCCCTGCCTGGTGGAGCTGGTGAGCCAGAGCCCCCTACACTGTGTGCCCCAGCTATGCACCTGAGATGGGGCACTCAAGGGCATAGAACAAAAAACACCACGCATTCTCTTATAGCACAACCTTCCCCAATAATGTTGTTTTCTACAAAAACAACAAGAGGATATTCTGGGGCAAATGCACAATTTTGCATATCTTTTAAGTGAATACAAGATCTCAAAGAAATGCACTACATCCAACCAGTTGCTTCCAGTGTGTCCCCTGACAATAGCTCCTATGCTGTGTGGTTGCTCGGGCAAGGAACCTAGAGAAACACAGTTACGTGGTCCATGTATCCAGGCTCTGTGGGCTATAACTCTGATGGAGTTGACCAACAGGGTTTCCTGTTTAACATGATGGGTGGACAGTGGCTGCATTTCCATTCTTCCTATGGCTGGCTGGGTGGAGGACACACCCACTCTCTGAAGCAATTTCCCCTGTCCCCTCCCATGAAGCTACCACTAGAACTTTGAAAGGTGAGAATGAGGATGGTGGGGGCCCAGGGTATCCAGATGGAGCCTGCATTGACCAGGAGGTAGGGTCTATAGGAAATATGGCACTGGCCGATGGGCCCAGAACAAATGACACACTCAAACAGCCTGGCCGTCACTCTAGGCAAGAAAAGAAAAGGGAGGGAATGACTATTGGAATCCAAAAAGAGAGCTTTAGTTATAGGCAAGGGCTGAGGGACAGGGAATGTGACTACCCATAGTCCGTGGCCATGGCCAGGCCACAGCCAGTCAGGAGAAGATGAGGACCTCCCCACCCTCAGACCTCCCGCCCCTAGTTGGCTGAAGTCAACCAGAAGCCAGAGGTCCAGGCAACCACGGCCCGTGGGCAGGGTGAGACGGATGGACAGTGGACACATTCTCGTACCTGCAACAGGGGCTGAGTTGAGAACTGGATCCGGCGAGGCTCCCCAGCCCTGCTCATCGGCCTTCCCCTTTCCTTCCAGGAGTTGGAGAGCCTCATCTGCCAGGCAGTCCACACCCAGATGGAGCTCCTGCAGGAGCTGCTGCAGCGCCAGATCCAGAACACATTCGCCATCTTGGACCTGAAGCTTCAGAAGAAGACTCTGAACCTCAACGCCCCCACCCCTATCCCGCCCCCCATCACCAGCCACGCAGGCCAGGAGGAAGCCCTGAAGCCCCAAAGAGCGAGCAAAGGAAAGAAAGCGAAGGCAAGGAAGTAGAAGGTCCCGACTGCCACACGAGACTGACTGGGGACCAGCCACCCATAACCATGAGCCTTGCGGCACGGTGAGCTCAGCACCCACAGAGAGACTTCTTGTGATTAAAAGAAACAAACCCATGCCATCATCTGGTCTCTGTCTTGGAAACTACCTGCTACCACCTAAAATCCAATCCAAATTATTTCCTCTGAGTGACAAGAGATGGCTGTGGACCTCTGCTAAGCACAGAGCTTTGCTCTGGGGGTACTTTTCACATGCTGACAAGCCTGAGCTCCGCTGAAGATGGAGCCACCCATGGGGGCAAGCCAGTAAGAGTGAGGGTGCCCCACACACCAGCAAAGCCCTCTGCGGAATCCCATGCCATGTAAGGAGAATGTATCCTAGGATTCTTCCTCCTGACATTTCCACCACAGGCTTCATTGCATGCAGTCCAGCCCGCAGGTCTCCCACAAGAGGACCCAGAGCCATGTGCCCTCTAGAAAACTCTTCCTCCCAGGAGCATCTGCACTGTCTGGACTCAGGCAGGGGGCAGGTGCTGTCCCAGAGGTCGGAGACCTGGCCTGGAGCCCGCTTTGCTGTGGATCTGCTGTGTGATGCTGCCTGTGTCCCTTTCATCTCTGGGCCCCAGCTCTCTATCTTGTCGAGTAGAGGTGCTGTGGGATGGTGTCTCTGGTCCTCTCTCACTAAGACGTCCTAGGAGAAAGACAAGGTGAGGTTTGCTATTCCCATGTGTCAAGGGTTTCAAGGTTCAAGGAGGAAAATAACCTACTCGAAGTCACACAGCAGAGAGCAGAAGCCTCCTGCTTCCGTGCTGTTTCCCAGGGGCGTCATGCCTCTCATGCAAATAGCGGCACACGTCCTGGAGCTGTTGGTTTGACAGGTGACTGTGGCCCTCAAAATCAGAACAGTGAGGGGGTCACCATGTACTGCCTCTTCCCAAGCCCGAGACTGCCCCTGCCCTGCTCTGCCATCTGCCTGCTGCACCCCTTGTGCCCAATAAGGCAGGCTCATGTCATTAGCTCATCCCGCCTATCTCTCCTTTGCCACCTACTTTCTAGTTTGTGCCACCTGAGGTGTGCCTGGTGTCTGTGTTTCCAGGCAGAGTCAGCTGCCTTAGGGGGTTGGGGGACTTAGCGAGGGTGCCCTGCAGAAGGAGCAGAGCAGTCCTCTGCAGCCCTGGCAGAGAAGTCCAGGACACAGGACCCCCCAGCAGGTGAGGCAGCCTTGCTGGGAGCTGTACCTGAGACTCTCCTCCCATCTCACCCTGATGCCATGGCCAGGTGTGTTGATCCCCAAGAAACTTGATGTACTGCCTAATACCTCTTGGGACAGAGGAAGGAGGTTCAGGGAGTTTCTTAAATTTTTTATTTCTTCCTTCCTCTTTCATTCCATAAACACTTGTGAACAACTATATCTACTGTATGGATGAAACCATTATGGTCCTGAGGGAAGTGTGAGAGCTGCCATCGGATTCTGTCTAGGGCCTCACCAGGGTCCCAGAAACCCTCACAGCCAGCGTGGATGGGTGTACTCACATGTGCGTGTGGGAGCTGGTGGAGGGGCAAGTGGGTACAGCTTCTACCCAAGCCACGTGCCAGAGACCCACTCCTTGCTAACTTCCACATGACTTCCATGACTATTTGGTGGCATTTGTTCAAGGATAAGCAGAGGAGGCCTGGCGGCCTGGCATCATCTGAGGGGCAAGGTTGGAGGAGAGGACAGGCCCAGCTGGATCTCGAGGCCTTCCAAACCCACAAGTGAATGAAGTGGCCTTGGGAAGAATTGCATTTCAGGTGATGGAGTCCTGAGCCAGTGTGAGAAGCCGCCCTCCTCCCTCAGCCCCCACTGGCATCTGCAGGAGTCCCGGGTGTGGTGCATGGTAGACATATATTTTCTGTGTAGCTGAGCTGTATTTATGAAGGGGTCGGGAGGAGTTGGGAGAGTCACAGGGCCAGAAATGTGGAGGGAAGCCACAGCAGCGAGTGGAGGAAAGGTCTCGGGCCTCGGGCCTCATCCTCTGTGGAAGTCAAAACTGGGCTTTCTGTCTCAAGCTAAGAATAGCAAATGGGTGGTCCCACGGGAAAACTCCTCCCTCCCACCCACCTGAGGCAGCAGCAGGGAGCACCGTCTTACAGCAGACACTGGGTAGACACCAAGACAACGGTGGGACAGTGGACTTCCCACCCATGCCCCCTACTCATGCAAGGCCTAAACTCTCACACCACCCAGAAGTGGAGACCCCAAACTGAGAAACTGTCCTCAAATCCATCTGAAACCGGAATACCTGCTAGAGCCTGTGGATAAAGGGACCATACATTCTGCATTCTCTGGGTCTGTCCTGGGTGACTCCTGTTATCCCAGTGTTGGGCCTGCTTTGGCGTGCACCCCAGCTTTGCATTGTTTAGTGGAGTTCGCTGAAGACTTGCTCTAAAAGAAGCTGGGGGAGGTAGGTAGCTCCCCACCTTTGCTTCAGCTCCTGCCATGACTGCATGTCATGGTGTGGGACTCTCCTGGTGCGTAGGCACATGGGGTGTGTGGTGAGCAAGTTCTCACCTACACTTGAGGCTGCAACTGGAAGAGGCAGAGCGCTGACCTGCCTCTCCCTCCCAATACTCTCCTGACTCAGTGGAACCCTTCAAAAACAGCGCCCGGGCCATTCCTGAGGCACTGAAATGCAGGCAGACATGAGTAACTGAGGAGAGCCAGCTCTTCCCGTGGTGGTAGTGCTGAGAGAAGGACGCGGCACCTCTGCTCCCACCAACTGCTCAGTGCCTCAGCCACTTGCACAACCACAAGATGCATGAAGCCACCAGGCTCTGGGGTCAGTGGGAAAAGTGAGAGAGACAAGCCAGGCACATAGGCAGTATGTCCAGGAGCTGGGAGGAAGAAGAGTTCACGGAGGGGAGTCCCCATGGCCTTGCTGCATTGACTTTGCCACTTACCACGTGCTACAAAGCTACAGCGATTTAGTTATCTTATTGTTTGCCACTGCATTTTCATTTTTCAATAAACCCTTTTGGTAGCAATGAACTCAACAAAAAAGGAAAGTGCCTGAGTAATGAAAATGTAAATATAATGACTTTCTCTTTTTTAAGAAAGTTAATGACGAAACTGTAACATGCACAAAGTTGTTCTCTGCATCTACCATCTGCCAGGAACCACAGCAATGCCACTGACTACCGAGAAATCTGCTCAAAAAGCGTCAGCAGCTACCTCAAAGGTTCATAGGAACTTTGAGAAGCCTATCCAGGCCAGGCGTGGTGGCTCGTGCCTGTAATCCTAGCAGTTAGGGAGGCCGAGGCGGGTGGATCACCTGAGGTCAGGAGTTCGAGATCAACCTGGCCAACATGGCAAAACCCTGTCTCTACTAAAAATACAAAAATTAGCCAGGCTTGATGGAGCGTGCCTGTAGTCCCAGCTTCTCAGGAGGCTGAGGCAGGAGAATCGCTTGAGGCCGGGAGGTGGAGGTTGCAGTGAGCCAAGATTGCACCACTGCACGCCAGTGCCTGGGTGACAGAGCAAGACACCACCTAAAAAAAAAAAAAAAAAAAAAAATGTAGAAGAAGCCTGTCCAGAATCTGGAATCCACAATTTAACATGCACAGGGGCAACTGAGCAGGTGGCAGTTTAAAATCGAGCTTGCTCTGTATTCTAAGTTTTCTTATATGCAAGCTGAAAATAAAGCAGTGGTCATTCACTGGATAGCATCTCAGTAGAATTTCACATAACATATGGTGAAACAACGCCAGTTTTAGCGTCACCAGATGCATCGATTGAAACATCAATCAATTCCAATAATGGTTCAGTTTATTCATCCAATTCTGGCAAAGTAAAGCTTTTGAGAATTCATTCTGGTGCAGATGAAACACCTCTCACTACTGCAAATACTATTTGAACTTCACTTAAGAAGTTCAACATTAAAAAGTACTCATTTTTAAGATGATTACACAAATATAAATGTTTGTAGATCTTAGCACCTTTGTCAAAGCAATGGTCTCACTAGTGTTTATAAACAACAGAACCTAAGGCCAGAAATGTATTTAGAATTGGCTCTTGGGCATACATTAAGTCATAACTGCACTCAGAGTATCAGAAACTGGAAGTGAGGATGGAGAGGGATGGAGAAGGCGCTGGGCGACCTGAAAGGGCAGAGTCAGGCTCCTTCTGTCAAGACACTGAGGCTCACACACAGTTGATGTTCATTTCACAAACATTAATTGACCAATTATCTGTACCAGAGGCTGTCAGGCACGGAGGACCCGGCGGTAAACAAGCCAGACAAGGTCCTTGCTTTTGAGGAGCTCACGTTTTAATGCAGGACACTAACAAGCAATTGAACATAAGCAGTACTTGGGAACAGGGATGGGTGCTGTGAAGTCCAGAAGCAGGTATCTAACTCAAGTAACTCTGGAGTGTCAGAAACCTCACTGTCAACGCTATTCCACAGACATGTAGAAAGTGCCTACTGCATGTCGGATACTGGGATGGGTCACATATGTAAGGACACAGAAAAGACACATCAGTGCCCTAAAGGAGTGGGGGCAGCCTGGTGTTTCTGATGCGGGCTCCCGGTCACAGTGCGTCCCCTGGCCACGGGGTGAGCCTTTCCCCAAGTGGACCAATCATCGTGCTCCACTGCCCTGGGCCACAGTGATTGGAGCAGACATGGGCACATGGCCCAAGCTGGACCAATCAAAGTATCCCATCCTCAACCCACCCACCACACCCCCAGCCAGGATGAGTGATTCTGGGGGGTTTCTTTCTACAGCTGCTGGGGTTCTCTTCCTTTTGGTTTTGAAGCTCTAAGGATTGCAGGAGGCCAGAGCAGCCTGTAGCTGTGATACCAGCGTTGAGAGAAAGAAGCCAACAGGCAAAGGGAAGCAAAAGAGAGGAGAGATTGATTGAGAGATTGCTTCCTTAATCCAGTAACCCTGGAGGCAGCTCCACCCGTCTTCCAGCGTTTGGTTGTGGGAGCCGATGCGCACATACCCAGTATTTGACTGAGGTCAGTGAGACAGGCAGGGCAGAGAATGCTTCAACCATGACAGACAAGGAAACTGAGGCTCAGACAGATGGAAGGATTGCTCAAGGTCACTTGACTAACAGTGGGAGAACCCCAGACAGAAGCACATTTTTTACCCCCAGATGAGGGCTCTTGCCCCATCCACTGCCTCCAAGGACACAGGCCCTGGGCAAGTCCGTCACCCTGCCCACCTGTGTAATGGCCCCTGGGTACGAGCTACCCTTTTGTTCTGGACTCCGAGGGAGACCACAGTGTCCACTCTTGGATGGAAAGCTATTCCGGACTCAGAAGCAGAACTTCTTCTCTGAGAACTTGCACACGAAAAGTCAAATGAGGAATTTGAGCAAAACAAAACAGAAGTTAACCATCCTTATAGTGCCCTCTTCAGAAAATGCCTGCCCCAACAGCAATGTCCTCTGACTTGGCTCAGGAGGGCATTGGCCTTACTAAAATGCACTGAGTCCGACTCTCACCCATGAACATTTCATCATCAGCGTGCCTCATGGTGTTGCTTAAGATGTGTCCCCCAAAGAACTCAGAGGGCTTTCTGGTGCTTCCTGTTAAGTGCTTTTCTACCTACTCAAAAGGCTGAGAGAATACATGTTTTTCCCAGGGCCCAGATTTTTGAAATGAGAACCAAGGTAACCCTGTGTCCTTCCTGCTTAATATTCTAAGAACATGGCTCCCAGCACCTGGGAACTGAAACATAGGTTTCTAAACCTAATCCAAACCTCCAATACCATGAGGCTGTGTTATCCAGGCCCCAAAATTTCAGAAGTGTTTCTCAGGAGGCTGGCTTTGCTGTGGGTTTCAGGTTTCCAACAGAATCTGGAAATTCACCTCCCTTGACCCACAAAGTTGAGGAAGTGGCACTGCCCAGGGCTTCTCAAGTCAGCCGGCCTGAGTGTATTTTTCCCGAGGACTCCAAATGCCTCAGATGTTGATGTGAATGGGTTTAGACTAGACAGGTAGACGAAGGCTTTGGAACTTTTCTGGCAAAAGAACAGAGCTCTAGGTAAAAGTTGGCTGGCGCTGCCCAGGACTCTGCAGGAAGCACTAACCAGCGAGTGGCAACTGCCTCCAGGACAGTACCAGCCAGGCGTCATGGGTGTCCTGGGGATACTCACATTCAGACTCTGAATGTGGCGGTGGGAACTCACTGCCCAGAAGGAACCCCTGCCTTCAGACTCAGCCAGTTATAGCCAGGTGGCTTCATGTGCAGAGCAGAAACCTGAGTCTGCAAGGTCTTCAAAGGTCCCTGTCACCCCCAACCCCTCTGTGAGTCACCTCCTACCTTCTTGGCCTCACCTCTGATTCCAGCCAAGGTCAGAGAAAACTGTTCCACATAGGTTCCTCCCACTGCATATGGCCAGCACTCATCTCAAGTCTATGCCAAATGTCTGCTGCTTCCTCTCCTGTGACTTCTTTGATGTCATAGCATGGGGCACCATCAGGAGCCAACATGGCGTCTTCTCCTGCACATCCTGGGGGTGCAGGGAGCTTAGCATTCCATAGAATGACCCAGCCAATGGGAGGTGGGAGCCCGTGACCAACTGCTCCTCCCTTTCTCCCTCAGGGGGACATTTTTTTTTTTTTTAATACAAGGTGTTGCTCTATTGCCCAGGCTGGAGTGCACTGGCACGAGATCACAGCTCACTGCAGCCTCGACCTCCCAGGACTTAAGCTATCCTCCCAGCTCAGCCTCCCAAGTAGCTGGGACTACAGCCTTGATTTTCCCTATATGTGCCTGCTTGGCAGCCATGTGGCTGCTTGGGCTTCCATAAAACATGGCAGTTGGGTTCTAAGAAGGAGGAAACAAAAGCTGACAGTTCTCTGAAAAGGGGAACTGTGTCTGCAGCCAGGGGTTCCTTCTGGACACTGAGTTCCCACCTCCCAGCTAATTTTTTGCATTTTTTTGTAAATACAGGGTCTCACTTTGTTGCCCAGGCTGGTCTCAAGTTCCTGGGCTCAAGTGATCCTCCTGCCTCAGCCTTCTAGAGTGCTGGGATTACAAGTATGAGCTACCACACCCCACTAGGGGTACAATTCTGAGCTATAGCTCTATGTTCCTCGAAAGGTCCCAGAGAGACCAAGTCCCAGTCAATCACAGTGGTGGACCACTCAGGGATACTACACCTCATATCAGCTTTTCCTTCTTCTCTTTCTGTCTTTGGTCCTCATTCCTGCTACTGCTGGATCACTTCCCAAAGAAACCCCACACTATAAGTAAACCTGTGTCGGGTTCTGTTTTTGAGGAGAAACCTAGGCTAAGACACGGGACTTCATCTTTGTGTTCCCATATGCCAGCATGAGCTCTGTCTGTGTTAGTTACTTATTGCTGCATACCAAACTATCCTAGAACTCGGTGGCTTTAAACAACAATCACAGTCAGGCATGGTGGCTCATTCCTGCAATCCCAGCACTTTGGGAGGCCAAGGCAGGTGGACCACCTGAGGTCAGGAGTTCGAGACCAGCCTGGTCAACATGATGAAACCCTGTCTCTATTAAAAATATAAGAATTTGCTGGGTGTGGTGGTATGTGCCTGTAATCCCAGCTACTCAGGAGCCTGAGGCAGGAGAATCACTTGAACCCAGGAGGCAGAGGTTGCAGTGAGCAAGATGGTGCTACTGCACTCCAGCCTGGGCAACAAGAGTGAAACTCCATCTCAAAAAATAATAATAATAAATAAAACAACAATCACAATTTTGCAATTTGGGCAGGGTTCATGTGAACAGCTCATTTCTGCTCTACATGCCATCAGCTAGGGCAGCCCAAAGGGGGCTGAAAGACCCACTTCCAAGATAGTTGGCCTCTGTGGTGGCAAGTTGATGCTGGTTGTTGACAGAGACTGTTGATGGGGAGCCTTGATTCCCTCCCACATGGACCTCTCCATGTGGCTGCCTGGGGCTTCCTCACAACATGGCAGTTGGGTTCTAAGAAGGAGGAAACGGAAGCTGACAGTTTCCTGAAAAGGGTCAGAACAGGCAGAGCATCACTTCAAAGCAGTTTAAGGCCTGGCCCAGAGGAAAGAGGGTAGGAAAATAAGACACACCTCTCAGCTCAGGGAGTGACAAGCCATTTTCAGCCATTCTTAACCTGCCACAATGGCACAGAACACTACATTAAGGAAGACTTGAATAAACAACTAAGTAGAGAAATCAATTAATTAATGCAACCAGCCATTACTCAACGGTAACCTTCCCTCAACCCAAATAGTCACTACTACTCTCCCTGAAATTTTAGAATAAAATATTAATTTGATAACTTATTTGAGACTAGAAGGTTTTGTGACCTCGGGGTCCTAAAATATTAGAGCTTTGGAATCCTAGGGGTAACCCACCTCAGCCACCTCTGGCTGAGGAAAAGGAAAACGGGAAGAAGAGGATTTGTCCAAAGTCACTGTCTTGGTTATTGGCAGTGCAGGTTGCAACACAGGGTCTGGATTCCCACCCAGGTCCCCCATGTCACACCTCAATGCAAGCTTAAGGCATGTGAAGACTGCGGCCTTTCCCATAGGAAACTCAACCTCCTGGGTTCCTCGTGAATCTTCATCCCCCAAAATGCCACACTCCAAACTGTTGTAAGCAGTTTTTGAAAACTTTTCAGAAACTGGGCACAGAAGGGACCCTATAAACAGGGTGAGGCTGTCAACGTGGAAAAGGAGCTCAGACTCGGGTCCAAAAATGCCGCTGGGTGGCACTGCCCACTTCATGCAGGCCAAAGGCTGGCCTGCTTTGGTGCCAGTCATGGGCCAGTCGACCACACTGACCTGGCCAATCACACTGATCCAGTCAATCACACTGACCCAGTCAATCACACTGACCTGGTCGATCACACTAATCCAGTCGATCACACTGATCTAGTAAATCACACTGACCTGGTCAATCATATTGATCCAGGTGATCACACTGACCCAGTCAAGCACACTCATTGAGTCAAACACACTGACCCAGTCAATCACACTCATTCAGTCAAACACACTGACCCAATCACACTGATCCAGTCGATCACACTGACCCAGTGAATCACACTAACAGTCAAACACACTGACCCGGTCGATCTTACTGATGCAGTTGATCACACTGATCTGGTCAATTGCACTGATCCAGTCATTCACCCTGATCCAGTCAATCACATTGATCCAGTCATTCACACTGATCCAGTCAATCACATTGATCTAATTGATTACACTGGCCCAGTTGATCACACTGGCCCCATCATTCACACTGATCCAGTCAATCACACAGACCTGGTCAATCACACAGATCCAGTTGATCACATGGATCCAGTTGATCACGCTCTTCCAGTTGATCATGCAGACCCAGTCGATCACACTGACTTTGTCATTCACACTAATCCAGTCGATTATGCAGACCTGGTCAATCACACAGTTCCATTCGATCACACTGACCCGGTTGATCACACTGATCTAGTTGATCACATTGACCTGGTCATTCACACTGATCCAGTCATTTTCAATGGTCCAGCCATTCACAGTGACCCAGTTGGTCACATTGGCTGTCACATTGATAGTGGGCAGCTTCCACATTTCATGAGCATTTGTGGAAGCCCTGGAATGCGTGAGGCACAGAGGAGGATACAAAATAATATAATGAAAGCAGTCTCTCTCTTGATATTGAGTATCTACCATGGGTCAGGCATTTCATTTCATTATCCTCATTTTATGGATAAGAACTGGGTAATTTCTGTTGTTCCCTAGATACTAAGTAACTGGTTGGAGTTTACCCCAGGCCCGGCAGACCTAACCATCCACTCCTTTCCCTAAATCACCCTGCACACTGATCAATGTTCTACTCTTCTAGGAGTTTGATCAAGTCCAGAGGCCAAAATATCCCACACTCAATCCATAAGGAGATCATTCCCCCCAACAAAGAGGCAGAACCCCATCACAGAAGAGTCAGGACTTGGGGACAGGGGGCCTGGGAGGGAGGCTGGGCAGGGCCAACCCTGAATTAAGCAGAGGCTGACTGCAGAAGGAGATTGGAAGGTAGTTAAAGGCAGTGGTCAGAGACACGTTGCCGGGGGTAGCCAGGGGAAGCCATGGGTTCCAGAATTTCTGTGTAAGGGGGCAATTGGGGAGCTTCTGTGCACCAAGTTCAAAATCGGAACTCAGAGACCTGTCTCAAAGCTGCCTTTGCCCAGCGCGCCCTACTGTCTTTTCGCCACGTGCTTACCAAGGTGTCACATGCCCTCTACCAAGCCTGTCTTGGTGCCAACAATCATTAATGGGGGAATGCAGCCAAGGGCCCTGAATGTGAGGCTGAGACTCCGAGCTCCGGTCCAGTTGGTAGGAAGCCTCTGAGATTCCAAGATGGGCAATGACAGGACAAAGCAGGAGGAAAAGTGCCCATTTATGGAGCAAGCACTTGCTTTGAGTCATTTGACCACAGTGTGAAAGTCATTGCACCTCTCCACTGGGTGAGGGGGTCTCAGGATCCCAATTCCTCCAAATGAGGAAGCCGGGGCTCAGGGGAATGCAGTGACTCATGTGGGTCTCAGCTAACAAGGTGGAGGAGCTGCGCACTGGGCCTAGGTCGCTCCCCTTTGAATCGCACTTCCCTTCCCCTCAGCAGTGAGCTGGATGGGGCTCCACCTTGGGGCATAGGAACCAGGAAGACCACATGCTGCAGGGCCACAATCCAGCTGGACAGGAGAGACACACTTAGGAAAATGCCCACCACAAGCCTCCTGTGCAGTTTCTAGCAAAGGGAGGCATCTCCAGGCCAGGGGCACCCCGGGGCCTTTGCCCCTCCTCCCCAGGAAGACAGGTTTCCGCCCTGAGCAAGACGGCACACGTCAGAGGCTGAGGCCAACCCGGGGCCAGTTCCCAGCACTCGGGGTAGCTGGGGCCAAGCTGCTGACTCACTCTGTAACCCTCAGACAAGTCACTTCCCTCCTGGGTACCCAGCATGGAATTGAAAGTGGGCATCCCTATGTCCCAGGCTGCCAGAGAGGCCTTTCCAACCAGGGCTGACTGGCTGGGTGGGGAGGGGATCGGATGATTGTGAGCAGAATGGGAAACATGTTCTTTGGAAACGGATATTCAATGGAATAACAGAACTTAACATTTAGAAAGTGAGCAGTGGCTCAAGCCTGTAATCCCAGTACTTTGGGAGGCTGTTTGAGTCCAGGAGTTCAAGACCTGGGTCTGAGCAACATAGCAAGACTCCGTCTCTACAAAAAATTAAAAAATTAGCCAGGTATGGTGGCACACACCTGTAGTCCCACCTACTCAAGAGGCTGAGGTAGGAAGATCGCTTGAGCCTGGGAGGTCGAGGCTGCAGTGAGCCAAGATGGCGCCACTGCACTCCAGCCTGGGTGACAAGAGCGAGACCTTCTGTATTGGTCAGGGTTCTCTCTCTCTCCTCTCTCTCTCTCTTTCTCTCTCTATCTCTCTCTCTCTATATATAAATGTAAGAGTTT